>NC_000020.11:45708658-46011688 GCF_000001405.40 Homo sapiens
AAATATTAAAAAGGTATTATAAAGGTATTTAAAATAATAATAATAAAGTGTTATTTTCCTGGGATTCATGATATTTGATATATTCGTAAGCTTTTGTTAAGTTTGTAATTTGTTGCAATTTCTTTTTCATTTCAAATAAATATTCACTTACGTGTCTAATTTTGTATTAGTAGTTCTGCATTATTTTTCTAAAACAAGGTATCCATAATTATACAAGCATCAAGCTCCACAAAGCCTGGGCCTTTCTCTGCTTGCCTCCATTCCTTCCAACTCTGTACCAGTGAGCCTTGTGTTCCTCATTAGGAAAACAGCATAAGCAATTGTTCTTCATTTTCACAAGACTGTACAAAAAGATTAAACAATATAATATGCATAAAAATATGTTGTACGCACTGTGACAGAAATATGAATGGTTATGATTATTGTTAACATTTTGAGGACTTACTGCAAAGGGTGAGATATAAGGAATGGCATTAAGGAAGAAGAAAAATGGATTTTCACCCCTTCATCAGTGAATATAATCTATACACCATGACTTCTCACTTAACCATAGTTGTGCTACTATGGCACATCATCTAAATTCTTCAAAACTTGAATTTTTCATGCTTAAAATAGAGATAACACCACTTACCTTACGTAATTTGTGATACTAAGTTCTTGATTGTAGTCTGGTGGTTGGGAGGCTTAATTAAATAACCAGTAACTCAGCAGTATCAACTTGCTTTGAAGGGAACATGGCTGGACTGGAAAGTACCTGACACACAACCACACAGGACAGGCTGACCCTCCAGGATGAAATCTTGAAGGGATGTTTCAGCCAATCATGAGTTTATTTAGTTTATTAAGAACAAGTGACAGGCATGGGGAATCTTGGAAAAGATGCTCTAATAGATAGGTCCAACTCTTCCCCAGGGGAGTGAATAAAGATGAAAAGCTAAGAGACAAGAATTTGGCCACAATGAAGCCAGAATAAAACTGTTCAAAAAATAACAATGCTTATGGATATCTTGCAAATTCTTGCTGGGAGTTCTCTTCTCAGTCCATCCCAGCAGAGATGGTGAAAGATCAGTAGTTCAGTAGGGGCTATACCAAGTCAATAAGGATACTTGGGAGACACAATGAAAAAAGAGTCACTTTTTCTTGCTGTCACCTGGGAAGAAGATAAATATGAAGACTATGGCCCTTTGGAGAGCACTCTTGTACTCTGTCACTGCCTCCTATAAGTGCTTAGTCAACAATCCAACATAATTTTAGGTTTGCTGGGAAAGGTGGGTTTGGCTGTGTTAGGAATGGAATTTACAATTTTGAAGGTGAAATCTTGTTTGTTCATGGGTTCTGCTTCCCAGCCTTGCAGCCAAGACTCGTATACAACTTTTGAGGACAAAACTTTAATTCATTTCTATATACCCAACATTGAGAATAGTTACTGAAATATAGCAGGAGCTCAATAAGTAAGTACCTTTTAATGAGATGAGAAAGGATAAAATGCTAAAATATTGAGGCAGGGGAATTGCTTGAATCCAGGGGGTGGATGTTGCAGTGAGCCGAGATCATGCTACTTCACTCCAGCCTGGATGAAAGAGTAAAACTTTGTCTCCAAAAGAAAAAAAAAGAAAGAAAGAAAGAAAAAGCACTTGAGAAAAATTCAACATTTTTTTCATAATAAAAGCTCTCAACGAATTAGGTATACAAGCCACGTATCTCTATATAACAAAGGCCATGTATAACAAGCCCATAGCTAACATCATACTCAATGATGAAAAGCTGAAAGCTTTGCCTCTAAGATCAGGAATAAGACAAGGATGCCTACTCTCACCGCTTCTATTCAACAAAATACTTGAAATCCTATCCAGAAAGATTAGGCAAGAAGAACAAATAAAAGGCATCCAACAGGAAATTTTCCAATAGGAAAATTGTCTCTGTTTACAGATAGCATCTTATGTATACAAAACTCTAAAGACTTGATAACAAAAATAACTGTTAGAATTAATAAATTCAATAAAAGTGCAGGATAAAATCATCAATATACAAAAATTAGTTGAATTTCTCTACACTAACTACAAACTATCCATAAAAGAAATCAAGAAAAATAATCCCATTTACAATAGCATCAAAAAGAATAAAATAGGAGTAAATATAACCAAAGAGGTGAAGGATCTGTACACTAAAAACTATAGAATATTGATAAAAGAAAGTATAGATGACACACAAAAAATGAAAAGATATCCCATGTTCATGAGTTGGAGAAATTAATATTGTTAAAATGTTCATAATGCTTAAATTACTCCACAGATTCAATGCAATCTCTAACAAAATTCCAAAGATATTTTCACAGAAATAGAAAAAACAATCCTAAAATTCATGTGAGCCACAAAAGACACTGAATAGCTAAAGAAATTCTGAGCAAAAAGGACAAAGCTGGAAGCATCACACGTCATGATTTTAAACTATATTGCAAACTACAGTAATCCAAACAGTATGGTACTAGCATAAAAACAGACACATATGGCAACGAAACAGAATAGAGAGCCCAGAATTAAACCCTTGCACGTACAGTCAACTAACTTCCAACAAAGGCACCAAGAATATACAATGGGGAAAGGATAATCTCTTCATTAAATGATGTTAGGAAAACTTACACCATACACAAAAATCAATTCAAAATGGACTAAAGACTTAAACATAAGACCTGAAACTGTAAAACTCTTAGAAGAAAACATAGGGACAAAGTTCCATTGGTCTGGACAATGATTTTTTTTTATTTGAAACCAAAAGCACAAGAAACAAAAACACAAATAAGGGAGACCACATTTTCTGCACAGCAAAGGAAACAATCAACAAAATGAAAATGCAACCTATGGAATGGAGAAAATCTTTGTAAAAAATACATTTGATAACAGTTAATATGCAAAATATATAAAGAACTCCTACAACTCAATAACAAAAAATAAAAAATAAAAAAATAGTAAAAGTCCCCAAACAGACATTTTTTCAAAGACATACAAATGGCCAACAAGTCTATGAAAAGATGTTCAACATCATTAATCATTATGAAAATGCAAATCAAAACCACATGAGCTATGACATCACACCTGCCAGGTGCCTATTATCAAAACAAAAGATAAGTGTTGGCAAGGATATGGAGAAAAGGAAACCCTTGCACACCATTAGTGGGAATTCAAAATGGTGCAGCCACTATGCAAAACAGAGTGAATGTTCCTTTTAAAATTAAAAATTGAACTACCATGTGATCCACTAATCCCACTTTTGAATATTTATTCAAAATTACTGAAATCAGGATCTCAAAGAGATATTAACACTTAGCACCTCTATGTTCATTGCAGCACTAGTCACAACAGCCAAGATGTGAAAACAATCTTATGTACGTTGACAGATGAAGACATTTTTTTGAAATGTAGTATATGCATACAATGGAATACTATTCAGCCTTTTAAAAAAAGGAAATTCTGCAATATGTCACAACATAGATGAACCTTGAGGACATTATGCCAAGTGAAAAAAGCCAGTCACAGGAAGATAAATACTTCACGACTCCACTTATATGAAGTATCTAAAATAGTCAAATTTATAGAATCAATAGTGGAACAGTGGTTGCCAGGGCCTGGGTGGAGGTGAAATGGATAATTAGTAATTAACAGGCATAAAGTTTCAGTCAAGCAAAAGAAATAAGCTCTAGGGATCTAGTATACAACACTGTACCTATAGTCAACAAAAACGTATCATACACTTAAAAATATGTTAAAACAGTAGACTTCATGTTAAGTGCTTTTACCACAATAAAATAAAATTTGAAAAAAGAAAGAATAGGGGCTGGGCACAGTGGCTCATGCCTGTAATCCCAGCACTTTGGGAGGCCAAGGCAGGCAGATCATGAGGTCAGGAGTTTGAGACCAGCCTGGCCAACATGGTGAAACCCCATCTCTACTAAAAATACAAAAATTAGCCAGACGTAGTGGTGCACGCCTGTAATCCCAGCTACTCAGGAGGCCGAGATGGGAGAATTGCTTGAACCCAGTGGGCAGAGGTTGCAGTCAGCCAAGATCACGCCACTGCACTCCAGCCTGGATGACAGAGTGAGACTCCATTTCAAAAAAAGAAGAAGAAGAAGGAATAGGAAGTCATTAAACAAGTTTACTAAGTAGAAACAATCTCCTAAAACAGAAAACACCAAGTCCACATGATTTTCAGAAAAGTTCAATCAAATCTTCAAGGAATAAACCATTTCAATCTTATATGAAATCATCCAGAGACTAGAAATGACTATTCCTGAATTCAGTCTTTGAGGCCATATAGTCTTAGTGCTCAAACCAAATAAGGAGAGCATGAGAAATGAAAACTACTGGCCAATCTAACTCACAAACGTAGATAGAAAAATCTTATACAGCATATTAGCAAACTAAATTCAGTAGTGTATAAAAAGATTATTTAGCATAAGCAACTTTATCCCAGAAATGCAAGAGTAAAAATGAGAAAAACCTACAAATACAATTCACCGTATAACAATTTAAAAGCCATGTGATTATCCCAACAGATGCAAAAAATAGTTTTATAAAATTCAAATTTTGACAGATTACATTTTTAACACACTGGGAATATAAGGGAATATCCTTAACAAGATAAAGTGTAGGTATTTTTTTTAAATAAAACCTACAGTATACATCATTCTTAAAGGTGAAACTATTAGAAGCAGTCCCTTAAAATCTGCAAAAAAAAGACAGGGATGACCACTACACTGCTTCTATTCCACAATGTACTAAAGATTCTAGCCAGAGTGATGTTAAAAAATAGAAATTTAAAGCATTCATAATTGGAATAGAAGGCACAAAACCATCATTAGTCACAGATGATAACTGCCTATTTTTGTAGAAGGCAAAGAGAACCACATACAAATTATTTAGAAATAACAACAGAATATAGGAAGGTGACTGGATATAAGATTAATATATAAAATGAATTACATTTTTGTACACCAGAAAAACATAGAAAGAAATATAATGTTTAAAGATACCATTTAAGATGGCCAATTACAGGCAGCTGCGGTCACAGCACTGCTGAGGAAGGAGAGCAGCAAAGTGAATTCACCACCTTCAACTGAAATATCCAGGTTCTCACATTGGGACTGACTAAGCAATCAGCTCAACCCATGGAGAGCGAAGAAAAGCAGGGTGGGGTGAGGGCCCACCTGGAGCAACATGGAGCCGAAGGAACCCCCATCCCCAAACAAGGGAGGCAGTGAGTGATTGTGCGACCCTGCCTGGGAAACCACACTTCTCGCACAGATCTTTGCAACCTGCAGATGACGAGATCCCCTCATGAGCCTACATGAGCAGCGCCTTGGATTCAATGCACAGAGCTGTGTGGAGTCTCAGCAGAGCAGCAATCCAGCACACACAGAGACCCAGGAGTTTTACATACTCTGGCCTCGGGATCCCCAACAAGGGGGCAGATCCATCTGTATATTCCCCTAGGAAGGTGGCTGAATCCAGGGAGCCAAGCAGCATCATTCTGCAGGCCCCACTTCCACAGCACCTCACAAGTTGGGACCTGCTGGCTTGGAGTTCCAGCCACAGTGGCAGTAGGCGGAGTCTGCCTGAGACTGGGGGAGTTTCCAGGACCTGGGGGGAGGGGTGGCTGCCATTTCTGCAGTTTGGTCAACTAGTATTTCAGCTTGCCAGCTCTGGACAGTCCAGGCAGTCTGGACTAGTCCCCTTCTATGCAGCACACCTGCTTTGCCAGATCGTGACAGACTGCTTCTTTAAGCAGGATCCTGATCCATTCCTCCTCACTGGGTGGGGCCTCCCTGCTGGGAGCCCTCAGTCACCCCAGCCAGGCTTATATGGACAGAATTCCGATCTCTCCCTGGGATGGAGCTCCTATGGGGAGAGGTGGCCACCATCTCTGCAGTTGAGTTGACTCAGCTGTTCCAGCCTGCCAGCTCTGGAGAGTCTAGGTGGTCCAGACAAGGAAGGGTCCCCACCAACACAGCACACCTGCTCTACCAAAAAGCAGCCAGACTGATTCTGTAAGCAGGTCCCTGATCCCATTCCTCCTGACTGGGTGAGACCTCCCAACAGGGGTCTCCAGACACCTCCTACAGGAGCATTCAGGCCAGCAACAGGTCAGTACCCCCTGGGATGGAGCTTCCAGAAGAGAAGCGGGCTTTGCTGTTTCGCAGCCTTCACTGGTGATACCTAGAGTTACAGGAAAAGCCAAGGCAGCTAAGGTCTGGAATGGACCCCTAGAAAGCCACAGCAGTCCTACAGGTGCTAACAGTCAGTGGCCTGTTAAAAGAAAAACAAACAAATAGAAAACAACAACAACAAAAACCCCACCAAAAAACCCCACTCAAAGGTCAGCAACCACAGAAAATCTAAGGTAGATAAGCCCACAAATAAGAGAAAAAAAATCAATGCAAAAATGCTGAAAACTCAAAAAGCAAGAATGCTTCTTCTCCTCCAAATGACCACAATACCTTTCCAGCAAGTGCACAGAACTGGGCTGAGGCTGAGATGACAGATGAGATGAAGCTTCAGAAGGTGGGTAATAATGAACTTTGCTGAGCTAAAGGAGCATGTTGTAACCCAATGCAAAGAAGCTAGGAATCATGATAAAACAACACAGGAGCTGACAACCAGAGCAGCCAGTTTAGAGAGGAACATAACTGACCTGAAGGAGCTATAAAATACAACACAAGAACTTCACAATGCAATCACAAGTATAAATAGCAGAATAGACCAAGCAGAGGAAAGGATCTCAGAGCCTGAAGACTATCTATCTGAAATAATAGAGGCAGACAAGAATAGAGAAAAAAGAAAGAAAAGCAATAAATAAAAACTGAGAAATATGGGATTATATAAAAAGACTGAACCAGCCAGGCACGGTGGCTCACACCTGTAATCCTAGGACTTTGAGAGACTGAGGCGGGTGGATTGCCTGAGGTCAGGAGTTCGAGACCAGCCTGGTCAACATGGCGAAACCCCATCTCTACTAAAAATGCAAAAATTAGCTGAGCATGGTGGCAGGTGCTTGTAATCCCAGCTACTCAGGAGGCAGAGGCAGGAGAATCGCTTGAACCCAGGGGGCAGAGATTGCAGCGAGCTGAGATTGCGCCACTTCACTCCAGCCTGGGTGTAAGAATGAAACTCCATCTTGGAAAAAAAAAACTGAACCTACAACTGATTGGGATACCTGAAAGAGATGGACAGAATGGAATCAAGTTGGAAAACATCCTTCAGGATATCATCCAGGAGAACTCCCCAACCTAGCAAGACAGGCCAACATTCAAATTCAGGAAATGCAGAGAGCCCCACTAAGATACCCCATGAGAAGATCAACCCCAAGAAACATAATTATCAGATTCTCCAAGGTCAAAATGAAAGAAAAATGTTAAGGGCAGCCAGAGAGAAAGGCCAGGTCACCTTCAAAGGGAAGTCCATCAGACTAACAGTGAACCTTTCCGCAGAAACCCTACAAGCCAGAAGAGATTGGGGGCCAATATTCAACATTCTTAAAGAAAAAAATTTCCAACCCAGAATTTCATATCTTGCCAAACTAAGCTTCATAAGCAAAGGAGAAATAAGATTCTTTTCAGACAAGCAAATGCTGAGAGAATGCATCACCACCAGGCCTGTCTTGCAAGAGCACCTTGCAAGGAAGGAAGGAAGCACTAAATATAGAAAGGAAAAACCATTACCAGCCACTACAAAAACACACTGAAGTACACAGACCACTGACACTATGAAGCAACCATATAAACAAGTCTGCAAAATAACCAGCTAGCATCATGATGACAGGATCAAATTCACACATAATGCTAACCTTAAATGTGAATGGCTAAATGCCCCCAATTAAAAGACACAGAGTGGCAAGCTGGATAAAGAGCCAAGGTCCATCAGTATGCTGTCTCACAAGCAAAGATGCACATGGGTTCAAAATAAAGGGAGGGAGGAAAATTTACCAAACAATTGGAAAACAGAAAAAAGCAGGGGTTGCAATCCTAGTTTCTGAGAAAACAGACTTTAAACCAACAAAGACTTTAAAAAGACAAAAAAGGGCACTATATAATGGTAAACGGTTCAATTCAACAAGAAGAGCTAACTATCCTAAATATATATGCACCCAATACAGGACCACCCAGATTCATAAAGCAAGTTCTTAGAGACCTATGAAGAGACTTAGACTTCCACACAATAATAGTGGGAGACTTTAACCCCCCACTGACAATATTAGACAGATTATCAAGACAGAAAATTAATAAAGATATTCAGGACTTGAACTCAGCTCTGAATCAAGCAGACCTGATAGATATCTACAGAACATTACACCCAAAAACAACAGAATATGCATTCTTCTCATCACCACATGGCACTTACTCCAAAATTGATTACATAATCAAAAGTAAAACAATCCTCAACAAGGGCAAAAGAACTGAAATCATAACAGTCTCTCAGACCACAGCACAATCAAATTAGGATTCAAGATTAAGAAATTCACTCAAAACAACACAACTACATGGAAATTGAACAAGCTGCTCCTGAATGACTCCTAGGTAAATGATAAGGTTAAGGCAGCAATCAAGAAATTCTTTGAAACTAATGAGAACCAAGAGACAACATACCAGAATCTCTAGGATCCAGCTAAAGCAGTGTTGAGAGGGAAATTTATAGCACTAAATGCCCACCTCAAAAACCTAGAAAGATCTCAAGTTAACAATCTAACATTACAACTAAAAGAAGCAGAGAACCAAGAGCAAACAAACCCCCAAACTAGAAGAAAACAAGAAATAACCAAAATCAGAGCTGAACCGAAGGAGATAGAGATACAAAAAAACCCCTTCAAAAAATGAACAAGTCCAGGAGCTGATTTTTGAAAAAAAAATCAATAAAATTGATAGACTGCAAGATAGACTAATAAAGAAGAAAAAAGAGAAGAATCAAATAAACACAATTAGAAATGATAAGGGAGACATCACCACTGATCCCACAGAAATACAAACTACCATTTGAGAATACTATAAACATCTCTATGCACATAAAATAGAAAATCCAGAAGAAACTGATAAATTCCTGGACACATACACCCTCCCAAGACTGAACCAGGAAGAAATCAAAACACTGAATAGACCAATAACGAGTTCTGAAACTGAGACAGTAATAAACAGCCTATCAACAACAACAACAACAAAAAGCCCAGGACCAGATGGATTCACAGCTGAATTCTACCAGGGGCACAAAGAAAAGCTGATACCAGCCAGGCACGGTGGCTCACATCTGTAATCCCAACAATTACACATCTGTAATACCAGCCAGGCACGGTGGCTCACATCTATAATCTGTAATCAGAGGCTGAGGCAGGTCTCTACTAAAAACACAAAAACTAGCTATGCATGGTGATGCATACCTGTAATCCCAGATACTCGGGGGGCCTGAGACAGGAGAATCGCTTGAACCTGGGAGGCGGCGGTTGCAGTGAGCCGAAATCACACCACTGCATTCCAGCCTGGGTGACGGAGTGAGACTCCATCTCAAAAAAAAAAAAAAGAGAAAAGAAAAGAAAAAAAGAAAAGCTGGTACCATTTCTACAGAAACTATTCCAAAAAACTGAAAAGGAGGGACTCCTCCCTAACTCATTTTATGAGGCCAGCATCATCCTGATACCAAAACCTGGCAGAGATACAACAAAAAAAGAAAACTTCAGACCAATACCCCTGATGAACATTGATGCAAAAGTCCTCAATAAAATACTGGCAAACCAAATCCAGCAGCACATCAAAAAGCTTATCCACCATGATCAAGTTGGCTTCATCCCCAGGATGCAACATTAGTTCAACATATGCAAATCAATAAATGTGATTCATCACATAAACACAGCTAAAGACAAAAACCACATGATTATCTCAATAAACACAGAAAAGGCCTTCAATAAAATTCAACATCCCTTCATGTTAAAAATGCTCAATGAACTAGATATTGAAGGAAAATACCTCAAAATAATAAGAGCCATATATGACAAACCCACAGCCAATATCATACTGAATGGGGAAAAGCTGGAAGCATTCCCCCTTGAAAACTAGCACAAGAAAAGGATACCCTCTCTCATCACTCCTTATTCAATATAGTATTGGAAGTTCTGACCAGGACAATCAGGCAAGAGAAAGAAATAAAGCACATTCAAACAGGAAGAGAGGAAGTCAAATCATCTTTGTTTGCAGATGACATAATCCTAGATGTAGAAAACCCCATCGTCTTAGCCCAAAAGCGTCTTAAACTGATAAGCAACTTTAGCAAACTCTCAGGATACAAAATCTGAGTGCAAAAATTGCTAGCATTCCTATATACCAAAAACAGGCAAGCAGAGAGCCAAATCATAAATGAACTCCCATTCACAATTGCCACAAAAAGAATAAAATACCTAGGAATACAGCTAACAAGTGAAGAGCTTCTTCAAGGAAAACTACAAACCACTGCTCAAGGAAATCACAGAGGACACAAAAAAATGGAAAAACATTCCACACTCATGGATAGGAAGAATCAATGTTGTGAAAATGGCCATACTACCCAAAGTAATTTATAGATTCAATGCTATTCCCATTAAACTACTATTGACATTCTTGACAGAATTAGAAAAATCTATTTTAAAATTCATATGGAACCAAAAAAAGAGCCTGAACAGCCAAGACAATCCTAAGCAAAAAGAACAAAGCCAGAGGCATCATGTTATCCAACTTCAAACTATACTACAACGCTACAATAACCAAAGCAGCATGGTACTGGTACAAGAACAGACACATAGAAAAATGGAACTGAATAGAGGGAACTAAGAAATAAGGCTGCACATCTACAACCATCTGATATTCAGCAAACCTGACAAAAACAAGCAATGAGAAAAGGATTCCCTATTTAATAAATGGTGCTGAAAAAAGTGGCTAGCCACATGCAGAAAATTGAAACTGGACTCCTTCCTTATACCACATACAAGAATTAACTCAAGATGGATTAAAGACTTAAATGTAAAACCCAAAACTACAAAACCCCTAGAAGAAAATCTAGGCAATACCATTCAGGACGTAGGCATGGGCAAAGATTTCATGATGAAAACACCAAAGCAATTGCAACAAAAGCAAAAATTGACAAATGGGATCTAATTAAACTAAAGAGCTTCTGCACAGCAAAAGAAACTATCATCAGAGTGAACAGACAACCTACAGAAATGGAGTATATTTTTGCAATCTATCCGTCTGACAAAGTTCTAGTATCCAGAGTCTACAAGAAACTTAAACAAATTTATAAGAAAAAAACAAACAATCCCATTAAAAAGTGGGCAAAGGACTTGAACAGGCACTTCTCAAAAGAAGACATATATGTGGCCAACAAACATATGAAACAAGGCTCAACATCGCTGATCATTAGAGAAACGAAAATCAAAACCACAATGAGATACCATCTCATACCAGTCAGAATGGTGATTATTAAAAAGTAAAAAAAAAAACAAAAAACACAGATGCTGGAGAGGTTGTAGAGAAAAAGGAACACTTTTACACTGTTAGTGGGCGTGTAAATTAGTTCAACTATTGTGGAAAACAGTGTGGAGATTCCTCAAAGATCTAGAGGCAGAAATACCATCTGACCCAATAATCCCATTACTGGGTATATACCCAAAGGAACATAAATCATTCTATTATAAAGACACATGCATGCATATGTTCATTGCAGCACTATTCACAATAGCAAAGACATGAATCAATCCAAATGCCCATCAATGATAGACTGGATAAAGAAAATGTGATACTGAAATATATATATATACACACACACACCATGGAATTCTATGCAGCCATAAAAAGAAATGAGATCATGTCCTTTGCAGGGATATGGATGGAGCTCGAAGCAGTTATCCTCAGCAAACTAACACAGGAGCAGAAAACCAAACACTGCATGTTCTCACTTACAAGTGGTAGCTGAATGATGAGAACACATGGACACATAAGTGGAACAACACACACTGGAGCATATCATGGGGGTGGTAGGGAGAGGGAGAACATCAAGAAGAATACCTGGTGAATGCTGGGCTTAATACCTAGGTGTAGGGATGATCTGTGCAGCAAATCACCATGGCACACATGGTTTATGTATGTAACAAACCTGCACATCCTGCACATGTACCGCTGAAATTAAAATAAAAGTTGAAGATTTTTTTAAAAGATAGCATTTACAATAATATTAAAAATATAAATAAGATTGTAACACCTGCATGAGAAATGTCATAAACCTTTCTTTAAAATATTAATGAAGGTCAAAATAGATGGAAATATATATATCAAAGACAATATTATAAGGATATCATTCTTTTCCAATTGATTTGTAGATCCAGTGCAATTCAAATGAATATCCAAAATAGGTGTTTTGTTTTTGTTTTTGTTTTTGTTTTCGTTTTCGGTCAGAGTCTTGCTCTGTCACCCAGGCTGGAGTGCAATGGCACAGTCTCAGCTCACTACAACCTCTGCCTCCCAGTTCAAGCAATTCTCATGCCGCAGCCTCCCAAGTAGCTGAGATTACAGGAACTCACCACCATAACCAGCTAATTTTTGTATTTTTAGTAGAGACGGGGTTTTGCCATGTTGACCAGGCTGGTCTCCAACTCCTGACCTCATGGGATTCACCCACCTCAGCCTCCCAAAGTGCTGGGATTACAGGCATGAGCCACCACGCCTGGCCCGAAACAGGTCTTTTGAATAACTTGATAAACTGACTAAAATTTATATGAAAATACAAAATCCTAAGATAAACAAAGTTCAAGAGATTAAGTGTGGCTTTGGAGTG
The DNA here is from genome assembly GCF_000001405.40 of Homo sapiens. Classification (NCBI taxonomy): domain Eukaryota; kingdom Metazoa; phylum Chordata; class Mammalia; order Primates; family Hominidae; genus Homo; species Homo sapiens. The sequence goes on from NC_000020.11 coordinate 45,721,498, forward strand.
GGGGTATACAGTGGAGTGAAATAAAGGGCTCAGAAGCAATCCCACATAATTAAGCAAAATTATTTTGCAGTTAAATAGAAGAGGAACTCATTAATAAATAGGTCTGGAACCACTGAAAAATGAAAAAGGATCCTTATGTTATACCTTACCAAAAAATCAACATCAGGTGGTTTTAGGGTGTAAAGGTAAGCCAAAACTTCAAAACTTTTAGGAGAAAACAGATCCAAGATGTCCTCATGTTCCTAGATAACATAGTGTAGTGTGACTAAGAACAAAAACTCTGAAGCCAAGTTCAAATCTTGTCTCTACCACATAATAAATGAGTGACCTTGTACATGTAACCTAATCTCTGTCTCCATTTCATCCTTAAATGATGGTAATAACTGTACTTACTTCATAGGGTGTATATGATGATAAAGTATATACAAATTACTTAAAAATAGCACCTGGAATTAAGTAGTACTCTAGGTTATAACTAACCCTGTTACTATTATTATAGTGCTATTGCACTCTTTCTCTTGTGCCATGATTAGTTTCTTCTGTGCATAAAAGGTCAAAAAGAGAAAGGAAGAAATCCCTTTTTAATTCCTCACTCTGATGATTCTACCCTTCATGATTAAATATATGCAGAAGCTCTGATCCTTAAGTTTCTATTGCTTCTAGATGAACATGGGACTCACTATCAAGGGTCTAATCAGTTTGGGGCCTTCAGCTTCATGGCTGGGTACCCAAGCACTCACTGTTCAACTCAACACCTAGTAATGTCCAGTCCTGGCCCTTGGGGTAGGTGAGCTCAACCGTCTCAAGTATCAAGCCCAAAATATAACATCAGGTGATACCACAACTATCCTGCCTGCTGCTTGCTGCACCATGAAGTCTGCCAAGCTGGGATTTCTTCTAAGATTCTTCATCTTCTGCTCATTGAATACCCTGTTATTGGGTGGTGTTAATAAAATTGCGGAGAAGATATGTGGAGACCTCAAAGGTATGAAGCTAAGGCAGAAAATAAATCCAAAGGTCAATTATGAATGAGAGAGAAGGTATTGGGAGAAAAGTGTGTTATCTAGGTAGTCCAGGAAGGTCTTCCTTTCATGACAATACCCATAGACACTTAGTCCCTTGACTCAGGGCATTACTTACACTAGGGGTCCTCTGGATGTTTGATGAGAAAAAACAGAAATGACACAAAGTCCTTTCCAGATGGAGACCTCTTTTATAGGAGGTCCAAAGGACTGGAAGTATTTTGAATCAGAGGTTGTGTGACAAATTTCAAAGATCCCAGACCATTGATGATTATGTATTGGGATGAGAGAGAAAGGGGGTTGGAGACAGAGCAAATTAAGACATTTTCAGTATCTGGGCTATGGACATATACAGAACTCTTGGACAGATGATTCCTGTTTAGAGGAGCTCACAATGTAAATGTGAGAGGCAATGAGACTTTCTTCCATAGATAGTGTGTGAAGGCTCAGCGCTTCCAGGGGACGAGAAAGTAGCACAGTTTATACCGTAAGTCAGACACTTCAAGTTCTGGACCTGTTCACTTAGCAGATATGTGCCCTTGGACAAGTCACTCAACCACTTATTATTCTCTTAGTCTCAGTTTCCCCATGTGTAAAATGAAGATCAGAAAAGTGCCTGCTGCAGAGGGTGTTTGTGAGTATGAAATAAGATTATGCACATAACTTTACCAGAGAGTAAATTCCAGGCTGGCTGCTTGAGTAAGGTGGATTGTCAATACAACCATGATTGTGGCTGTTCCAACCACTTACTACCCAACTCTTAACAATAAAAACAGAGGGTTTGCCTCTGAGAAGGCAAGAAAGGAGAAGATGACGGGGTATGAGGATGAACGAGCATCACCCCAAGGTTATGCATTTTAGCATTTTAGTATGCATCCTGCTTTAAAGATAGCAGCAGCCATGGTTACTTAAATTTTGAAGTATAGGTAGTATAGTGAATGTATGAAACTGGGGAGGAGGCACTCTGAATTGCATGTCCTATGTGGGCAATTAAAAGGAAAGGAAGATGATGTGGGGAAGCAGGAGGATACTGTACTTTAATAAACTGTAAGATAGGAAATGTAGGGAAGCTCATCGCCCTGCACAAGCTAGTGGTGGAACCTCCTTTTTCACTGATCACTACTTCTCCTTCTCCAATACACTGCTCACGACAACAACCTGGAATTTTAACCAATTTGCATTGTGCAAGGGCAACATTTCCAAGCAACTCTAACTCCAAGAGAAAACCACATCTTTCAGAGTCCTTGAATATGAGAATAGTTCCAGGCTAAACGTAGGAATTTTTAAGGGCCCATAAAGACAAGTTCTCCTGCTGAGTCCTTACCAATTCCCACTAACTCAATGGGAACCTCTCATGCAGATCCCTGCAAATTGGACATGAATTTTGGAAGCTGCTATGAAGTTCACTTTAGATATTTCTACAACAGAACCTCCAAAAGATGTGAAACTTTTGTCTTCTCCGGCTGTAATGGCAACCTTAACAACTTCAAGCTTAAAATAGAACGTGAAGTAGCCTGTGTTGCAAAATACAAACCACCGTAAGGAATCTAATCCTGTCCTTGGTCCTTGGGGGTAGTAAAAGAAGAGGTTTTGACATCCTAAGATAGAGAAAATTGATCAGGGGCTAACCTTGCTTGGAGTGGGAAGAGGGAGGATTGCTCAAATAAGAAGTTTTAACAGTTGGGTTGGCCGGGCGCAGTGGCTCATGCCTGTAACCCCAGCACTTTGGGAGGCTGAGGTGGGTGTATCACCTGAGGTCAGGAGTTCAAGACCAGCCTGACCAACATGGAGAAACCCCATCTTTACTAAAAATACAAAATTAGCCAGGCATAGTGTCGCATGCCTGTAATCCCAGCTACTCGGGAGGCTGAGGCAGGAGAATCACTTGAACCCGGGAGGGTTCAAGAAGTTCAGAGGGTTCAGAGGTTGCGGCGAGCCGAGATCGCGCCATCCATTGCACTCCAGCCTGGGCAATAAGAGCAAAACTCCATCTAAAAAAAAAAAAAAAAAAAAACCACATTTGGGTGGGCTGTCAGGATCATTTGCTCATTTTGCAGTTAGGAAATCAAATGCCCAGAGAGAAAATAATAGCCACCATCTATTGGACAATTACTGTGTGTCAGGCACTGCACTAAGCAATTAACATATATTGATATAATTTAAAATTATATCAAGGTAGGGCCAGGCGTGGTGGCTCACGCCTGTAATCCCAGTACTTTGAGAGGCCGAGGTGGGCGGATCACAAGGTCAGGAGATCGAGACCATCCTGGCTAACACAGTGAAACCCCGTCTCTACCAAATATACAAAAAATTTGCCAGGCGTGGTGGCAGGCGCCTGTAGTCCCAGCTACTCGGGAGGCTGAGGCAGGAGAATGGTGTGAACCCGGGAGGCGGAGCTTGCAGTGAGCCAAGATCATGCCACTGCACTCCAGCCTGGGAGACAAAGTGAGACTCCATCTCAAAAAAAAAAAAAAAAATATATATATATATATATATATATATATATATCAATAGATATATATCATTATTTTTATGTGACAGATGAAGAAACCAAGTACAGTACAAGTAACCAAGCATCTCGAGGTCACATTATTAAATGGCACAGCAGGGTTTCTAACCAGAGCTGACAGTCACAATGGTCTTGACAATCTTACATGGACAAGGTCACCCAAACCAAATTCTTGCACTCTCATACCTTTGAACTCTTCATAGCAACTTGCTGCTTTATACAACTAAGCTCCCAGCCCATGCTTGACTATTTCCCAATCATTGGAAATAGAAGGTCAATGGTGCCTAACAGGGCTGTGGTTTGGCTGATTCCCAGGAGAACTGGCTGGAGAGTGGCCTTGGGAGTAACTAGAAAGCAGAAATGTTGTTTTGTTTATTTTATATTCCTAGTGGATCTTTTCAGTGCCTGGCACATACTAAGCAATGATTAAGTGTTAAGTGAATGAAAAAGTGAAAGATTAATCAATAAAATAAGGGAAACATTGAGATAGAAGGCATCCTCTGTGCTTTCCCTAGGATAAAAAATGACCTGCATTAATCCAGGGAGACCTTCAAAAACCTGTAACACCGATTTGGGTTTTTCTTTCCTTTGCTTAAACAGGAGGTGAGAGGATGTGAACTCATGAAGTTGTCTGCTGCACCATCCGAAATAAAGACACAAGAAAATTCAGACTGATTTTGAAATCTTTGTAATATTTCCATAATGCTTTAAGCTTCCATATGTTTGCTATTTTCCTGACCCTAGTTTTGTCTTTCCTGGAAATTAACTGTATGATCATTAGAATGAAAGAGTCTTTCTGTCAGCCCTGGCTCTCTTAATTTCTCTCCACTTGTCTTATCTGGATTTGCAGAGCTGAAATGTCAGCTGGTCCCATCCATTGATTTCCCCCTCACTCCTGAGCCATCCCTTACATATGCACACTTAGCTTCATTTATCCTAAACTGCTAAACTGTTTCAGGTTTGACAAGTCTGTACAGGTTTGCATCACCTCCCCTGTCAAATTGAACTGGTTAGTGGAACCAAAGTACCAAACCTATACTCCCTTTTGATCTTGAAATCAAACCTAGCAGCGAACTGCACACTTATGTGAAATGTCCCTGCACTCATAACAAATTTTTCTTTGTCGTGTTTCCTGATTCAAGTCCCTCAATTAGTTTAATTACCTCCCAACCTGGTCCCTGTTTAGGAGTAATTATATGGACCTCTGTCATTGCTATTTGACTTGATTATAGTCAGTCCTTCTGGAAAAGAATCCTCAACTTCAGTCCAGTGACTGTGTTTCAGCTACCAAAAAATGATTATCCAAACACAGGTTCCCAAATCTTCTGCATATAATGCTACAAGGTTTGGCATGGCCATGATCAGCCTAGCTGTAAGATTTACAAGTTGACCACTTCACCTCTGAATTTTTTCAGGCATCCAAACTGAACCTGCACTGAAGTAGGAAAACCTATCCTGGCACCTGTTATTACCCTCTGCATATCTACCATGTCCATCTTATAGACAAAGCCAATCCCTCACCTGTGAATCACAACCTGGAACAGGGGTAGCTAGGGCCAACATTGTAAACCAGTGAGACCATAACTAGACACACAAGCCTGATCTCTGCTCCATCTTAAGACTAGGAAGATCAATGCCCTAAATTAAGATGCTTTTCTGCAAAAATTCTGGTAACTACAAGATCATACCCTCAACCAGACAGGGTTTATTCTGAGCAGGTAAAGTGCTAATAACCCAGTTGATTCTGGCATATTTCATCTTCAATGAAGATCCTAAAATTATAGATCATTCTTGAGCCCAGCCAGCTGCAAGACCCTAAAATAATAGAGATGAGACTAATCTAATTAGTCCACATACACAGAAGTTCTGAGATTTTCCTGTTATGAATCATGAAACTGGGTGTCCCAGAAGCAGACAGTCTTTCAGGGACAAGATAGCATATTTCGGGAGCCTGTTTGCTTCCTACTTCAGCCAACTCCTTGAAAAGTCAGAGAAGTAAAAAAGAGGTGTACAGATATGAATAAAGTCAAGACTAAGAATCCTCTGAGGAAAGAAGGCAATTGTATCCTGGTGAGAAAAGGAAATAGATGCCCAGGACAGATTGTTGAGCATCAAAAGTGAGATAATGAGTTGAGTAAGAGCTTTTGAGGCTTTCGAGTTGTGTTATTCTCCCCACCACAAAGATCTGGATCAGTCATTGCCTGCTCTCTTGCCAAATCACTAACAGCCACAAAATACCAGATAACATAGTGGTCGTTCCAGAGTCCAGCTAGAGAAGTATAAAAGCATAAAAGAAGTGAGAAGCATAAAAACAGGTGCAACTGAGCTAGCCAGACACAGAGTTTACTGTTTTCTCTTCCTCCTATATACAGTAAGGTTTATGTGACTAAAACTAAGAGGAAGAAAGGTTCCTAGAAAATACATCTAGGACAGAAGTGTAGATATTTTCTCTGGTTGGAGGTGGGGGGAGGAAGATAGAGAAATAATGTTATTTAGGAAGAAGCAAATGGAGTAAGGAAGCCCAGGCTGTATCACTGTAAAGTCTCTTCTCTGGAATCATCTACCACCACCACAACCACCCTTGAATCCACCAAGAGCAGCACAAGTTAAAAAAGTTGGGCTTTGGGGAGCTAAGCTATTAAAGTGCAAAGGCATAAGAAGAAGGCTGGGCTCAGTGGTTCTAGCCTGGATTCCTAGCAGAAACCACTGCTCAAGGAAATCAGACAGGAAATAAAAAATGGACAAACATTCCATGCTCATGGATAGAAAAAAATCAATATTGTGAAAATGGCCATACTGCCCAGAGTAATTTATAGATTCAATGCTATTCCCATTAAACTACCATTGATATTCTTCATTAAATTAGAAGAAAACTATTTTAAAATTCATATGGAACCAAAGAAGAGTCTGAATAGCCAAGGAAATCCTATGCAAAAAGAACAAAGCTGAAGGCATCATGTTACCAGATTTCAAACTGTGCTACAAGGCTGCAATAACCAAAACAGCATGGCACTAGTACAAGAACAGACACATAGAACAATGGAACAGAATAGAGAACTCAGAAATAAGACCACACAGCTACAACCATCTGATCTTTGACAAACCTGACAAAAAAAAAAGCAATGGGAAAAGGATTCCCTATTTAGTAAATGGTGCTGGGAGAATTGGCTAGCCATGTGCAGAAAATTGACACTGGACTCTTTCCCTATACCTCATACAAGAATTAACTCAAGATGTATTAAAGATTTAAATGTAAAACCCAAAACTATAAAAACCCTAGAAGAAAATCTAGGCAATACCATTCAGGATTTAGGCATGGACAAAGATCTCATGGTGAAATTGCCAAAAGCAATTGCTACAAAAATAAATAAATAGCAAAATTAAAAAAGCAATTGCAACAAAAGCAAAAATTGACAAATGAGATCTAATTAAACTAAAGAGCTTCTGCACAGCAAAAAAAAAACTATCATCAGACTGAACAGGCAACTTACAAAAATGGAGTAAATTTTTGCAATCTATCCATCTGACAAAGTCCTAATATCAAGAATCTACAAAGAATTTAAACAAACTTACAAGAAAAAAACAAACAATCCCATTAAAAAGTGGGCAAAGGACATGAACAGATACTTCTCAAAAGAAGATAAAATATGCAGCCAACAAACATATGTAAAAAAGCTCAACATCACTGATCATTAGAGAAATGAAAATCAAAACCACAGTGAGATACCATCTCATGCTAGTTGGAATGGCGATGCTGGAGAGGTTGCAGAAAAATAAGAATGCTTTTACACTGTTGGTGGGAATTCAGTTAGCTGAACCATTATGGAAGACAGTGTGGTAATTTCTCAAAGACCTAGAGACAGAAATACCATTTGACCCAGAAATCCCATTACTGGGTATATACCCAAAGGAATATAAATCATTCTATTATAAAGATCCATGCATGCATATGTTCACTGCAGCACTGTTTCAAGGAATTATTTATTTTCATTCTTAATTTCTTCCTTCACCCATTCAGGAGTATGTTGTTTAATTTTCATGAGTTTGCATAGTTTCAAATGTTCCTCTTGTTATTGATGTCTAGTTTTATTCATTTTGGTCATATAAGATACATGATATGATTTCAATTTTTTTTATTATACTTTAAGTTCTAGGGTACATGTGCACAACGTGCAGGTTTGTTACGTATGTATACATGTGCCATGTTGGTGTGCTGTACCCATTAACTCTTCATTTACATTAGGTATATCTCCTAATGCTATCCCTCCCCCCTCCCCCCACCCCACATCAAGCCCCAGTGTGTGATGTTCCCCTTCCTGTGTCCAAGTGTTCTCATTGTTCAATTCCCACCTATGAGTGAGAACATGCGGTGTTTGGTTTTTTGTCCTTGTGATAGTTTGCTGAGAATGATGGTTTCCAGCTTCATCCATGTCCCTACAAAGGACATGAACTCATCATTTTTTATGGCTGCATAGTATTCCATGGTGTATATGTGCCACACTTTCCTAATCCAGTCTATCATTGTTGGACGTTTGGCTTGGTTCCAAGTCTTTGCTATTGTGAGTAGTGCCGCAATAAACCTACGTGTGCATGTGTCTTTATAGCAGCATGATTTATATTCCTTTGGGTATATACCCAGTAATGGGATGGCTAGGTCAAATGGTATTTCTAGTTCTAGATCCCTGAGGAATCGCCACACTGTCTTCCACAATGGTTGAACTAGTTTACAGTCCCACCAACAGTGTAAAAGTGTTCCTATTTCTCCACATCCTCTCCAGCACCCGTTGTTTCCTGACTTTTTAATGGTCGCCATTCTAACTAGTGTGAGATGATATCTCACTGTGGTTTTGATTTGCATTTCTCTGATGGCCAGTGATGATTAGCATTTTTTCATGTGTCTGTTGGCTGCATAAATGTCTTCTTTTGAGAAGTGTCTGTTCATATCCTTCGCCCACTTTTTGATGGGTTTTTTTTTCTTGTAAATTTGTTTGAGTTCTTTGTAGATTCTGGATATTAGCCCTTTGTCAGATGAGTACTTTTTGTTACTTGTTTCATGTCCTAACATATGATCAGTCCTGAAGAATGTTCCACATGCCAAAGAAAAGAATGTGTATCATTCAGTTACAGGATGAAATGTTCTGTAAATGTCTGTTAGGTTCATTTGGTCTATGGTACAGTTTTAAACCAAAGTTTTTTTGTTGATTCTCTGTTTAGATATCTGTCCAATGCTGAAAGTGGGGTGTTGAAATCCCCAGTGATTATTGTATTGGGGTCTATCCCCTTAGATCTAATAATATTTGCTTTATAAATATGAGTGTTGTGGTATTGGGTGCATATACAATTATTTTATCTTACTAAATTGATTCCTTTATTATTATATAATGTCCTTCTTTGTCTACAGATTTTTACTTGAAGTCTGTTTTATCTAAGTAGAGCTATTCCTTGCTTTTGTTTCCCTTGGCATGGATTATCTTTTTCCATTCCTTCACTTCAGTCTATGTGTGTCTTTACAGCTGAGGTGAGTTTCTTGTGGGCATCATATAGTTGGGTTTTGTTTTTTATCCATTCAACTAGTCTAAACCTTTTAAATGGGGAAATTAATTAATTTACACTCAAGGTTATTATTGATAGGTGAGAACTTACTCATCTTTTTTTTGTTGTTTTCTAGTTCTTTTTTTTTTTTTTTTTTCTTGAGACGGAGTCTCACTCCATCACCAGGCTGGAGTGCAGTGGCACGATCTCAGCTCACTGCAACCTCCGCTTCCCAGGTTCAAGCAATTCTCCTGCCTCAGCCTCCTGAGTAGCCGGGATTACAGGCACGTGCCACCACACCCAGCTAATTTTTCTATTTTTAGTAGAGACTGGGTTTCACCATGTTGGTCAGGCTTGTCTCGATCTCGTGACCTCGTGATCCACCCGCCTTGGCCTCCCAAAGTGCTGGGATTACAGGCATGAGCCACCGCGCCCAGCCTTTCTGGTTCTTTTATAGTTCCTTTGTTCCTTACTTTCTCTCTTATTATTTTTGCAGGTAGGTGGTTTTCTGTAGTGGTAAGATTTGATTCTCTTTTTCCTTTGTGTATTGGCTCTTCTAGTGAGTTTTATCATTTTATGTTTTCATGATGGTGGCTATTGTCTTTTCACTTCCAGATATAAGACTCCCTTGAGCAGTTCATGTAAGACCAGTCTAGTAGTAATGAATTCTTAGTTTTTGTTTGTCTGTGTAAGATCTTATTTCTTTTTTTTTTTTTTTTTTTTTTTTTTTTTGAGACAGAGTCTTGCTCTGTCGCCCAGGCTGGAGTGCAGTGGGGCGATCTCAGCTCATTGCAAGCTCTGCCTCCCAGGTTCACACCATTCTCCTGCCTCAGCCTCCTGAGTAGCTGGGACTACAGGCGCCCGCCACAATGCCCACCTAATTTTTTGTATTTTTAGTAGAGATGGGGTTTCACCGTGTTAGCCAGGATGGTCTTGAAGATCTTATTTCTTCTTCATTTTTTTTTTTGACAGGCTCTCATTCTGTTACCTAGTCTGGAGTGCACTGGCACAATCATGGCTCACTATAGCCTCAACCTCCCAGACTCAACCAAATCTCTCACCTTCTTTTGGCTAGCTGGGACTACAGGCACACACCATCATGCCCAGATAATTTTTTATATTTTGGTAGAGACAGGGTCTCACTATGTTGCCTAGGCTGGTCTTGAACTCCTGGGCTCAAGTGATCCTCCCACCTCAGCCTCCCAAATTACTGGGATTACAGGCATGAACCACGACATTCAGCCTCTCCTTCATTTCTGAAGGATAATGTTGCTGGGTATGATATTCTTAATTGGCAGAGTTTTATTTTTATTTCAGTACTTTAAATATGTCATACCATTTTCTCCTGACCTGTAAGGTTTATGCTGAGAAATATGATAGTCTAATGGAGATTCATAGCTAATGGTAATTCCCCTATATGTGACTTAATGCTTTTCTCTTGCTGCTTTTAAAATTCTTTCTTTGTCTTTGACTTTTGACAAGTTAACTATAATGTGCCTCAGAGAGGACCTGTTTGGGCTGAATCAATCTGGGGTTCTTTGAGCTTCCTGGACCTGAATGTCCATCTCTCCCAAGACTTGGGAAGTCTTCTGACATTATTTTATTAAATATGTTTTCCTTACCTTTTCCCTTTCTTCTCTTTCTGGAACACCCATAATATGCATATTGTGCACTTAATGGAAAATGGAATTCCACAAATCCTGTAGGCTTTCTTCATTCTTTTTTTCTCTTTTCTTTTTTAATCTGCCTATGTTATTTCAAAAGTCCTGTCTTCAAGTTCAGAAATTCTTTTCTTCTGCTTGGGCTAGTCTGTTGTTGAAGCTCTCAATTGTGTTTTTTATTTCATTCATTGAATTCTTCAGCTCTAAGGTTTGTTTGGCTCTCTTTATGATATCTATCTCTTCATTGAATTTCTCATTCAAATAATGAATTCTGTTCCTAATTTTGTTGACTCATCTATCTGCATTCTCTTATATCTCACTGAGTTTCCTTAAGATTATTATTTTTAATTCTTTTTTAGCATGTCATATATTTCCTTATGCTTAGGGTCTGTTATGGAAGAATTATTGTTTTCCTTTTGAGGTAACATGTTTCCTTGGTTTTTCATGGTTGATGTGTCCCTACATTGATTTCTATATATCTGGTAGAAAAGTTGCCTCTTACAATTTTATAGAGTAGGTTTTGTAAGGAAAGACTTATTCATTTTCATAGGTATTGACTCAGTGGAGTTCATTGGCCTTGGTTCTAGGTGGATGCAGTAGTATAGTATCCATTTAGTTTCTTCTACCTTAGTCCACACTAATAGTGTTTGTGAATTTCTCAGCGGCCTAGGCTAAGAGAGTTTGTGATAATAGTAGTGAACTTTGCCAGAAATGGGCTTTCTAGGCTTTTCTCAGGTGGGGAGTGCATGTGTGTTTCTCAGGTGGGTCAGCCAAATTGGGGTTGGGGCCACAGAGCTGTTATTCTGGCTGGGAGCACTGGCATGCAGTTGCTCAGTCAATCTGGACGTGTGTCTGCCAGGAGCAACCCACAGGGCTGTTTCTCAAGCCCAGCATATGGGTGTACAGCTGCTTGTAAAGGAGTCTTTACTAAAAGAACAAATCACCTAGCTGACCTATGGAGTGATTCCCTTCAAGCATGGTAACAAATCAGTGTCTTAGCAAACTAGATAGTCAGAAGGTGGAAGTCCCTCTTGTTAAACTTATACAAAATTTACAGCCTAAAATTCCTTGAAACAAATTTTCCAATCTTTCTTCTTCAAAATACTTTATGACATGGGCAGACCCTTATCCACTGCCCAAAAATCTGTTGCCCCCACCACATGAAATGAATGAGGACAAGTTCATTTGGGCTTGTTTGGGCTGTTATAACAAAATTCAGTAGATTGGATGGCTTATAGGCAATAGAAATTTCTCACAGTTCTGAAGACTGAGAAGTCTAAGATCTAAGATCTAGGTCTAAGTATAAAATCAAGGTACCAGCAGATTTGAGATCTGGTAAGACCAGAACTATTTCTTAGTTCATAAATGATAACTTCTCCCTGTGCTCTCACATGGTAGAAGGGGTAAACAAGCTCACTTAGGCTCATTTTAGAAGGGCACTAATCCCATTACTTAGGGCTCTGACCTCATGACATAATCACCTCCCAAAAAGTCCCATCTCCTAATACTATCACCTTGGAGTTAGGATTTCAACATATGTATTTGAGGGTATATGAACATTCAGAGCATCGAACTAAGAGTATAAAGTTTAAATGTTCTCACCACAAAAAAACTACATGAGGTGATAGATATGTTAATTATTTTGACCATAGTAATCACTTTGCAATGTGTATATGTATGCATGTGTGTATATAGTATATATATATATACACACATATATATTAAAACATTACATTGTACACCTCAAATATATACAATTTTTATTTGTCAATTATACTTCAATACAGTTGGGGGAATTAAAAAATAAAGTTTCAAGAGAAAAAAGAATTTATCTACTTAATACAAAACCATGAGTAGTATACAAAAGGTTCCAGGTACCAGTCATAAATAACAATTTTAAAATGGCTCAACACCCTTTCATGATAAAAAAAAACTCTCAACAAATTGGGTGTAAAAGGAATATATCTCAACACAATAACGGCCATATATGACAAGTCCTCAGGAAACATTATACTAAACAGTGAAAAATTGAAAGCCTTTCCTCTGAAATCCAGAACAAGACAAGGATGTCCATTCTTCCTACTTCTATTCAACATATTATTGAAAGTCCCAGCCAGAGCAATTAGTCAAGAGGGAAAAAAGGGCATCAAATAAGAAAGGAACAAGTAAAATTGTTGGTATTTGCTGATTACACAATCTTATATATAGAAAACCCTAAAGATTCCACCAAAAAACTGTTAGAACTAATAAATGAATATGGTAAAGTTGTAGGATACAAAATCAACACAAAAAGATCATTAGCATTTCTATACACTAATAATGAACTATCCAAAAGAGAAAACAAAAGAACAATCCCATTTATAATAGCTACTAAAGAATAAAATAATCAGAAATAAATATAAACAAGGAGATAAAAGACCTGTACATGGAACCCTATAAAACATTAATGAAAGAAATTAAAGAAGACACAAATAAATGGAAAGATATCCCATGTTTATGGGATGGAAGAATTAATATCGTGGAAATATTCATCTACCCAAAGCAATTTACATAGTCATTGCCATCTCTATCAAAATCCCAATGTCATTCTTCACATAAATAAGAAAAAAATCCCAAATTCATATGGAACCACAAAAAAAATAGCCAAGGCAATCATGAGGGAAAAAAAAAAAAAAAACGTAGAGGCATCATACTACTAATTTCAAACTATACTACAAAGTGATAAAAATGGCACTGACATAAAAATAGACACATTGACCAATAGAATAAAGAGTGCAGAAATGAACTCATACATATACAGTCATTTGACATTCAACAAAGGTGCCAAAAATACACAATAGGAAAAGGAAAGTCTCTCCAATAAATGGTGTTGGGAAAATTGGATATCCAAATGTAGAAGAATGAAATTGGACCCTTATCTCACACCATATACAAAAATGAACTAAAATGGGTTAAAGACTTATACACATAATGGGAGGCAGAGGTTGCAGTGAGCTGAGATCATGCCACTGCACTCTGGCCTGGGCAACAAAAGCAAAACTCTGTCTCAAAAAAAAAAAAAGACTTACACAGAAGACCTGAAACTGTAAAACTACTACAAGAAAACAGAGGGGAAAAAAACTACAGGACATTGGTCTGGGCAATGATTTTTCAGATTTGGCCTCAAAAGCACAGGCAACAAAAGCAAAAATAGACAAATGGGATTACATTAAACTAAGAAGCTTCTGCACAATAAAGGAAACAACTAACAGAGTGAACAGATGCTCTACAGTTTCGGAGAAAATACCTGCAAGCCATGTATTTCATAGGGGGCTAATATTCAAAATACATAAGGAATTCAAACAACTCTTTAGCAAGAAAACAACCCCATTTAAAAAATGGACAAGGGACCTGAATGTTTCTCAAAAGAAGACACACACATGGCCAACAGATATACAAAAAAAAAGCTCAATGTTCCTAACCATTAGAAAAATGCAAATTAAAACCACAATGAGTATCATCTTGAGAGGTGACAACATGCTGGTGGCCCTCGCTCGCTCTCAGTGCTATCTTGGCCTCGGTGTCTGTTCTGGCTGTGCTTGAGAAGCCCTTCAGCCTGCAGCTGCACTGTGGGAGCCTCTCTCTGGGATGGCCGAGGCTGGGGCTGGCTCCCTCTGCTTGCGGGGTGGTGTGGAGGGAGAGGCACGGGCAGGAACCAGGGCTGCATGTGGCACTCGTGGGCCAGCGTGAGTTCCGAGTGGGTGTGGGCTCAGCAGGCCCTGCACTTGGAGTGGCCGGCCGGCACCGCCGGCCCTGGGCAATGAGGGGCTTAGCACCTGGGCCAGCAGCTGCAGAAGGTGTGCCGGGTCCCCCAGCGCTGCCGACCCACCTCCGCTGCACTCAAATTCTCGCTGGGCCTCGGCCGCCTCCCCATGGGGCAGGGCTTGGGACCTGCAGCCCACCATGCCTAAGCCCCCGACAGTGGGCTCCCACATAGCCGGAGCCTCCCTGATGGGCACCGCCCCCTGCTCCATGGCTCCCGGTCCCATCGACTGCCCAAGGGCTGAGGAGTGCGGGCGCATGGCGCGGGACCGGCAGGCAGCTCCACCTGCGGCCCCAGAGCGGGACCCACTGGGTGAAACCAGCTGCACTCCTGAGTCTAGTGGGGACTTGGAGATCCTTTATGTCTAGCTAGGGGATTGTAAACACACCAATCAGCACTCTGTGTCTAGCTCAGGGTTTGTGGATGCACCAATCGGCACTCTCTATCTAGCTAATCTGGTGGGGACTTGGATAACCTTTATGTCTAGCTAAGGGATTGTGAATACACCAATCAGCACTCTGTATCTAGCTCAAGGTTTGTAAATGCACCAATCAGCACTGTGTGTCTAGCTCAGAGTTTGTAAATACACCAATCAGCACTCTGTATCTAGCTAATCTAGTGGGGACATGGAGAACTTTTGTGTCTAGCTCAGGGATTGTAAATACACCAATCAGCACCCTGTCAAAATGGACCAATCAGCTCTGTTTAAAACAGACCAATCGGCTCTCTGTAAAATGGACCAATCAGCAGGATGTGGGTGGGGCCAGATAAGAGAATAAAAGCAGGCTGCTGGAGCCAGCAGTGGCAACCGGCTCAGGTCCCCTTCCACACTGTGGAAGCTTTGTTCTTTCACTCTTTGCAATAAATCTTGCTACTGCTCACTGTTTGGTCCACACTGCCTTTATGAGCTGTAACACTCACCACAAAGGTCTATAGATTCACTCCTGATGCCATCGAGACCACGAACCTACCGGGAGGAATGAACAACTCCAGACATGCCGCCTTAAGAGCTGTAACCCTCACCACAAAGGTCTGCAGCTTCACTCCTAAGCCAGCGAGACCACAAACCCACCAGAAGGAAGAAACTCCAAACACATCCAAACATCAGAAGGAACGAACTCTGGACATGCCGCCTTTAAGAACTGTGACAGTCAGGCCAGGCGTTGTGGCTCATGCCTGTAATCCCAGCACTTTGGGAGGCCAACGTGGGTGGATCAAGAGGTCAGGAGATCAAGAACATCCTGGCTAACACAGTGGAACCCCATCTCTACTAAAAATAGAAAAAAATTAGCTAGGCGTGGTGGCACACACCTGTAGTCCCAGCTACTCGGGAGGCTGAGACAGGAGAATCGCTTGAACCCAGAAGGCAGAGGTGGCAGTGAGCCGAGATCGCGCCACTGTACTCCATCCTGGGTGACAGAGCGAGACTCTGTCTCAAAAAAAAAGAACTGTAACAGTCACCGCGAGGGTCTGCGGCTTCATTCTTAAAGTCAGTGAGACCAAGAAC
Organism: Homo sapiens; assembly: GCF_000001405.40. NCBI lineage: Eukaryota > Metazoa > Chordata > Mammalia > Primates > Hominidae > Homo > Homo sapiens. The sequence continues at coordinate 45,737,531 of NC_000020.11, forward strand.
CCACCAATTCCGGACACAATCTCACACCTGTCAGAATGGCCATTGTCAAAAAAATGAAAAATATCAAGTGTTGGCAGGATGCGGAGAAAAGGAAACCCTTGTACACTGTTAACAGGAATGTAAATTAGTACAGACATTATGGACAACATTATAGAGGCACCTCAAAAAATTAGAATAGAATTAACCTATGACCCAGCAATCCCACTTCTGGGTATTTACTCAAAAGATTGAAACCAGTATGTTGAAGAGATGTCTGCACTCCTATGTTCATTGCATCGACTATTCACAATAGCCAAGTTGTGGAATCAGCCTAACTTTCCATCAACAAATGAATGGATAAAGAAAATGTGTGTTTAGTTATGTACAATGGAATACTATTCAGCCCTTAAAAAGAAATTCATCCTGCTCAACCTGGTCCTAATGCTGCCCTGGCTGCTCAGCTGACCTCCTTTTACCTTCTGATACCTGGATATCCCTCTCCTGTTCAGCCCCACAGTTCCCAACAATTTGGTTCCTGCTCCATGATCAGCATTTTCAATAAACCAGACACTCCAGAGAAAAAAAAAAAAAGAAAGAAATTCAGTCAGTTGTGACAACATGGGTGAAACTGAAGAACATTATCCTAAATTAAAATAAGTCTACACAGAAAGACAAATACCATATGTTCTCACTTACATGTAGAATCTAAAACAATCAAACTCATAGAAGCAGAATTAGAATGGTGGTTACCAGAGGCTGGAGTGTTGGGGGAAATGGGGAGATGATTGTAAAGGGTACAAAGCCTCAGACTAGAAGGATAAGATTTTTTCAAGATCTATTAACACAATGTGGTGAATATAGTTAATAATAGTATATTGTGCACTTCAAAATCACTAAGAGTAGATTTCAAATGTTCTCACCACAAAAAAATAAGTATTTGAGATTATGAATATGTTAATTTGGTTGATTTGATTATTCCAATCAAATCATAAATTATAACATCACTTTGTACCCCATAAATATATACAACAAGCTCGACACAGTGGCTCCTGCCCATAACCCCAGCACTTTGGAAGACTGAGGCAGGAGGATTGCTTGAGCCCAGGAGTTCAAGACCAGCCTGGGCAACATAGTGAGACATTGTCTCTACAAAAAAAAAAAAAAAAAAAAAACACAAAATTAGTCGGGTGTGGTGGTGCCCACCTGTAATTCCAGCTACTCAGGAGGCTGAGGGGGGAGGATTGCTTGAGCCCAGGAGATCGAGGCTAGTGTGAGCCAAGATCATGCCACTGCACTCCAGCCTGGGTGACAGAGCAAGACCCCAAGTCAAAAAAAAACCTATATATAGTTATAGTTTACAAAACTATATATATAGTTATATATAGTTATAGTTTACAAAACTATATATAGTTATATATATAGTTATAGTTTACAAAACTATATATAGTTATATATAGTTATAGTTTACAAAACTATATATAGTTATATATATAGTTATAGTTTACAAAACTATATATAGTTATATATATAGTTTACAAAACTGTATATATAGTTATATATAGTTTACAAAACTGTATATATAGTTATATATAGTTTACAAAATTGTATATATAGTTATATATATGGTTTACAAAACTATATATAGTTATATATATGGTTTACAAAACTGTATATATAGTTATATATATGGTTTACAAAACTGTATATATAGTTATATATATGGTTTACAAAACTATATATGTAACATATACAAGTTATAGTTGCATATATATATATAGATACACACACAACTATAACTTGTCGAAAATGAATTTTTTTTAAAAAGCCCAAAAAATGGCTCAATATAAACAAATCCCAGTGTAGAAAATGCCTCAGTTCCCCGAGATTTACAATAATGATCACAGCCCCCAACTGTCCCATCCTTAATTTTCTCAAGTTTATATGTTTAGGCAACTTAGGGCACTATGAATGGGAAGGACAATTCTACAAGGAAAAGTTGGAATGCTATTATTAGATGTGAAATATACTGATGAGCAGACCTAAACAACTGCTGTTCACTACCTCCCAACCCTTGACTATTCCATGCATATACTCTCTCCTTTCTGTTCATAAATATGTTTAATGCCTTGGTCTAACATCACAAAAAGTACTTACCTACTCCTTAAAGGGAGACAATCGAAAGTCAGCTCCGACTCCTTCAACTGGCTACAAGTATAAAATCTCTAAATGAGCTCTATCTGTATATTACCAATAAATACTGTGAAAAAAGTGGTTAATTATATCATAAACCAACATACCCTATATAAAACAATAAAAGAAATAAAAAATAAATGCTTGAAAAATATTAATGCTACAACACAATGATTAGGAAAATACAGGTAGCTTTATTTGTGCTGTTCATTATAAGCCCGTAATAGCTGACTTGCGTTAACAATCCTCCTCTATTATGCATTTCATACTTTTGTGTTTAGCCAATACCACAAATAAGCTGTGTTCTTTATGTAAAACTTCATTTCTGTGTGATATTAGCTTTTGAGAGAACTGCCTGGGCAGGCTTTACATTTTCCCATCTTTTGGACTTTAATGGCTCCCATTATATTTTACAACTGAGATGGGGTACAATTATATGTATATATTTTTCAAGGTAGCTAAGGTGAAAATTAACCCTATTTTATCTTCACAGTTTCAAAAATTGCAGGCAAACTGTAATACCCATCTTTTGTCAATTTTTTTATTCTTATGAAGAGACTGAAGTGGCCAGATATAAATGTCAACTCTGAATTGAACAGGTCCATTTTTTAATTGCTTGATGAAAGTATTCCCCCATTTAGACACAAAAACAATCAAACCAGTAGAGTGCATAATCATAAGAATGGGAAGCAAAACTATTACAAAGTAGAATCTTAAATACTACCTACACCAACTTGGTCCCCAAACCTATGTGTTTTGACGATGCTACAAAGAACATAAGCTCAGGGCTTATACTGCATACAGCAAGGGAAATCCCCAGCCTTGAAACATAGTTGCATCTTCAACTTTATAAGACAATATGCCTCTAGAGATGGTAATACACTAGGTAAGTAGATACATAAGCACTAATATATTTTCTTACTTCTTGTAGTGGGAAGTAAGTTCCTAAAACAGGCAGGAACAATATAGTATTATTTGCTAAGATGACCATAAGGTATTGGACAAGCCCATCAAAGCTGATATTAACAAGATATGGTGGATGAAAAAAGCAAATCTAATGGGATGATTACAAAATTCTAGGTCAGGCACGGTGGCTTATGCCTGTAATCCCAGCACTCTGGGAGGCTGAGGCGAGCAGATTGCTTGAGTCCAGGAGTTTGAGACCAGCCTGAGCAACATAGTGAAATCCATCCCTACTAAAAATACAAAATTATCCAGGCATGGTGGCACATGCTTGTAATCCCAGCTACTCAGAAGGCTGAGGTGGGAGAATCACCTGAGCGGGGGAGATCAAACCTGCAGTAAGCTGGGATCACACCACTACATTCCAGCCTGGGCAACCAGAGTGAGATCCTGTGTTTAAAAAAAAAAAAAGTATAGGCTGGGCATGGTGGCTCACACACATAATTTCAGCACTTTGGGAGGCTGAGACAAGAGGATCACTTGAGCTCAGGTGGTCAAAACTGCAGTGAGTCATGACTGCACCACTGCAGTCTAGCCTAGGTGACAGAGCAAGACCCTGTCTCAAAAAAAAAACCTGAAAAACATGACATTTTGGACCAGGTAATTTTTTTTTCAAGTTCTGAAGATGAACAGTGGTAAGGAATCCACAACAATGTGAATGTACTTAATGTCACTGAAATGTACACTTTAAAATGGTTAAAATGGTAAATTTGGCCAGGTGTGGTGGCTCACGCCTGTAATCCTAGCACTTTGGGAGGCTGAGGATGGCGATCACCTGAGGTCCAGAGTTCAAGACCAATCTGGCCTACATGGTGAAACCCCATCTCTACTAAAAATTGGGTGGGTGTCATGGCACACACCTGTAATCCCAGCTACTTGGGACACTGAGGCAGGAGAATCACTTGAGCCTGGGAGGCAAAGGTTGCAGTGAGCTGAGATGGCACCACTGCACTCCAGCCTGGGTAACAGAATGAGACGCTGTCTAAATAAATAAATAAATAGGTAAACTTTATGTGATGTATATTTAAGTACAATAAAAAACCGAGTCTAAGTTCATTATAACAGCATAGTAATGAGGAAAAATGTCCCAAATGATCTATTTGGTTCTTTTGTAACATGGGACTAAATTAGTATCATACCAACAAGGACACTTAAAAGTTGAAAGTCACTTGGGTTAAATTTATGCACAGTTTCTGTGTCTAAGACTATGGCTATATCAAGCCCATTACTTGGTTAATGGACTGCCTGAGCAAGAAGATAGATGGAATTTACAGAGTGACATATCTGGTCCATCTGATTATTAAGGATATCTTCTATACTGAGGACCCCTGATAAACAGTTACATGAAACATGAATAATCTCACATTATAGATCCATTTATTCAACAAATTTTTTTTTTTTAGATGGAGTCTTGCTCTGTCACCAGGCTGGAGTACAGTGGCGCGATCTCGGCTCACTGCAACCTCCGACTCCCTGGTTCAAGTGATTCTCCTGCCTCAGCCTCCCAAGTAGCTGGGATTACCAGCACATGCCACCATATCCAGCTAATTTTTGTATTTTTAGTAAAGACAGGGTTTCACCCTGTTGGCCGGGATGGTCTCGATCTCCCGACCTCGTGATCCACCCATGTCGGCCTCCCAAAGTGCTGGGATTACAGGCGTGAGTCACCGCGCCCGGCCCAACAAATTATTCTGTGTGTGTGTGTGTGTGTGTGTGTGTGTGTGTGTGTGTGTGTGTAGACAGGGTTTCACTATGTTGCCCAGGTTGGTCTCCTACCCCTGGGCTTAAGACATCCTCCTGCTTCAGCCTCCCAAAGTGCTGGTATTATAAGCGTGAGCCATTGCACCCAGCTGTCAATAAATTATTCTTGACAAATTAATATGTCATAATAGAATTTCCATTCACATTGTCCTTCTCTAAAACTTGTTCTCACCAACTTTCTAGTCTTACTTATTCCGCTACCCTTGCAATACAAGGTCATTCCAACCACTCCCAAATCCATGAATTAGGCTATCTTTGCTTGCAGGTAAAATAGACAAGAATGCATTTTCCTCAAGTTCTGCCTACTGGGAAATTTTTCATTCCCCGCTGTCCTTCAGGGCAAATGAGTTAAAGCAGCTTGTTTACAATTAGTCCTAAAACACATTTCACTGGAGAACTTGCGCAAACCAGGCAACAATTTTTCCAACATTAGACATCTGGTCTTCAGGAATTCTCAAAGAAGCCATAAGTGTGGATTTCAAATTCTGTGACAACACAACAAAAACGGGATATTTCATGGGCTGGGAATATAATCTACTTGCTCATAAAACTTACTTGCACCTTTAGGGCCATAGTATACCTGGTAAAATGTAGAGTCCTTTTTTTTTTTTTTTTTAATGAACTGCTTATGGGTTCAATGGGTACTCCAAGATTTTCTCAAGCATCTTTCCTTCACAGGCCTTTACCAAACAAACAGGAAGTTAATGATCCTCACTGTTTTCCATCTCATAACATTTTCACTCAATGTCTTAAGGCCCACACTCTCGAATGGAACATATCATCTCTCCCTGGGGACATGCAGCTCAAAATATTCACTCCCACACTCACACATGATCATACAGGCACTTCAGGAACCCAACATTTAAATAATACTGTCATTAGGAAGCCCTCCTTCTCAACACACACGGGCAGAACACAAGGCATCTGGCACTTGGGAACATATTTATCCCGCCATTGTAGCCTAGGGTCTTTGCCACTCAACCCTGCCACCACCCAGCCTTATCTTAATTGGAACAATGAAGCTGGTGATATGGAGGAGCAAAAACATTAGCTTTGTTGGAAACATGGAACCAGCACCTTCAGATTCCTTTTACTCAAAGCTCTGGTCCTAACCTTTCTCCACACTGTGGGGAATGTAGTCTTGCCAACACCAGACAGTTAGCCTCTACCCATTGACTATAAAATCAGATTTCAACTCTTTTATACAACTTCTTTATGAAAACCTTGAAAAAAAGAATCGTATCTTATTTGGCTCCCTTTAACAATATATTATACAACAGAGAAACTAAATATCTGTATATTGATTATGCTAACATGCAGGACAGGATCAAAACTAACACAATAGAATTCAAATATGCAAAATCATTCAGAGTTATTGGAAAGGTAAAAATGCAAGTTTAACATTTTTTCAAAGATAATGTCCTGGCTATATCTATATTGAGGTTCCCTACATTTGGTGCTACATAGAATTTATGTTATTAATCTTATGGAGCTATAGTGTCAGGATATATAACAGAATTGATACTTTATTTATACTAGCTGGACCTTTTAAATACCTTCTCATTTATAATGCCCAAATGGAAAATAATAATTTATTTCCTTAGCAAGGCAAATCTTCACACTAATAAGAGAATTGAATTAAGATTTGCCCAATATGAACCAAAATCCTTGAACATTAAAACCCTGGATTCCCTCACTCTTTTTTTTTTTTTTTTTTTTTTTTGAGACAGAGTCTCACTCTGTCGCCCAGGCTGGAGTGCAGTGGCACCACCTCGGCTCACTGCAAGCTCCACCTCCCGGGTTCACGTCATTCTCCTACCTCAGCCTCCCGAGTAGCTGGGACTACAGGTGCCCGCCATCACGCCTGGCTAATTTTTTGTGTTTTTAGTAGAGACGGGGTTTCACCTTGTTAGCCAGGATGGTCTCAATCTCCTGACCTTGTGATCCGCCCACCTTGGCCTCCCAAAGTACTGGGATTACAGGCGTAAGCCACCGTGCCTGGCCTCCCTCACTCTTACCCAAATACTCACAGCTCCCAATCCTCCCATTCATGAGTTGTTTCTGTCTACACTCATGAGAAATAATGGACACTGTGACTGAGAGTCCATTACATGAAAGGGCAGTTCTACAAAGAAAAATTAGGATGCTGGCTGGCCATGGTGGCTCATGCCTGTAATCCCAGCACTATGGGATTACAAAGCGGGTGGATCACCTGAGGTCAGGAGTTCGAAACCAGCCTGGCCAACGTAGTGAAACCTCATCTCTACTAAAAATACAAAAAATTAGCCAGGTGTGGTTGTGGGTGCCTGTAATCCTAGCTACTTGGGAGGCTGAGGCAGGAGAATTGCTTGAACACAGGCAGCAGAGGTTGTAGTAAGCCGAGATAGCGCCATTGCACTCCAGCCTTGGCAATAGAGTGAGATTCCATCTCTAAAAACATATATATACACACATATATATATACATATACATACATATATGTGTGTACATATACATACATATATGTGTGTACATATACATACATATATGTGTGTATATATACATACATATATATGTGTATATATATACATATATACACATATACATATGTATATGTGTATATATATACATGTATATATGTGTGTGTATATGATTGATATTTAAATTAGTAGACTGAGTAAAAGAGATTACCCTTCATGATGCAGGTGGGCCTCATCCAATCAGTTGAAAGCCTTAAGAGGAAATAGGCTGAGGTCCCACAGAGGAAGGAGGTATTCTGACTCCAGACTGCCTTTGAACTCAAAACTGCAACATCAACACATTCCTGAACCTCCAGCCTGCCAGCATGCCCTGCAAATTTCAGATTTGTCCATCCCTACAATCACACAAGCCAATTCCCTAACATTGGTTTTGTTTCATTGATTCTGTTCCTCTGGAGTACCCTAATACATAGACTTTAAAACAAAAATTATAACTAGAAGTACATTTTACAAAAAGAAAAGACAGATTTACTCAGCATCATTATCAGACTATGACATTTAGCAATCAACAGCATGGGTGCAAAAAAAAAATCTACTTTAAAACCCTTTGTTGGAATGCTTTATACTTTCCACAGAACTGAAACTAAAATAACATGTTATTCAATTAGTCACAAATATAGTCCTTGAGTTTTTTGCCTATACACATGAATATTTGTCTAAAGCATGTCTTCTTTGTAGCAGCTAGGCCCTGCCACCACTGTGCTTGGCTGCATTCACAAATCTGTTGTAACCTGTAGCTTCCCTGTCACTTCTCTGGCTCTCCTCTCCTGCTAAGCTTTGTTTCCCGGCAGTAATTAAAATCTTCTGCCACTGCCATAGCTACTACTGCTACTGGAACCTCCATGGCCACCTTGGTTTTGTGGTTTGGCAAAGTATTGTCCTCCACCACCATAGGGGTCAGAGCTTCTGCCTCCAAAGTTGCCTCCCTTCATGATTCCAAAATTTGAAGACTGATTTTTGTAATTGTCAAAATCATTGTAGCTTCCACTACCTCCAAAATTACTTCCATCATTACCAAATGCATTATAGCCATTCCCACTGCCACCATATCCACCACCACCATGGCTGCCACCAAAGCCACCACAACCACTGAAGTTTCCTCCACGACCAAAATTGTCATTCCCACTGAAGCCACCTCCAGGACCACCACCAAAATTTCCAGAACCACTTCGAACTCTTTGGCTAGATGAAGTACTACCCATCTCTTGCTTCGACTGGGCTTTCGTAACTTCTAAGCTGTGGCTATTCACAGTATTGTAATTTTTTTTTTTTTTAAGATGGAGTCTCACTCTGTCACCTAGGCTGGAGTGCAGTGGCATGATCTCTGCTCACTGCAGCCTCTGTCTCCCAGGTTCCAGCGATTCTACTGCCTCAGGCTCCCAAGTAGCCAGGATTACAGGCACACACCACCATGCCCAGCTAATTTTTGTATTTTTAGTAGAGACGGGGTTTCACCATGTTGGCTAGGTTGGTCTTGAACTCCTGGCCTCAAGTGATCTGCCTGCCTCCCCCTCCCAAAGTGCTGGGATTACAGGTGTGAGCCACTGCACCCAGTCAAGCATGTTTCTAAGAAAAGGGCAAACAATTCTCAAAGAGGCCCCTAATATCTAAAACCAGTTTAGAATCCCTGCCCTAGGTGAATACAGGAAACATTGTCAAAACTAAAAGGAAACTTGTAGGGCATCTTAATCAATCAGCCAAGATGGGTGCCAAAGCCCAAAGCCAGGTAGAGGCTTGTGCAAGATCACAAGCAGAGGCGCAGTTTGAAGCTAGATTCTCCCACTCTTAAACTAGTGCTGGACAGACTGAGGCCTAGCAAGTTGGCTACAGAGCCCTAGCAGATTCCTGTCTCCACACTGAGCCAGGAGGGGTTGCTGCCCAGGGATACCGACAGCCATACTTAAGCTGGACAAGGCACATGCTCTTGGTGGAAGCAAACACGTCCGCTACCTCATACAGAAATAAAAATGATTATAAAGGAATCCTGGGAATATCTGTATGCTAAAAAATTAGATAACTTAGATGAAATGAACGAATTCTTAAAAAGATAACAACTACCAAAACTGACTTAAAATAAATGGGAAATCTGAATAGATCTGTAAAGAGTAGACACCAAATCACTAATCAAAAAATATTCCACAAAGGAAATCCCAAGCTCAGATGATTTCAATGGAGAACTCTACCAAACTTTTACAGAATTAACTCTAATCATTTACAAACTCTTCCAAAATATAGAAGAGGATGGAATACTTTCCAACTCATTCTATGAGGCCAGTACTACAGACAAAGATATCATAAAAAAGAAAACTACAGACCAATAGTCCCTATGAATATAGGCACAAAAATTCTCAAAAAATATTAGTAAAAAGATTCAGCCACATATAAAAAAAGATTATATGCCATAATGAAATCCAATGGAATTTGTCCCAAGAATGCCAGGTTATTCAAGCATGCAAAAATCAATGTAATATACCACTTTAACAGAGCAAAGGGCATAACCAACATAATCAACTCAATAGACACAGAAAAAAAAATTGACAAAAATCTGTCAACCTTTTATGATAAAAACACTCCTCAAATTAAGAATAGAACTTCCTCAACCTAAAAAAGCACATTTATGAAAAATCCCGAGATAACATCATACTTAATGGGAGAAATTAAAAAGTTTTCCTTTAAGATCAGGAGCAAGACTATTTCCTGGTAAATTTTTCCTCTCCTCCGTGTTTGAGTTCTATCCATTTCACATTTCTATTACCGAACGTGTTTATTTCTTCTATGTTTTTTCCAGCCATTATTGGCAGTTTTGTCTATTTTAATGGTATTTTTAAAATACAAACTTTTAGTTTTATTTGGCAATTTTAGTGTTTCTTTTTTTCTAATTCACTAATTTCAACTACTTTCTTCAATTATCCTCTACTTTCTCTTTACTTACTTTGCTGTTTTGTTCCAGTTTCTTAGGTTCAAGCCTTAGTTAATTTGCTTTCAAGTATTCACATGTATATATTAAAGCATTGGTAAGAATTTATTTACAACTGTTCATTATAGAGATGTTGATGTCCCGAGCAATAGTGGTCATGATCCCTAGATGTGGAGGAAAGAAGGGGGGAAGGCTGAGGTTAATCAGTAGGGTTCTGGTAAAGCATGGTCTTTCAAGCTACATGGCTGGGTACCCAAGAACTTAACTGTTCTGCTCACAAGGCTGATTCTGGATGCACCAGAACTCTGCCCAGGCTTAAGCCCTGGAAAGATAAAAATCAGAGATATGAATTCAACTCCTCACATGAGAAGGACAGCTAACCCTTCAGATATTTCAGTCAAGTCCGGGATTCTTCTATCTGCTGTCTGCAACATCATGAAGCCTGAATGGGCTCACTTTTCTCTATGGCTCCTCATCTTGTCCATGCTTCTCCACACACCTTCAGGGAACATATTTCCTCCACAACTCAGAAAACAGTTACGTGAAAGTGGACATCTTGGAGGTAAAGAAAAACAGAAAGGGCAGACCAATGTGACACTGTGAAGGAGAGGGAGGTCTGGGCAGCCTGGGTGATGTTGCTGCCAGTAATTAGAATCAAGTCTCCTTTTTATCTCAAACCGTATGGCTCTAGGACATCTGATTCAGAGAATTACATTGAGTTTCCTCTATGGAGTGGAGAAGGAGGAAGACAGAAAGCAGAATCAACTTAAGTTTTAACCATGAGATTTCAGTATAAGAGTGGGGGTTATGAAAATGGGATTGATTTCAGAGGTGTCCAAGAAATTCCTTTGTTGGGGTGTGTGTCTGTACATTAGATGAGTTTTGAGTCTATTCAACACATATGTGTAGAACCACTATGTTATATTCCACTGATACAGATATGCAGAGGCCATCATTCCCCCATATATGTATAGAGCACTCCTATCCTACTTATTTAAATTAATTTGTTCTTCATTCAAATTAACATGAGCATCTGTGAAACACTCAAGGCAAAAGGGGCAAGTTCCCAATCATGGATAAGAATTGCAGTTGGGCGGCCAGGCGCAGTAGCTCACCCTTGTAATCCCAGCACTTTGGGAGGCCAAGGCAGGCGGATCACCTGAGGTCAGGAGTTTGAGAACAGCCTGTCCAATGTGGCGAAACCCCATCTGTACTAAAAATACAAAAATTAGCCGGGTGTGGTGGCGCATGCCTGTAGTCCCAGCTACTTGGGAGGCTGAGGCACAAGAATCACTTGAACCCAGGCAGCAGAGGTTGCAGTGAGAGCCGTGATAGCGCCACTACACTCCCTCCTGGGCAACAGAGCGAGGCTCCATCTCAATTAAAAAAAAAATTTAAAAAAGAATTGTAGTTGGGCTTCAAGAAGACTAACATTAACTCTTTCTCTGTCTCCAACTCAGTCATCATGGCTTCTGCTCTAACCACTTAATCTCCATGGTCTCAGTAAAACCAGGTGAGTCTGGATGGGTAGGCAAAAGTGGGGCTGGATAGGAGAGGAAATAGACTGATGGAGGAAAGGAAGATCTGCCAGAGTGGACATTTTAAACCTGTCCTTCAGAGTAGGTGTAGTGGGTGAGAGGTCTTTTTAGCTTGTGTATTTGCACAGACTCTGGCGGGCAGAGAGGAGAGAGTGAAAGTAAGGGCTCTGAACTATGTCCTTGAGGAAGCTGATGAGTTGTTCACTTCCAGTGACATGGGAAGCATGTGGAGTCAAGAAATGGGATATCTTTACTGCGAAAGATGAAGGAAACCTCAGGTCTTTCTTGTTCTCAGCTCTAAAATAGTATAAGAACCTCATTGTGCTTCTCTATTTCTGTGTCATGGACCCAGTCTGTAGTCTGGAACAATTTCCCCATATGCTTAGGGAACTCTGTCTTGTTCCCCAGGGGTAAAATTAGTTAGATTTATGTGGGTTGGAAGTTTTAGTAGTCTGAGCCTGTGAGAACAAGAATGCCAAAAGAGTAGTAAAGAAAACCTGACTCTGGAATTCTCATTCACAGAATACTGCAACTATCCTCTGAAGAAGGGCACCTGTAATTCATATTTGACCAGATTCTACTACAACACTTTGACATTTTTATGTGAGCCCTTTGTCTTCAGTGGCTGTGGAGGCAACAGAAACAACTTTAAACAGAAATATTTCTGTGAAAAAATGTGTATTACTGAAAAGTAAGTCTCTGGATATCTTACCCAACCCTCAATGACACCAAACACTAGGGATCAAAGCTTTTTAAGGAAAAAGGAAATGAAAGGCAAGGGCAATGAGCAGGGAGGCAAGAAATTATACCTAAGTTAGGGATAGCCTGTCATAGGTATTAATTTCTCAGGTCACTTAAATGTCACTATAATCAGTCATAGGCATAAGTTTTTCAGGTAACTTAGTTTAATAACATTCTTGAAATTGTGAAAATTGAAGTTCAGCCAAGCACAGTGGTGTGCACCTGTAGTCCCAGCTACTTGGGAAGCTGAGGCAAGAAGATTACTTGAGCCCAGCATTCAAGACCAGCCTGGGCAATACAGCAAGACTTCCATTTAGATAGATAGATAGATAGATAGATAGATAGATAGATAGATAGACAGACAGACAGACAGACAGACAGACAGACAGACAGATAGATATAGATAGCCAGGCGCGGTGGCTTATGCCTGTAATCCCAGCACTTTGGGAGGCTGAGGCGGGCGGATCATGAGGTCAGTAGATCAAGACCATCCTGGCTAACATGGTGAAACCCCTTCCCTACTAAAAATACAAAAAGTTAGCTGGGCACGGTGGCACACACCTGTAATTCCAGCTACTCAGGAGGCTGAGGCAGGAGAATCGCTTGAACCCAGGAGGCAGAGGTTGCAGTGAGCCAAGATCATGCCACTGCACTCCATCCTGGGCAACAAGAACGAGACTCTGTCTCAAAAAAATAAAAATAAAAATAAAAATAAAGCTCAGAGAGGCTACTGATTTGCCCAAATTCACTCAGAAGAAGGACATGGATCCAGAGCTCCTAGCTCCCCACCAGCATCTCAGTACTACCAGGATGGCATCAGCTTTTTGAGATTGTGTTCAACATCTTATTGTTTCACAGTTAAATGGAAAGCTATGAGAATGTCAGAAGAGTAGGAGAAGACAAGGATCATGGTTTAGTATCCACTATAAAGAATAGCTAAACAATGGTCTTACACGCAAGAGCAGAGATATCACTTTATTCATCTGTATATTCTCAAAGTCTAGTACTATGTTTGCCCATTAATATTTTATGGATAGATGCATGGGTCAGGAGGAATATTAGTATTAAAGAGAGCTGTGAAGTTCTGCTGAGATGTTAAGGACCCATTGTTTGGGTCCTTATTGATACCAATGGCCATAATAATCTCTAAATTTATTTATTCATTAACAGGGACCAAAGTCAATAGGGCCTTAATATGACAGAAGGAGGAAACAAGGAAAAAGGAGTATGCTCTATGAAAAATCATGCCAAAGTTATTCTGAGAAAATAAATTGGATTATTTCTAAAAGATTTTTGAATTCTGAATTCTTTCTAATTTCCTTGCCCAGGTTTACCTTTCATACTAATTAGATATATAAAACTTTAACTGAAAATTTTCTGTATGTCAGCTCTGGTCTGAATTTATTCATCTCTCCCATTCTAGATTCTTCCAACATATACTGCAAATGACCTCTCTGCAGGGACCAACCTATCCATGTAATGCATCAGTGTATGTAAAGGCAATCATTATTGATATCTCCTCGGCATGACATGCCAAAACTGAGTTTCTTTCTGTATTTTGTCACTGACTTCAGTGGGATTTGCATGTAGGTGGCACCAAGATAATCATTATTAAATTCTTTCACCTGCTCCAAATCAAAGGGCATTCAACCCACAAAAGTGATCATATTCTAGGGAAATATCTTCAGTGCCCTAGCTACAAGCCATATGGAAATTGTGACTTTACAGCTGAGAGCTATGAGTCTTGAACCAAAGTGAACCTCTACTCTCAGAGCATGAAGGGCCACTCCCTTCTTCTCTGTCTTATTCATATTCTTGTCAAGGACTAAGCCTCACAAATGAATCTATTGATATAAATAGCTTATGCCAGTGTTCTAAGGGCCATAAACAGTAGAATAAACTGAAGCTCAGAGTGAAGCCACTTGTGGGTATTCTAGCTCGATCTCAACACTGGCAACCCCTAATCCTGAATTATGGGCATATCCTAGGAGAAATCATGGGAATTAGCAAAAAGTATGTGTTAAAGATGTCACCTAGTTCTGCTTCCAGGAATTACTCCTGTGCAAAAAAGGGACAAAGGAAACAAGAATGTTCTGGTAGCTTCTAGGTATTGAGGCAAAGTCTAGAATCTCAGACCATGCTGTGTCTTGGGCCTGAATGTCATGGTGCCTATTCATGGATTCTGAAGATTTTCCTTCCTCTGATTACTGTAAAAAACAGTGTTACATAAACAAGATTCAAGTGCAATTTTTTAAGTCTTTCAAAACTATAGTCTAGTCCAAAGAATTAATATAAGTAAAATATTCTCTGGAGACAAAGAATTACCGACAATGATGACCCAAAGTTCATTCTAGCCTCAAGTTTTCAGATTTCTTCTGGGCACTTGAGTAATTGCCCAAGTTTCTTTCTCAATCAATCCTATATTTGCATCTAAGAAAAAGGTATGTGTGTACTGTCTGTAGTGCTGAAGGAATATTTTATAATTACCCACAAAGATTAGTAAAAAGGCCCAAAGATATATGTGCATTGCAGACCTTCATAGAAAACCACATACCCAAGGACTAATACAGGACACAAATCCACAAGAAACCCAAGTGGATTTCACATTAAATTCAAGTGAGATATTTTGAGGAGAAAGTCACAGATAGAAGAGTAACAAAGATAAAAATATAAACCAAAACCTCAGAGTACAAACCAAAGACAGAATGAAAAGATTTTGGTTCTGACTCTAGCCTCTTCCCCTGAGTCATATCTTACCACTGGAGAAACTGAAAGGAAAAGATCCCATTACATATGAGATGGAAATTAAAAGTGGTTTAAGAAGATTCTGATTTCTCATTTAAAAAGCCCCAAAGAGTAGGCGTAGTGACTCACGCCTATAATCCCAGAACTTTAGGGGGTCAAGGCAGGAGGATCACTTGAGGCCAGGAGTTTGAGACCAGCCTGGGCAACACAGCAAAACTTGTCTATTAAAAAAATACAAAAGATGGCCAGGCCCGATGGCTCACACCTGTAATCCCAGCACTTTGGGAGGCCAAGGTGGGTGGATCACCTGAAGTCAGGAATTCGAGACCAGCCTGGCCAACGTGGTGAAACCCCATCTCTACTAAAAATACAAAATTAGCCAGGTGTGGTGGCGCATGCCTGTAGTCCCAGCTACTTGGGAGGCTGAGGCAGGAGAATCACTTGAACCCAAGAGGGAGAAGTTGCAGTGAGCCAAGATCATGCCATTGCACTCCAGCCTGGGCAACAAGAGCGAAACTCCACCTCAAAAAATAATAATAATAATAATAATACAAAAGGCCAGGTCCAGTGGCTCATGCCTGTAATCCCAGCACTTTGGGAGGCCAAAACAGGCGGATTGCTTGAGTTCACAAGTTCAAGACCAGCCTGGACAACACGGCAAAACTCCATCTCTACTTAAAATACAAAATTGGCAAGGCATGGTGGTACATGCCTGTAGTCCCAGCTGCTTGGGAGGCTAAGGTAGGATGCCGGCCTCAGCCAGGAGACAGAGGTTGCATGAGCCGAGATGGCACCACTGCACTCCAGCCTGGGCGATAGAGCCAGATCTTGTCTCAAAAAAAAAAAAAAAAAGGTGGTGGGGAGAAGAAAAAAAATTGTAATACAAAAGATAAACAAAACAAAAAGTTGTTTTTTTGGAAAGATAACAAAACTGGCAAACCTTTAGCTAGACTAACCAAGAAAAAAATGAAGACCAAATAAATAAAATCAGGGATGAAAAAGGACACATTACAACTGATACCGCAGAAATACAAAGAATCACTAGAGACTTTTTTTTTCCCCTGAGATGGAGTTTTGCTCTTGTTGCCCAGGCTGGAGTGCAATGGCACGATCTCAGCTCACTGCAACCTCCACCTCCCGGGTTCAAGCGATTCTCCTGCCTTAGCCTCCTGAGTAGCTGGGATTACAGGCATGTGCCACCACACCCAGCTAATTTTATATTTTTAGTAGAGACAGGGTTTCTCCATGTTGGTCAGGCTGGTCTTGAACTCCCGACCTCAGGTGATCCACTCGCCTCAGGCTTCCAAAGTGCTAGGATTACAGGCGTGAGCCACCGCATCCGGCCTGGATCATTAGAGGCTATTATGGAAAACTACACACCAACAAATTGGAAAACTAAAAAGATAAATTATTTGACACATACAACTTACCAAAATTGAATCATAAAGAAACAGAAAACTTAAACAGGCCAACTATGAGTAATGAGATGAAAGCAGAAATTAAACGTATCTCTTTAAAGAAAAGCATAGGACCTGATGGTTTTACTGCTGAATTCTACCAAATATTTGAAGAAGAATTAATACAAATTCTACTCAAATTATTCTAAAAAATTGAAGAGGGAATACTTCCAAACTCATTCTACAAGGCAAGAAGTACCCTGTGGCCAGGCATGGTGGCTCACGCCTGTAATCCCAGCACTTTGGGAGACTAAGAGACCAAGGCAGGTGGATGACTTGAGGCGAGGAGTTCAAGACCAGCCTGGCCAACATGGCGAAACCCTGTCTGTACTAAAAATACAAAAATTAGCCAGGGAGGTGGCGCATGCCTGTAATCCTAGCTACTCAGGAGGCCAAGGCATAAGGATCGCTTGAACCCAGGAGGTGGAGGCTGCAATGAGCCAAGATCGTGCCACTACACTCCAGCCTGGGCAACAGGGCGAGACTCTGTCTCAAAAAAAAGATCATTCACCATGATCAAATGGGATTCATCCCCAGATGCAAGGATAGTTCAACATATACAAATCAATAAGCGTAATACACCCCATCGACAGAATCAAAAGAGCCATATGATCATTTCAGTAGATTGTGAAAGAGCATTTGATAAAATTCAACATCCCTTCATGATAAAATTCTCAAGAAATTGGATATAGAAAGAACATACCTCAATGCAATAAAGGCCATAAGTGACAAGCACATAGCTAATACCATACGGAATGGGGAAAAACGGAAAGCCCTTTCCACTAAGGTCTGAAACAAGATAATGATGCCACTTTCACCACTGTTATTCAACATAGTACTAGAAATCCTAGCCAGAGCAATTAGGCAAGAGAAAGAAATAAAGGGCATCCAAATTGGAAAGGAAGAAGTCAAATTAGCCTTGGAAACACATGACATGATCTTATTTTTAGAAAAACCTACCCCACCAAAAAATTCTTAGAACTAATCAACAAATTTAGTTTAATTGCAGGATACAAAATCTACATACAAAAATCAGTAGTGTTTCTATATGCTAACAATAATCAATCTGAAAAAGAAACCAATAAAGCAATCTCCTTTACAATAGCTACAAAAAAAAAAAACCTAGGACAAAATTAATTAGAAGATCTCCACAAGGAAAACTATAAAATACTAATGAAAGAAACTGAAGAGTACACCAAAAAATGGAAAGATATCCCATGCTCATAGGTCAGAAGAATTAATATTGTTAAAATGCCCATAATATCCAAAGTGACCTTCAGATTCAATACAATCTCTATTAAAATATCAATGGCATTCTTCACATAAACAGGAAAAAAAAATTCTAAAATTTGTATGGAACGACAAAAGACCCCGAATAGCTAAAGCAATCCTGGGCAAAAACAACAAAGCTGGAGGTATCACACTACCTGAATTCAAATTATACAACAAAGCTATAGTAACCAAAACAAAGCTATAGTAACCAAAACAGCATGGTATTGGCACAAAAACAGACACATAGACCAATGGAACAGAATAGAAAACCCAGAAATCAATGCATGCACATATAGACAACTCTTTTTTTTTTTTTTTTTTTTTTTTTGTGAGACGGAGTCTTGCTCGGTCACCCTGGCTGGAGTGCAGTGGCGTGAACTCAGCTCACTGCAAGCTCTGCCTCCCGGGTTCACGCCATTTTCCTGCCTCAGCCTCCTCAGCAGCTGGGACTACAGGCGCACGCCGCTATGCCCGGCTAATTTTTTTGAGACAACTCATTTTTGACAAAGGTGCCAAGAACATATATTGGGGAAAGGACAGTCTTGTTAATAATTGGTGCCGAGAAAGCGGGATATCTATATGCAGAAGAATGAAACTAGATTGCAATCTTTTACCATATGCAAAAATCAAATAAAAATTGATTAAATACTGAAATCTAATGCCTGAAACTACAAAACTAGAAGAAAACATTAGTCAGGACATTGGTCTTGGGAAAGATTTTCTGGGTAAGACCTCAAAAGCAAAAGCAACAGAAGAAAAAACAAACAAATGGGATTACATCATTAAAAAGTTTCTACAGCCAGGCGCGGTGGGTCACGCCTGTAATCTCAGCACTTTGGGAGGCTGAGGCAGGTGGATCACCTGAGGTCAGGAGTTCAAGACCAGCCTGGCCAACATGGTGAAACCCCATCTCTACTTAAAATACAAAAAATTAGCTGGGTGTGGTGGTACACAACTATAATCCCAGCTACTTGGGAGGCTGAGGCAGGACAGTCGCTTGAACCTGGGAGGTGGAGGTTGCAGTGAGCCGAGATCATGACATTGCACTCCAGACTGGGGGAAAAAAGCAAGACTTCATCTCAAAAAAAAAAAAAAAAAAATTTCTGCATGGCAAAGGCCAGTTGCCTTTAATCCCCTATAATCCCCACACTTTGGAGGCCAAGGCAGGCAGATCACCTGAACCTGAGGTGGAGAGTTTGAGACCAATCTGGGCAACATGGTGAAACCCTGTCTCCACTAAAAATATAAAAATCAGCCAGATGTGGTGGTGCACACCTGTAATCCCAGCTACTCGGGAGGCTGAGGCACAAGAATCACTTGAACCCAGGAAGTGGAGGTTTCAGTGAGCCATGATTGCAGCACTGCATTCCAGCATGGGCGACAGCGTGAGACCCTGTCTCAAAAAAGAAAAGACAAGCTACAGGATGGAAGAAAATATTTCCAAACTACCTCATCAACAAGGGACTAGGCTATGCACAGTGGCTCACACCTATAATCCCAGCACTTTGGGAGACAGAGGCAGCAAGATCACTTGAGGCCAAGAATTTGAGACCAGTCCGGGCATCATAGCAAGACTCTGTCTCTACAAAAAAAAGGCAACAACAGGAATTAAAAATATATAAGAAACTCAAACAACTCAATACCAAAAAAAAAAAAAAAAAAAAATCTGGCTGGCACAGTAGTTCTCGCCTGTAGTCCCAGCACAAGGCCAAGGCAGGTGGATCACTTGAGGCCAGGAGTTTGAGACCAGCCTGGCCAACATGGCGAAACCCTGTCTGTACTAAAAATACAAAAATTAGCCAGATGTGGTGGTGCATGTCTGTAATCCCTGCTACTTGGGAGGCTGAGGCAGGAGAATCATTTGAACCCAGGAGGCAGAGGGCAGAGTTTGCAGTGAGACGAGACTGGGCCACTGCACTCCAGTCTGGGCAACAGAGCAAGACTCTGTGTCAAAAACATATATATATATATGCGTATATATACGCATATATATACATATAAGTATGCATATATATATGTGTATATATATGCATATGTATGTATATATATCTGTATATATATGCATATGTATGTATATATATCTGTATATATATGCATATATACATGTATATATATATCTGTATATATATGCATATATACATGCATATATATGTGTATATACATACAGATATATATATACACACACATATATACATATATCTCAAATAAAGAGACATTCTTGGGCAAAGGGGATTTGTCCCAGTGGTCTTGACAGTGCCACAAATCATTTTAACACTTTTGGGTATAGCCAGAACCATCCTAGTGGTCTGAAACACAAAAGTGAGGCCCAGACTACTTAGGGAGATCAGGCTGGGTGCCAGAAATTAAAAGGATAGGAGCCAGAGACAGGTAAGCAGAAAGTTTACAAGAAAAAAAAATGGAAGATGAACAAAGACCCTAGGCCTCTGCCAGGTGGGCTGTGAGAGAAGAGGTTTCAAAAGAGGAAGAACTTAAGATGACATTCTTACAGACAGACCCCTGGCCATTGCAGAAGCATTTCTGGGCTCCTTGGCGCCCCCCAGTCCAGGAGGCACTGCAGGACACAGGAGGCCTTGGAGCTCATGGGCACCAGAGCCCAGGCTTCCATGTAGCTGAGATACGATCTGGCACTGCAGTCCTCAAGGTCTTGCAGGGGCCCTCTGACCCCCGGTTCCAGCCCTGGGACACAATTGCCCTGCTACATGCTTCCTTTCTATAATTAAAGAAGGAAACCCTCAGGGCACCCCACTCCACCACTCACCTCTCGCCAGGGACCAGGTACCAGGGTGGGTGTCCTCTTCCTGAAAAAGAAAGGCTTAGATGAAGCAGTCCCTTGTGAAACAGGCAGCCATTAGCACCAGGGCCCAGCCTAGGTGAGAACTCTCAGGCCCTGCCTGGCAGCCCACAGCCAGGCATGGTTGAGATACCAAGTTACTCTACAGATGTCTTTGTTTTTTGTTTTTTTTGAGTCAGAGTCTCACTCTGTTGCCCAGGCTGGAGTGCAGTAGCGTGATCTCGGCTCACCGCAACCTCTGCCTCCCAGGTTCAAGCAATTCTCCTGCCTCAGCCTCCAGAGTAGCTGGAATTACAGGCGCCCACCACCAAGCCCAGCTAATTTTTGTGGGGGTTTTTTGGGGTTTTTTTGTTTGTTTGTTTTTGAGACAGAGTCTGGCTCTGTCACCCAGGCTGGAGTGCAGTGGCGCAATCTCGGCTCACTGCAAGCTCCGCCTCCCGGCTTCACGCCACTCTCCTGCCTCAGCCTCCTGAGTAGCTAAGACTACAGGCACCCACCACCACACCTGGCTAATTTTTTTTTTGTAATTTTTGTAGAGACAGGGTTTCACCTTGTTAGCCAGGATAGTCTCAATCTCCTGACCTCGTGATCCACCCACCTCAGCCTCCCAAAGTGCTGGGATTACAGGCTTGAGCCACCGCACCCGGCCAATTTTTGTATTTTTAGTAGAGACGGGGTTTCACCATGTTGGCCAGGCTAGTCTCAAACTCCTGACCTCAGGTGATCCACCCGCCTCAGCCTCCCAAAGTGCTGGGATTACAGACATGAGCCACCGTACCCAGCCTGCATTTTTTTTTAAGCATTAGGTTGGTGAAAAAATATTTTGATTTTTTTTAAAACAAGCAAGCATTACTTTTGTGATCTTTTAAAACTGATTGGATGAAAAAATGGAAAATGTAACATAAGAAGTGTCAGACCTCTGAGCCCAAGCTAAGCCATCATATCCCCTGTGACCTGCACATACACATCCAGATGGCCGGTTCCTGCCTTAACTGATGACATTCCACCACAAAAGAAGTGAAAATGGCCTGTTCCTGCCTTAACTGATGACATTGTCTTGTGAAATTCCTTTTCCTGGCTCATCCTGTCTCAAAAAGCTCCCCTACTGAGCACCTTGTGACCCACCCCCCAACTCTGCCCTCCAGAGAACAACTCCCCTTTGACTGTAATTTTCCTTTATCTACCCAAATCCCATAAAACGGCCCCACCCTTATCTCCCTTCACTGACTCTCTTTTCAGACTCAGCCCGCCTGCACCCAGGTGAAATAAACAGCCACGTTGCTCACACAAAGCCTGTTTGGTGGTCTCTTCACACGGACGCGCATGAAATTTGGTGCCGTGACTCGGATTGGGGGACCTCCCTTGGGAGATCAATCCCCTGTCCTCCTGCTCTTTGCTCCGTGAGAAAGATCCACCTATGACCTCAGGTCCTCAGACCGACCAGCCCAAGAAACATCTCACCAATTTTAAATTGGGTAAGCAGCCTCTTTTTACTCTCTCCTCCAACCTCCCTCACTATCCCTCAACCTCTTTCTCCTTTCAATCTTGGTGCCACACTTCAATCTCTCCCTTCTCTTAATTTCAATTCCTTTCATTTTCTGGTAGAGACAAAGGAGACACGTTTTATCTGTGGACCCAAAACTCCGGCGCCGGTCGCAGACTAGGGAAGGCAGCCTTCGCTTGGTGTTTAATCATTGCAGGGATGCCTCTCTGATTATTCACCCAGGTTTCAGAGGTGTCAGACCACGCAGGGACACCTGCCTTGGTCCTTCACCCTTAGTGGCAAGTCCCGCTTTTCTGGGGAAGGGTAAGTACCCCAACCCATTCTCTCTGTGTCTCTACCTCTTCTTTGCCTTTCTGGGGGGCAAGAAACCCCCAACCCCTTCTCCTTCACCCTTAGCGGCAAGTCCTGCTTTTCTAGGGGAGGGGCAAGTACCCCAACCCCTTATATCTCTGCACCCCGATCCCTTATTTCCACGCCCCAACCCCTTATATCTCTGTGCCCCAATCCCTTATTTCCACGCCCCAACCCCTTATATCTCTGCTCCCCGATCCCTTATTTCCGTACCCCAACCTCTTATATCTCTGCACCCGATCCCTTATTTCCACACCCCAACCTCTTATATCTCTGTGCCCCGATCCCTTATTTCCACACCCTGACCTCGTATCTCTGTGCCCCAACCCCTTTCCCACTTTTCTGGAGGGTAAGAACCCCCGAACCCCTTCCCTCCGTGTCTCTACTCTCTCTTTTCTCTGGGCTTGCCTCCTTCACTATGGGCAACATTCCACCCTCCATTCCTCCTCCTCCTTCTCCCTTCCTGTGTTCTTAAGAACTTAAAACCTCTTTAACTTTCACCTGACCTAAAATCTAAGCACCTTATTTTCTTCTGCAACACCACTTGACCCCAATACAAACTTGACAATGGCTCTAAATGGCCAGAAAACAGCACTTTCGATTTCTCCATCCTACAAGACCTAAATAATTTTTGTGGAAAAATGGGCATTTTTCACACTTCGTTCCCTCCCTAGTCTCTGTTCCCAATACGATTCCTCCCAAATCCTCCTTCTTTCCCTCCCGCCTGTCCCCTCAGTCCCAACCCCAAGCGTTGCTGAGTCTTTCCAGTCTTCCTTTTTTCTACAGACCCATCTGACCTTTCTCCTCCTCCCCAGGCTGCTCGTCGCCAGGCCAAGCTAAGTCCCAATTCTTCCTCAGCCTCCGCTCCTCCACACTATAATCCTTCTACCACCTCCCCTCCTCACACCCGGTCCAGCTTACAGTTTAGTTCTGCAACTAATTCTTCCCCACCTGCCCAGCAATTTCCTCTTAGAGAGGTGGCTGGAGCTGAAGGCATAGTCAGGGTACATGTACCTTTTTCTCTATCAGACCTCTCTCAGATCAGTCAGCATTTAGGCTCTTTCTCATCAGACCCCACTAAACATATACAGGAATTCCAATATCTAACTCTGTCCTACAATTTAACCTGAAGTGACTTAAATGTCATCCTGACTTCTACCCTCTCCCCAGATGAACAGGAAAGAGTTTTTTCTCTAGCCCAATTTCACACTGATAACCGCCGGCTTCGTGAACCTGACCTCCAGGAAGGCAGTAGAGCAGTTCCCCGAGAGGACCCCCAATGGAACTATAAGGCAGATTCCCCAGGTACAGCTAGGCGAGATTACATGGTTTCCTGCCTAGTTGAAGGGCTTAAAAAGGCAGCTTACAAAGCTGTTAATTATGACAAGCTTAAAGAAACTACCCGAGGTAAAGATGAAAACCCAGCCCAGGTCGTGGCCCGCTTAGCAGCAACCCTTACACACTTTACCGCCCTAGACCCAGAGGGGCCAGAAGGCCGCCTTATTCTTAATATGCATTTTATCACCCAATCCACTCCTGACATTAGGAAAAAACTTCGAAAATTAGAATCGGGCCCTCAAACCCCACAACAGGAATTAATCAACCTCGCCTTCAAGGTGTACAGTAATAGAGAGGAAGCAGCCAGACGGCAACGCATTTCTGAGTTACAATTACTTGCCTCTGCTGTGAGACAAAACCCAGCCACACCTCCAGCACACAAGAACTTCAAAATGCCTAAGCCGCAGCAGACAAGCATTCCTACAAGACTTCCTCCATCAGGATCTTGCTTCAAGTGCCAGAAATCTGGCCACTGGGCCAAGGAATGCCCGCAGCCCAGGATTCCTCCCAAGCTATGTCCTATCTGTGCAGGGACCCACTAGAAGGCAGACTGCCCAGCTCGCCCGGCAGCCACTCCTAGAGCCCCTAAAGCTCTAGCCCAAGGCTCTCTGACCGACTCCTTCTCAGATCTGCTCGGCTTAGCGACTGAAGATTGACGCTGCCCGATCACCTCGGAAGCCCCCCGGACCATCATGGACGCCAAGCTTCAGGTAACTCTCACAGTGGAGGGTAAGTCCATCCCCTGTTTAATCGATACGGGGGCTACCCACTCCACGTTACCTTCTTTTCAAGGGCCTGTTTCCCTCACCCCGATAACTGTTGTGGGTATTGACGGCCAAGCTTCAAAACCCCTTAAAACTCCCCCACTCTGGTCCCAACTTGGACAACACTCTTTTATTCACTCTTTTTTAGTCATCCCCACCTGCCCAGTTCCCTTATTAGGCTGAGATATTTTAACCAAATTATCTGCTTCCCTGACTATTCCTGGACTACAGCCACATCTCATTGCCACCCTTCTCCCCAACCCAAAGCCTCCTTCGCGTCTTCCTCTTGTATCCCACCTTAATCCACAAGTATGGGACATCTCTACTCCTTACCTGGCAACCAATCACATGCCCATTACCATCCCATTAAAACCTAATCACCCTTACCCTGCTCAATGCCAATATCCCATCCCACAGCACACTTTAAAAGGATTAAAGCCTGTTATCACTCGCCTGCTACAGCATGGGCTTCTAAAACCTATAAACTCTCCTTACAATTCCCCATTTTACCTGTCCAAAAACCGGACAAGTCTTACAGATTAGTTCACTATTCCCCTGCACCCCTCGTCCCAGCCTCTCTTTGCTTTCACTTAGACTGACCCTGACACCCATTAGGCTCAGCAAATTACCTGGGCTATACTGCTGCAAGGCTTCACAGACAGCCCCCATTACTTCAGTCAAGCCCAAATCTCATCCTCATCTGTTACCTATCTCGGCATAATTCTCATAAAAACACATGTGCTTTCCCTGCTGATCATGTCCGATTAATCTCCCAAACCTCAATCCCTTACAAAACAACTCCTTTCCTTCCTAGGCATGGTTAGTGCAGTCAGAATTCTTACACAAGAGCCAGGACCGCACCCTGTAGCCTTTCTGTGCAAACAACTTGACCTTACTGTTTTAGCCTGGCCCTCATGTCTGCGTGCAGCGGCTGCCGCTGCTTTAATACTTTTAGAGGCCCTAAAAATCACAAACTATGCTCAGCTCACTCTCTACACCTCTCATAACTTCCAGAATTATTTTCTTTCTCACACCTGACACATATACTTTCTGCTCCCCGGCTCCTTCAGCTGTACTCACTCTTTGTTAAGTCTCCCACAATTACCATTGTTCCTGGCCCGGACTCCAATCCGGCCTCCCACATTATTCCTGATACCACACATGACCCCCATGACTGTATCTCTCTGATCCACCTGACATTCACCCCATTTCCCCATATTTCCTTCTTTCCTGTTCCTCACCCAATCATGCTTGATTTATTGACTGGCGGTTCCACCAGGCCTAATCGCCACACACCAGCAAAGACAGGCTATGCTATAGTACAAGCCACTAGCCCACCTCTTAGTACCTCTCATTTCCTTTCCATCGTGGAAATCTATCCTCAAGGAAATAACTTCTCAGTGTTCCATCTGCTATTCTACTACTCCTCAGGGATTATTCAGGCCCCCTCCCTTCCCTACACATCAAGCTCAAGGATTTGCCCCCACCCAGGACTGGCAAATTGGCTTTACTCAACATTCCCCGAGTCAGATAACTAAAATACCTCTTAGTCTAGGTAGACACTTTCACTGGATAGGTACAGGCCTTTCCTACAGGGTCTGAGAAGGCCACCGCAGTCATTTCTTCCCTTCTGTCAGACATAATTCCTCAGTTTAGCTTTCCCACCTCTATGCAGTCTGATAACAGACGAGCCTTTATTAGTCAAATCAGCCAAGCAGTTTTTCAGGCTCTTAGTAGTCAGTGACAGACTAATGGTCTATTAAAAACACACCTCACCAAGCTCAGCCACTAACTTAAAAAGGACTGGACAATACTTTTACCACTTTCGCTTCTCAGAATTCAGGCCTGTCCTCGGAATGCTACAAGGTACAGCCCATTTAAGCTCCTGTATAGACGCTCCTTTTTATTAGGCCCCAGTCTCATTCCAGATACCAGACCAACTCAGACTGTGCCCCAAAACACTTGTCATCCCTACTATCTTCTGTCTAGTCATACTCCTATTCACTGCTCTCAACTACTCATACATGCCCTGCTCTTGTTTACACTGCCAGTTTACACTGTTTCTCCAAACCATCACAGCTGATATCTCCTGGTACTATCCCCAATTAGATGTCCTAGGTCCTCCCAATTCTTAGTCCTTTAATACCTGTTTTTGTCCTTCTCTAATTCCGTTTATTTTTTAATTCATACAAAACTGTATCCAGGCCATCACTAATAATTCTAAATGACAAATGTTTCTTCTAACAACCCCACAATATCACCCCTTACCACAAAATCTTCCTTCAGCTTAATCTCTCCTACTCTAGGTTCCCACGCCGCCCCTAATCCTGCTCGAAGCAGCCCTGAGAAACATCGCCCATTCTCTCTCCATACCACCCCCAAAACTTTTCGCCGTCCCAACACTTTACCACTATTTCATTTTATTTTTCTTATTAATATAAGAAGACAGGAATGTCAGGCCTCTGAGCCCAAGCTAAGCCATCATACCCCCTGTGACCTTCACATACACATCCAGATGGCCGGTTCCTGCCTTAACTGATGACATTCCACCACGAAAGAAGTGAAAATGGCCTGTTCCTGCCTTAATTGATGACATTGTCTTGTGAAATTCCTTTTCCTGGCTCATCCTGTCTCAAAAAGCTCCCCTACTGAGCACCTTGTGACCCCCACTCTGCCCTCCAGAGAACAACTCCCCTTTGACTGTAATTTTCCTTTATCTACCCAAATCCTATAAAATGGCCCCACCCTGATCTCCCTTCGCTGACTCTCTTTTCAGACTCAGCCCGCCTGCACCCAGGTGAAATAAACAGCCACGTTGCTCACACAAAGCCTGTTTGGTGGTCTCTTCACATGGACGCGCATGAAAAGAAGAATACTTTAAAAAAAAAAAAAAAAGCAGCATCAGCACCACCTGGAAGCTTGTTATTTATACAGAATCTCAGACCCACCTGAAACCTACTGCATTGGAATTTGCATTTTAACAACTCTGGTGATTTGTTTTCTCATTTCACAAGTTGTAGTCTGTGAAAAATCAGGAGCTATCAGGAAAGGAGATCTACTCCCCTGGCTACTGCGAATCAAGGTTTCTTCTGCATCTACGACTGCTACCCATAAAATGTGAAATACCCTTCAGGAATCTATACGGCTCTAAAGACTCATAGTGAGATGTTAAGTATCCCTTTCTCCTTCCTAATAGCAGCCTATTTCCTTTCAAGGAATTCTCTTCCCCTGTTCTATGTCTTGTTGTGAGGGTTAATTTCAGGTGCCTGCTAACCCAAACAAGCCAGAGAAGCAATTCTTTTCTCTAGGTTCTCAACCAGGGGTGATTTTGCCCCCCAGGGGACATTTTGGCAACATCTGGAAACATATTTGTTTGTGACAAATGACAGGGAGAGATTCTGGCATCTAGTGAAAAGCAGCCGGAGCTGCTGCTAAACATCATATAGTACCCAGGATGGCCCCTCACAGCAAATAATTATCCAGCCCAAAATATTAATAGGACCAAGGCTGCGAAACCCTGAATGAGTAATTACATATATTCTCCCTCTTTCAGGAAGTCTCAATCTTGAGAGAAGGGGGAAAGAGAAATAGAACATCGCTGTCACAGCAGCGTCACTGTGACCCAACTCTTCCTGCCTAGATGACCTGCTTCCTCCCTCTTGACCCTCCAGAGTGCTGTCAATTCCCTACCATGGAGCCCTAGCTTTGCATAAATCATACGAGCCCCAATTTCCTTCCAGTTCACTGTCATTTGCCCAAGTCAGCCAGTATCTTTCTGTTGATGGTAACCAAGAACCCTTACGCCCAACCATCCAATTAGAGGAGGGCTCCATTCCAGGGCAGGGCAGGCTTACCCAGCTGCTAGGCTAAGCACACACTTCAAGCATCAGCAAGTAACTGACAAGTTCAGCTTGAATGAACTTAACCAGAATTTGCAGTCAAGAAAACTAGAAAGAAACTGTTTTAATTTCAGTATAAGTGTTTCATTTTGCATCAAGTGATTTAAACAGTTCATTATTTGGGACCCTGATGTTCTGGGCCATCAGGTGGGGCAGGTTTGCTCTGGTTTT
The DNA here is from genome assembly GCF_000001405.40 of Homo sapiens. Lineage (NCBI taxonomy): Eukaryota > Metazoa > Chordata > Mammalia > Primates > Hominidae > Homo > Homo sapiens. The sequence continues at coordinate 45,766,452 of NC_000020.11, forward strand.
GAGTTTCAGTGCTAAGAAGGAAGAGGAAAACGAGAGAGAAGAGATTGAGTTGTTTATATTATCTGGCCTCAGGTGAGAGAGTACTGGAATGAGAAGCCTATGTTTAAAGGAAAAAAATATTAAAACTGGGAAAGTATTGAACATGGAAAGATGTAACCTATACAATGAAGTACAGCACAATGGAAGAACCTAAAAATTAAAACCAAGAATACATATATATATTTCTTGATATATATATCAAGAAATAGCAATCTATCTGCAAGCCGAAAAGTGTTGCAGAAGGAATGGAGGCTTTGTCATCGAATACACCTGCTGGTTTAACCAAACTAAGATTGAAAGTAAAAACCTTAGCCTGGGAAACATAGCGAGACCCCATCTCTACAAAAACTGAAAAAAATAGCCAGGTGTGGTGGTGCATGCCTGTGGTCCCAGCTACTTCGGAGGCTGAGGTAGAAGGATTGCTTGAGCCCAGGAAGTCGAGGCAGCAGTGGGCCGTGTTTGAGCCACTGCACTCCAGCCTGGGTGACAGAGTAAGACCCTGTCTCAGAAAAAAAAAAAGAAAGAATGTAAAAGCGTTTGAAGCCATTTGGCAAAGATCATGGAAAACAGGGCAAGCAATAGCTACAGAGTTCCAGAGCCATGTTAAATTAATAAATAAGTAAATATTTAAACATTGAATACCTTAACAATTAAAAATCATATCTATCTATTATATTGTTGAATGACAAAAGCCTATTACAGGATGATTCTACCTATATCGACATTTGCATATATGCATAAAGCAAGTCTGGAAGGACCTTCACAAGCATGTTAACAATGGTCACCTATGGGTAGGGAGATCTTCTTTGAATTTTTTTTTTTTTTTTTTTGGTGCATTAGCGATCTTGATGGTTTCAAATGTCATCACCAGGGAATGATAAACGCTGGGGCCTACTTAGGGTGGAGGGCAATAGGAGAGTGAAGATTGAAAAACTACCTATCTGATATTATGCTGATTACCTGGGTGACAAAATTTTCTGTACACCAAATCCCCAAGACACACAATTAGTGCGTGTAACAAACCTGCATATGAATCCCTTTAAAGTAAAATACAAGTTGAAAGGAAAAAAATAAAACCTCTTCAATCATCTTTCAGATAGCAATTTTTTTCATTGCTTCTTCAGTGTACATAAATATTCTTTTACATCATTCACACTTCTTTGAACTTTTCTGTACTGTTTAAATATCGCAATAATGTTTATGCATCCTATTTTAAAAACAACAACAACAAATTAAAAAATAAAAAGGAGAAGGAGGAAGGTGAGGAGGAGAAAAAGAATAACAAAAAAGACTTGTGATCCTAAGCATATAGACAGCTCAGAAATTGCAGGAAAGCTGAAAAAGAAAAACAAGAGAAAGGTAAAGGAAGAATGATCATTAATAATATTACTAAATTGGGCCAGGCACAGTGGCTCACGCCTGTAATCCCAGCACTTTGGGAGGCCGAGGCTGGTGGATCATTTAAGGTCAGGCGTTCGAGACCAGCCTGGCCAACATGGTGAAACCCTGTCTCTACTAAAAATACAAAAATTAGCTGGGCGTGGTGGCTAATGGTGGGTGTAATCCCAGCTACTTGTGAGGCCAAGGCTGGAGAATTGCTTGAACCCAGGGAGCAGAGGTTGCAATGAGCCAAGAGCACACCATTGCACTCCAGCCTGGGCGACAAGTCTCTGTCTCAAAAAAAAAAAAAAAAATTACTGAATTGGGCTACAGATTCTTAGAGCTGCTGATGGGACTTTCATGAACTTCTAATTCAGAGATCCCCAAACCAGACCACACATTAGAATTCCCTGAGGGCTTTTTTTAAATATTGCTCTGAATAAACACATAAACAAGCAGTTCCCTTGGCCCAACCCATCTTTGACCTACTGAATCAAAATATCTGGAATGGGATTGGGGAATCTGCACATTGACCAGCCCGTGCAAGGATCTAAAACCAGCCCCTGGCAACCACTAATGTACTTCTGTCTCTACGAATTTGCCTATTCTAGATGTTCCATATAAATGGAATTATATGGCCTTTTGTGACTGGCTTCTGTCACTTAGCATGTTTTCAAGGTCCATTCATGTTATAGAATGTATTGGTACTTCATTCCTTTTTATGGCTGAATTAATATTTCATTGTATTGATATACCACATTTTGTCTCTCCATTCACCAGTTGATAGATATTTGAGTTGCTTCCACCTGTTGGCTATTGTCCACCTGTTTCTATTTCTATGAACATTTGTTCACAAGTTTTTGCTTGAACATCTAGGGGTTTTGTTTGTTTGGTTTTGGTTTGGGTTTTTTGTTTTTTGTTTTTTGTTTTTTCAGAGATAGGGTCTGTCACCTAGGCAGGAGTGCAGTGGCACCTTCTTAGCTCACTGCAGCCTTGTATTCCTGGGCTCAACTAATCCTCCCACCTCAGCCTCTTGAGTAGCTAGAACTACAGTTATGATGCCACCACACCCTGGTTATTTTTTTAATTTTTCTGTAGAGACAAGGGTCTCACTATGTTGCCCAGGCTGGTGTTAAACTCATGTTCTCAAGCGATCCTTCCACCCCAGCTTCCCAAAGTACTGGGGTTACAGGTGTGAGCCATCACACTTGGCCATTGGATACCTGTTTTTAGTTCTTTTGGGTATATACCTAAGAGTGAAATTGCTGGGTCATATGGTAATTCCACATTTAACTTATTGAGAAACCATCAAACTTTTTAGGGTTTTTTTTTTTTTGAGACGGGGTCTTGCTCTGTTGCCCAGGCCAGAGTGCAGTGGCACAATCATAGCCCCCTGCAGCCTCAATCTCCTGAGCTCCAGTGATCCTCCCACCTCAGCCTCCCAAGTAGCTGGGACTATAAGCACATGTCACTACACCTGACTGACTTTTTTTTTTTTTTTTTAAGTAGAGACAAGATTTTGCTATGTTGCTCAGGCTGGTCTTGAACTCCTGAGCTCAAGCAGTCCTCCCACCTCAGTCTCCCAAAGTGCTGAGATTACAGGCATGAGCCACTGTGCCCAGACCACTGTTTAGTTTTTTAATGTGGCTACTAAAAAACTTGAAATTACATACATGGCTTGCATTATGTTTCTGTGAAAGAGTGCTGCTCTGGATGCTTCTTTCTGCCCAAGTATTCTACTGGAACTTACCTCTCATTTACCTTTGCCCTCACCTGCTTCCAAACAAGACTCAAGGAGGAACTTAATACTATAAAACAGCCAGGTGCAGTGGCTCACGCCTGTAACCCCAGCACTTTGAGAGGCCAAGGCAGGTGGATCATTTGAGGCCAGGAGTTCGAGACCAGCCTGGCCAACTTGGTGAAACCCTGTCTCTACAAAAAATACAAAAATTAGCTGGGCATGGTGGTGCGCATCTGTAGTCCCAGCTACTTAGGGAGCTGAAGCAGGAGGATCACTTGAACCTGGGAGGTCGAGGCTGCAGTGAGCATGATTGCACCACTGCACTCCAGCTTGGGAGACAGAGTGAGACCCTGTCACAAAAAACAACAACAGAAAATAAAATACTACAAAACAAGTTACATGAAAATGAAAGTCTTTAAACCAAGAGTGAAAAAAGGTAGGGGATCCAGGCGCAGTGGCTCACACCTGTAATCCCAACACTTTGGGAGGCCAAGGCATGCAGATCATGAGATCAAGAGATCAAGACCATCCTGGCCAACATGGTGAAACCCCATTTCTACTAAAACTACAAAAGTTAGCTGGGTGTGGTGGTGGGCGCCTGTAGTCTCACCTACTCAGGAGGCTGAGGCAGGAGAATCGCTTGAACCTGGAAGGTGGAGGTTGCAGTGAGCCAAGATTGCACCACTGCACTCCAGCCTGGTGACAGAGCCAGACTCTGTCTCAAAAAAAAAAAAAAAAAAGGTGGGGGAGGACAAGTAATAAAAGAGGGTGGCAAGAAGGATCGATTTTGTCAGAGAAACTGAATAACAACAGCTAACATTTATTGAGTGTGTGCTTTGTGCCAGGCTCTGCTAAGTGCTTTCTTTATAATCTTTTTTTTTTTAGACGGAGTCTCCCTCTGTGGCCTAGGCTGGAGTGCAGTGGCACGATCTCAGCTCACTGCAGCCTCCAAATCCTGGGTTCAAGCAAGTCTCCTGCTTCAGCCTCCCGAGTAGCTGGGACTACAGGCGTCCACCACCATGCCCAGCTAATTTTTGTATTTTTAGTAGAGACGAGGTTTCACCATGTTGGCCAGGGTGGTCTCAAACTCCTGGCCTCAGGTGGTCGACCCACCTCGGCCTCCCAAAGTGCTGGGATTACAGGTGTGAGCCACTGCACCTGGCCAGTGCTTTCTTTATAATGGACTCTTCACACCAATTCTATGAGGTAGGCAGTGTGGTAATGTTATTATACACACAAAGCTGATAAGCAGCACAAGATTATAGATTCAGACCCAGGCCTTACTCCGAAACCTGAGCTCTTGGCACCCTGGTAGCCAATGCGAAGATGGAAACATCAGCTCTAGAAAGCCCCTACCACAGAGTCTGGAAAGACAGACGATGCCCAGTAAGTTATTTCCCTGCCCATTCTCACACTAACTCAGAGGGAGAAACTTTTTCTTGATCTTGAGCTCCACAGGGAATTTGACCCTGTGGCTTTGTACAAGAAACACTAATACGACATAGTGGGTAATGTCCCCCATATCAATGTTACCAGAAATGAAGCAGCATGCCACATCATATGAAAACAGAGGGCATAATGTTAGGTCTTAATTTATTAAGTGCAGTTCAGTCGGGATCCAGGAGCTTAGACAGCTGATAGCAAGCTTTCACTTTATCTTTTAGAATGCCCTTTTGCCCTTTTGAGTCTCTTGCCTGGAAATGGTCTATGACAGACCTCTGCTGCCCTCTGGTGGGCAGAGCATGAAGCACCCAGCAAAGAATTCTTTCCAGTCACATGGCCTCTTCTTTGTTTATATTGCTGAATCTGTGGGAAGCTGGGCTTCTCCACACAATCCCTTGAGGAGAAGGCTTAACTTGTATATGAAAGGAAAGACACCTCTCCCAACTCAAGAGCAACCCACTGCCAGGATACGCTCTGGGCCTCCTGCCTTCCTCACCCCACTTACACGCCTTACCAATAACATCATGCCCCCACGGGAGCAGTGGAGGCTGCAGGGGCCCATGGTATTGCTGGGGCCAAGGGCACATATGGAGTCTGAGATTTCTACAACCAGATGGTCAAGAAGCAGGGTGGAGAAGGGAGGAGCTGCGTGGTTCTGGTCAAAGAACAAGTCTTTCTCAGCCTACACTGGAGCCCCAGACATTCCTGCCCACGATGAGGAAGCTGAGGAGCAGGGCGGGGGAGAAGGGTGGCTTTTCAACCTGGTCAGAGGCTAATTTCGGGGTGCAAGGTGAGAGAGTAGGATCACGGTCCACTGAGACCTGCTCCTGGGTCATTTCCACCCCAGGACCAAGGCTGAAATGGACTTAAACCCTGAGGAAGGAAAGGTTCTAATGGCTTCTTTAGTTCAGGGTCCAACAGTAGAGAAAGCTGCCCAGAAAGACCTGGGGGTGGGAATTTGGCCCCAGCTCAGCCTTTAACCGCCAGCTTTCAAATTTAACCCTTCAGCACTCTCTCTCATCTCTATCTCTCTCTCATCTCCATCTCTATCTCTCTATACATCTATCTATCTCTCTATCTCTCTCGACGTTGCTACCTGTAAGCAGGTCAGCAGCTCCCTCTGGAAAGGGTGAGCCTCCAGACGAGGAGGAAAGGTCTGCAAGGAGCAGCTCTCCCATTGCTCAGCCTGAGCTGTGCCTGGGGCTCACACCTGTCTCTCCAGTCCCACTCTCCACCCTGACAGAACATCATTCTGCAATATGAGAGGATTCCCAGACTGTTGTTTTTCATTGAAAGTTCTACCATACTGATGATTTTTTTTTTTTTTTTTTTTTTTGAGATGGAGTTTCGCTCTTGTCGCCCGGGCTGGAGTGCAATGGCAGGATCTCGGCTCACTTGGAACTTCCACCTCCCAGGTTCAAGCAATTCTCCTGCCTCAGCCTCCTGAGTAGCTGGGATTACAGGCGTGCACCACCAAGCCTGGCTAATTTTTGTATTTTTAGTAGAGACGGGGTTTCACCATGTTGGTCAGGCTGGTCTTGAACTCCTGACCTCAAGTGATCTGCCTGCCTTGGCCTCCGAAAATGTTGGGATTACAGGCGTGAGCCACTGCACCCGACCACTGCTGAGTGTCTGTGCCTTCTCCCCCTTGTTTTCATCCTGGCATGTGAAATTCTGGTTTCTACCTGGTTCAGAACATTTATCTCTTTTCAGTACAGTAGACATGTCAATGTTGCCTGATCTGAAAAAGAGTGGCTGGCATGAACCTCGCAGTGGCCAACCCAGAAACATCCATGACTCCAGGATCATGTTGCAGGGAACTGGGAAGGGCCAGTGTCTGTGTGATGGGCTGCTGAACATTTTGGCAGATCCCTCTTCCACTGTTTTATCATTTTGTTGTTTATTTAAAAACTCGAATACATGCACATAGTTTTTTTAAAAATCATTATATCATCACACCACCACACCCGGCTAATTTTTGTATTTTTAGTAGAGACAGGGTTTCTACTAAAACAGTCAAAGGCACAGCTACTCAGAAGGCTGAGGTAAGAGAATTGCTTGAGCCCAGGAGGCGGAGGTTGCAGTGAGCGGAGATCGTGCCACTGCACTCCAGCCTAGGCGACAGAGCAAGATTTCGTCTCAAAAAAAAAAAAAGATAACTAGTTAAATAAATTACCCATTTCATAGAGTTCTATTAAAAGAATATACGTGATGACATGAAAGATCTCCAAGATACACAATATAATCCATTTCATATAAATAAAAAACATAACTTTAAAAAATTATCTTGGTCCCAAGAACCTAGGGATATCCCCTCCCTAAAATAAAGCTACCTGGAGGGGACAAACTGCCTGTCTTGGAGCCAAGGGCTGGCCCTCAAGGAAGGAGGTCCAAGGTGGGAACATTCCAACATCTATAAGAAACTAGCCACTCGGCTGGGCACAGTGGCTGACGCCTGTAATCCCAGCACTTTGGGAGGCCAAGGCAGGCAGATCACCTGAGGTCAGGAGTTCAAGATAAGCCTGGCCATCATGGTGAAACCCCGTCTCTACTAAAAATACAAAAATTAGTCAGGCATGGTAGCGCGCCTGTAGTCCCAGCTACTCGGGAGACTGAGGCAGGAGAATCACTTGAACCTGAGAGGCAGAGGTTGCAGTGAGCCAAGATTGCGCCACTGCACTCCAGCCTGGGCAACAGAGTGAGACTACATCTCAAAAAAAAAAAAAAACTAGCCACTCACCCTTGTTCCACCCTCAACCCACATTCTCCAATAAAAGAAAGAAGGTCAGCAGGTCTAAAAGAGACTGACCTCCACCCCCACCAGGGCTTGAGAAAGACATCTATGGCAAGTCACTCTCAGTTTAGTTTCCACCCTCAACCCACATTCTCCAATAAAAGAAAGAAGGTCAGCAGGTCTAAAAGAGACTGACCTCCACCCCCACCAGGGCTTGAGAAAGACATCTATGGCAAGTCACTCTCAGTTTAGTTTCCACCCATCTCTTCCCTAGCCACACCCAACCAAAACCCATTTTCAGTGTCCTCACAAAGAATGGATTACCCATCTGTCCTAAATATGTAAATCGTACAATCCCACAGGCACACACATACCCTCTAGCTCTCCCATATCATCTGAGCCCTCAAATAGCACAAACAAGAGGTCAGCACCAGCCTTTATCGGGAAAGAGAAGCACCACACACCCACTACCCAATCCAGGGCTATTTCCCATGCTCTGGTCAGCGGCAGGAGGAGAAGCAGAGCAGAGAGGGCCATGAGTGCCCCTGGAAATGTCACAAGCCCCAGGATGTCACCCTCTCTTGACTGCCAGGAAAAGCTTCCAGAATTACCAAAGAAGCTCCAGACAAATCAGCACAGCTAGGGCACCGGGATCTCTGCAAGTAGAAGAAACATCAAGTCACAGCTGTGCCCTCCTGGCTTCAGCTACCTGAAATGTTTTCCCTCCACCCTAGGAAAGCTTGGCCTATATTGCTCTCAAAAGTCTTAAATAGCTCCTTGCTTCCCAGACAATCCAATCCAAACTGGCACTGAAGGCTCTTATTATTCAGATGTCAACCTTGTATCTCCTGTTATAAAAAACTGGAATTATGGTCGGGCACAGTGGCTCATGCCTGTAATCCCAGCACTTTGGGAGGCCAAGGTGGGTGGATAACCTGAGATCAGGAGCTCGAGACCAGACCTGGCCAACATGGTGAAACACTGTCTCTACTAAAAATACAAAAATCAGCTAGGTATGATGGCAGGCGCCTGTAAATCCCAGCCTTGGGAGGCTGAGGCAGGAGAATTGCTTGAATCCAGGAGGCAGAGGTTGCAGTGAGTCGAGATTGTGCCATTGCACTCCAGCCTGGGTGACAAGAGTGAAACTCCATCTCAAAAAAAAAAAAAAAAAAACTGGAGATACGTCTGTTCCTTTACCCACCCTGCCCCCACTCCTCACCTCCCAAACATATCCCACACATTCCCACCCTGTGTTCCTTTGCCAGCAATCACCAGATTGCCTATCTGGCATGTCCCTGTGCTATCCTCCCTTTGTCGCATCTGCCTAGCCTTAAGCACCTCAATCAAATCCCACCTCTCCCACAGAGACCTTCCCAGGGAGCCACACCTGGGAACAGGTGTAAGCCTGTACTGTTTATATGAGGGTTCTCATCTGGGACACAGGTTTGCCACACCTGAGAACAGGTGTAAGCCTGTACTGTTTGTATGAGGGTTTTCATCTGGGACATAGGTTCTTTCTCTCCAACTAGACTTTTCCTGACCTTCTGAAGTCCCCTTCCCAGCACCTAAGCCAGTGCTTTGCACATAGCAGTTGTCTGTTATTGTTGATGACAATGGACTGTACTCACCTAATTCGGAATCAGACCTCACAGTCCAGTTGGGGTTCATGGTCAGTTTTGGGGGCAGGACTGGTGGGACACAGAAGCGGCCACAGCCTGACTTGCAACATTTTTCTCCAGCTTGACAATTCTCATCCATCACACAGCCAACAATGCACAGGCCCACCAGAACTTTTGGACAATCACCGCCCCGCCCTGTGGGAACAACAGGCACAGGAAAAGGGACAGGGCATCAGCTCTGCCATCTCCATGTTCCCATCGTGAACTTACACACAGAGGCTCTAGGTCAATCAACCCCTGACCCTCACTAGACCCAACTAAACTGGCTGGGAAACCATGGCGCTGGAGGATCTCAGAATCTTTAGGAACCCAAGAGACCTCTGAGCCCAGAGTTTTCAAATGGTGCCCCAAAGGGAGTTCCCAAGAGGTAACTCAGGGATTGACACCTCTGCAGGTTTGGGGTGGGGGTGGGTGAAGTGTGGCAGGGGCAAGCCTCCCAGACCACTCCCCCTCCCCCTATGCTCTGGATTCATAGTGTCACTTCTTCACGGTGGCCTCCTCTGCCACCCTAGACAAGGTTTGATGTCCCTGCTTTGTGCTCCTGTAGCACCCTGTATGCTTCCTCTCATCAAACTTTATCATAATCCCTTATTTAAAAGGAATATGTCTATCTTGCCTGATGGGCTATAAGCTACATACGGACAAGAGTCTGTCCTCAGCCTTGAGCACTGCCTGGGAATCTAAAGGGACTAAGATAGCACAAGGGTCAATGATTCTTTAATGGAGATCCACAGTGCCTGGCACTCAAAAATATTTGTTTTTTTAAAATGTTGAAGAAAAAAAGGCATTGGAACAGGAATGCTTTTATCTCTGTGTGTGTGTGTGTGTGTGTGTGTGTGTGTGTGTGTGTGTGTTTCCAGCTGGGCGTGGTGGCTCACGCCTGTAATTCCAGCACTTTGGGAGGCCGAGACAGGCAGATCACGAGGTCAGGAGTTCAAGACCAGCCTGGTCAACATGATGAAAACCCATCTCTACTAAAAATACAAAAATTAGCTGGGCATGGTGGCGTGTGCCTGTAATCCCAGCTACTCAGGAGGCTGAGGCAGAAGAAACCCCAGAGGCAGAGGTTTCAGTGAGCCAAGATCACGCCACTACACTCTAGCCTGGGGTACAGACCAAGACTCTGTCTCAAAAAAAAAAAAAAAGAAAAAAAAGAAAAAAAAAAAAAATATATATATATATATATATATATATGTGTGTGTGTGTTTCCAACTAAGATTTCATTTGGGGCAGGGGAGAAGCTTTTTGTTAAAAATTAGATCTGAAAATCAGGATCTTGGGCAACTCCTTCATTTTACAGATAAAGAAATTTGGGCTCAAAAAGACGGGTTTGCTTACCTAAGGTCACAAAGCAAAACCTCAGCAGAATCAAGACCAAAAGCCACACTGTCTGTCTTCCAGCCCAAGTAGTTCCTACTGCCCCACAGTGCCTTCCCCCAGTTCTTTTAATGTCGACAGGGCCCCTCGGCCCTAGAAGAATGGGTTGCTTTGGGTTGGGGGACCAGAGGGACAGGAAGGATGAGAATCCTAGCTCCTCCCAGGAAGGGAAAGAGAAGCACTCTTCTCAGGAAACACTCAAGGATTTCTTCCCAAAAGAGCCAACATACCTCCCTCAATGTCTCCGAGGCAGGTGCGGCCACAGCCGGTGCTGCAGCATTTATGCCCCTGGGGACAGGATGCATCCCCATCACACAGCTCCTCACACGGAAGGGGGTCAGCGGGACATTCACCACCAAACTCTGCTACATAATCAAAGCATTGGAGCCCAGAGACGCTCACAATATGAAACACATTTTTCATTGTGTCCCATGTGTATGTTTATATATAGTTATATATTTATATACATATATAATGTAAATATTTATGTGTATCATGTATCTGCAATACATCTGATTTTTTTTAAGACAGGGTCTCACTGTGTTGCCCAGGCCAAAGTGCAGTGGCATAATCATAGCTCACTGCAGCCTCAAACTCCTGCATTCAAGGGATCCTCCCACCTCAGCCTCCTGAGTGGCTAGAACTACAGGCACATGCCATCATGCCTGGCTTATTTATTTATTTATTTTGTAGAGACAGGGTCTCACTGTATCACCCAGGCTAAAGTACAGTGGCACAATCATAGCTCATTGCAGCCTGAAACTCCTGTGCTCAAGGGATCCTCCCACCACAGCCTCCTGAGTACCTGGGACTAGAGGCACAAGCCACCAGGCCTGGGTAATTTTATTTATTTATTTTGTAGAGACAGAGTCTCACTATGTTCCCTAGGCTGATATCAAACTCCTGGCTCAAGTGATCCTCCCGCCTGAGCCTCCCAAAGTGCCAGGATTACAGGCGTGAGCCCCCCCACCCAGCCCACCCTGATATTTTATATTCTAGTTCTTATTTTTCCTAATTACTAAATTGCTTTCAGGACTCACAGTTTGAAAAACACTGTTCAGGTCTAACCCACTGTGGCCAACATTCTCCCTGAATTCTCCCTGTGGCAGACATTTACAATGGTGGCCTCCAGTGAACTTTACCTCCTGGGATTCAGGCCCTTTTGTAGTCCCCTTCCATACCTACTCTGGGTTTGACCATCTGACTTGCTTTGACCAATGGGACATTAGCAAATGTAATGTAAGCAGAGCCTTGATAAGCACTAGCATACTGGGGCTTGTCCACTCAGAATACTTCCTCTTGGAAACCAGCCGCCATGCTATAAAGCAGCTTGAACTACGCTATGGGATGATGAGATGCCCCATGGAGACAGAACCTAGAAGAGAGGTCATCCTGGACGTTGTGGCTCCAGTTGAGCTCCCTGCTAAGCTCCCAGATGAATGCAGCTAAATGAATGACCACAGCTACATCATGTGGGTATATGAACTGCCCAGCCAAGCTCAGGCAACCTACACAACTGTGAGAAAGAGTAACTATATTGCTTTAAGTCATGAAGTTTGGAGATGGTTTCTTATGCAGCAATAGATACTGGATACCAAGTTTATTCTGAGAGGCAACAGGTCCAGCTAAAATGATTTGTTTCCCCATACTCTCTTGCAACAAGGGGTGACCACAAACTAGGACATAAACTGGGAAACTTTTGTATTCCTGACACAGGGAATACCCCTTTCAAACTGCTCCCTCACTTCTTTCTTCTTCCAGTCCAAAGATAGACATTACACAGAGAGGCAGAGTAGCCTTCTTTCAATGAGGAGGCAACTCAGCATAACGAAATGGTCAAGAATTGCAAAGAGGTGTTGTATGAAAGGAGAGAAGGTTAGCACTCCCCTCGACAAGGATGGAAGAGGCCTTTGGGCCTGACAACATGCATATGGTTCAAGCATTGCCACCTACTTTGTGGCATCTAACCATCGTCTTTTAAAATAAATAAATAATAAAATGTAAATGTAAAAAAAAAAAAAGAATTGCAAAGGAGAAAGAGGGAAATAGTTTCATCCTTGTTAGCATCATGGAGCCACCATCCCAGCCTCAGGAATTCTTGTTATATGAGAAAAACAAACCCCTATATGATTAATTTTCTGTTGTGTGCAGCCAAACACATTTCCTATGAAAATAAACTCAGAGAAGAATCTTGCCCAGAACTACAGAGTGAGTCAGCAGCAAGGCAGGACAACACTCAGCCTCTTGATTTGCGGTAAAGTACTTTTTCTACTACACTATCCTTAAAACATGCAGGCAACTGGCCAGGGCCCCAGGCGCAGGCACACCCAAAGAAGGCCACATCCAAACCAAACCAATTCACCATGACTCATTCATCTTAGTGTTTATTTCAAGCTTCTTAAGTAAAGAGAAAGGTGACAGGCAATTAAAGATTTCGCAGAAAACCAAAGCAAGACTGGCCCAGTGCCTCTGAGTAGGAACAGGTAAGTATGATTGCATACAGCTGGCTCTGGGAAGTCTGCCATGATGGAAAAAGCAAGTATTGGAATCCAAGGAGAATACATGCAGCTAAACAACCCAGGCGTAGTAACCCTGTATCCTGAGATTTTCCTGAACAGCCCCTATTTCAAATATCCTGTGCTACTGTGAGATCACATCAAAACTATGTGTCCTGATTTTTGACTCAGAAAATGTGGTCACTGTAACCACCAAATGCATCTCCCTGCACCTCCCCACCTGCTTGACAAACACTGAAATCCATTTAACAAGGAACAAAAGCCTTCTATCTCACAGCTGAGAAGGCTGGGAGTAAAAATCTCCCTGGTGGAAAAACCCGGTGACATAAACATCTCATAAAATTATGCCATGTGCCCTAGAAACTGGGAGTGCCATACGTCCCAGATTTCACCATTTTGCTGAGCTTGACCTTGAGATGACCAATGCCAGGAGCTCTCTGCTACTCTCTGCCCTCGTCCTCAAGACCAGGCATGGAGCACTTACCTCTACCCTTTTCCAGGCCAGGCTTCCTGGAGGCCCAGAGGGTCACAGCACCTCGCTTTTGACCAGTGCCCAGCAATGCCACCCAGTCTGACACCCTGCCTTATATGAATCCCTGCCACGTGATCCCTTTCTCTCAGCTCTAACACCTGGAATTAATGGGGCCTCACTACCTCCAAGCCAGATTATGCTATCCTACTTAAGCTAGACAGCCTTTATACCTTTTTTTTTTTTTTTTTTTTTTTGAGACAGGGTCTCGCTTTGTCACCCAGGCTGGGGTGCAGTGCCGCAATGGTGGCTTACTGCAGCCTCAAACTCTTGAACTCCTGGGCTCAAGCAATCCTCCAACCTCAGCCTCCTGAGTAGCTGAACTATAGGCACACACTACCAGGCCCAGCTAATTATTTTTATTTTTTATAGAGACAGGGTCTCACTATGTTGACTAGGCTTGTTTTGACCTTCTGGCCTCAAGCAATCCTCCCGCCTCAGCCTCCCAAAGTGCTGACGTCACAGGCATGAGTTACCATGCCTGGCCCTTTGTACCTCTTTATACTGACCTGAAATCTGGCTGGGCCTTTTCCTATCCCCAGAGACCTTACAAAAACCTGGCGGATGCCATTCTTTCAGGCAGGATCCTCTGTCTTTCACGATCCTGGCTTTGCCATGCTAGGTAAGGTCAGTTCCTCATAAGACATGCTCCCTAATCACCTCACAATTAGCTTACCAGGAATCAGGAAGAGAAATAGGAACAGTAGCCAGAATGGGGATGACGGTTCCCCACCCTCTATCAGCACCCATCCCAAGACTCTAAGCTATCACCAAAAAAGGAGTGAAGCTGAAGCCCAGGAAATACTCACTCACAGTCTGTCCTGCTGCCTCAGCTCCAACCTGCCACTATGTCTGAGAGAAAGATGCCAGTTGTTGTTGGAAAAGTAAAATTTCAGCACTTCTTAACCCAAGAAGGGCCCTCTGAGCTAACAAACTTACTCCCCTTCTCTTGTAAATAGAGAGACAGACAACTAGAGAGAGGGATTGGCCTGAGGTCAATGGTAGCAGAACTGAGTCACAAATCCCCAGCTCTGATATAAGGTCTCATGCCCTTTAAACCACATCATGGGCCTGGCTCAGTGGCTCATGCCTGTAATCCCAGCACTTTGGGAGGCCAAGGTGGGTGAAACACTTGAGGTCAGGAGTTCAAAACCAATCTGGCCAACATGTTGAAACCCTGTCTCTACTAAAAATACAAAAAAAAAAAAAAAAAGCCGGGTGTGGTGATGGGTGCCTGTAATCCCAGCTACTGGGGAGGCTGAGGCAGGAGAATTGCTTGAACCTGGGAGGCAGAGGTTGCAGTGAGCCGAGATCACACCACTGCACTCCATCCTGGGTGACAGAGCGAGACTCCATCTCAAACACACACATAGACACACACACACACACATCATCATGATCCCCTACACTGCAGCAAGGATCACACAAAAACCAAGAAGCACTGGGACTCACTCTGCCCAGTTCCACCAAAAGAGAAGATCCAGTGGTAGATAGTTTTAGAGGTTAGGAAAAGTTATCCACCAGTGTGTAGGCAGTCCTCAAGACCACTTACTTCCAGGTTCAGTGATTCATTAGCAGGACTCAGCGTATAGTCATACCCATGGCTATGATTTATTACAGCAAAAGGATACAAAGAAAAATCATCAAAGGGAAAAGTCCAGAGGAAATCAGGTGCTGATTTTCAAGAGTCCTCCCGGTAGAGTCACAGGATGCACTTAATTCTTCCAGCATGGAATTATGACATGTGTGAAGTGTTTTCTACCAGGGAAACTCATTAGACACTCACTGTGAAAGTTCTCTACTGGGGGCTGGTCACTTAGGCACCCTCTGCCTAGCACGTACCAAGATTCCAGACTCTCAGAAGGAAAGCAGATGTTCAGCCTAAACCACAATGTTTACACAAACAGTTTAGGCACAGTGAACCACTCTTATCAGTTAGAGTAGTACAAATACCCACAAAATCCAAGTTCCCAGAAGCCAGCCAAGGCCCAGCCTTGCCAGCAAGCCTTTTTAAGAAGAGCGGTCTCAGGCTTGTTATGTTAACTCTTTTCTGTACAACCTGCAGTGAGGTTTTAGAAAAGGGTCAGCCAGACACCCAGGGAGGCCATGCCATCAGCCCACGTAAAAGATAATACATATATGTTAATAAGCAAAACAGAGGGTCACAGGGGATCTGGAGTGGTCAGGTTTCATACAGTGGGGAGGTGAGCCATGAGGAGGCCCAAGAAGACAACTGTCAGGCCAGAATCAGAATCTTCACTCCAAAACCTCTTCCCCCAGGTTGTCCCTGTCTCAGTAAAGAACACCACCATCACCCAACTGCTCAAGCTGAATATCTACCACCCTTCTTGATACCCCGTCTCCCTCAATGCCTGCAGCCACTTACTTGTTCACCCAGTCCCATTAATTCTACCTTCACAAACATGTAAGCCTTCCATTTTTCTTTTTCATTGTTATTGGTTTTTTGGGGGCTTTTTTGTTTTGGATTTTTTTTTTCTTTTTTTTGAGATGGAGTTTCGCTCTTGTTGCCCAGGCTGGAGTGCAGTGGTGCGATCTCGGCTCTCTGCAACCTCCACCTCCTAGGTTCAAGCGATTCTCCTGCCTCAGCCTCCCGAGTAGCTGGGATTACAGACGCCCACCATCATGCCCGGCTAATTTTTGTATTTTTAGTAGAGATGGGGTTTCACCATGTTGGCCAGGCTGGTCTCAAACTCCTGACCTCGTGATCTGCCCGCATTGGCCTCCCAAAGTGCTGGGATTACAGGCATCAGCCACTGCGTTCGGCCGCCTTCCATTTTTCTATGTCTGCAGTATCTCCAACCCAGTCTAAGCCCCGATCATCTCTCCCAGCCTGCCACAATAGCCTCCTAACTGGTCTTCCATCTTCTACACTTGCCCCCATCCATTCTTCATATACTGGCAGAGTGGTCTTTTTAAAATGAAAACTGGACAAGGCCTCTCCTGCTTTTAAACCCCCTCAAAGGCTTCCTATTGCACTTAGAATAAAGCCTAAGAGAGAAGCCCTGAAGACCCCCGAAAGTCTGGGCCCTGCCTACCTCTCCAACCTCAAATGAAAGCAGCCTCCTTCTCTCTTCTTCCTTTACCTTCAAAGCACTCATGACTCATCATCATCTTGGGGTTATTATGTATTTGTTTTCTTGATTATTTCCTGTCTGTCACACTATATGAGCAAGCCCCAGGGTGGCAAGGACCACGGCTGCCTTCCTCACCACTGCAGACCCACATGCCAGGTAGGGTAGCCACACTCAATATACAGTGAATACATGAATAAGTGGGTGAGTAAACGGATAGGTCAGGCATCAGATAGGTGGGGAGGCAGAGAAGGGGCGGACCAGAACACAGAGGTACTTGGCATGACCATATGAGCTCTCTTGAGCATTATCTGGCAGGTTTACTGCAGACTTTTTTAAATGCATTTCTGGCCGGACACAGTGGTTTGTGCCTGTAGTCCCAGTTTCTCAGGGAACTAAGGCAGAAGGATCACCTGAGCCCAGGAGGTTGAGGCTGCAGTGGGCTGAGATCACACCACTGCACTCCAGCCTGGGTGATAGAGTGAGACCTTGTCCCAGATAAATAAATAAATAAAATGCATTTCTTCTCAACTGCATTATCACTCTGGGAGCTAAACATCCTTATCCCCATTTTACAGATAATAAAAGTGAGATTCAGAGAAATGAAGGGACTTGCCCAAGGCCACACAGCAAGCAAGCAGAAGAGCCAGGATTCAGACCCATGTTCAGACTAGAACAGTGTCATGAGAGCAGGACCCAATGTCTGCCCTTGCCCTCAGGCAACCTGACTGAACCTCCACTTTGCCAAACAGACCAGCGCTGGCTATGGTAAACCTCTGGCAATGTCAGAGCTTAAGGAAAGCGAAATTTTTCATAGCCCTGGAAGGAGAGCTTCCTGTAGAGTTGGGTATAGCAACCAGTCCTGTTGGGTGAGTAGCCTAGCCCTCCCCTAGGGCTGGAGCTATACAAAAGTAGTTAACTACCAATGCAGTAGCCAGTATCACCTCCCACCAGGCTAGGAACCCCGCTCAGCCCAGCAGGCTCTGGGACATCTGCGGGAGATCACTATTCTAGCCTGCCTGCCAAGCTCCAGTGGAAAAGGAAGCCCTATCTGGGCTGGCCAGGGGCCAGAGCAGCTCACAAAGGTACTGTGCCTGGGTGCCAGCCTCGCCCTTAGCCCCTACAATTCAGCCCTCAGCTTCAAACACTGGGAAGATTGTACCAAGCCCTACATGCCAGCAGTCAGTGACCTGCCTGAGACAGATTCCCAGGCTGGTTCCAGAGCTGGGCCTCAAGAGTCCTGGCAAGGAGAACAACCTTCCATTCTCTCTAATGGGCAGGCTGCCCAAGATAGCTGCCTAAGCCGGGCACAGACAGACCCAATGGGTACCAGCAAGGGGCCTCCTACCTGGAGAGGTTTGACTGGAAGGAAAAAGGTTGTCACATGTTACAGGGCTTCAGGTTCTGAGAGGAAGTGATCAGGGAAGAAGAAAACCATCCTGGTTTTGAATAAAGGGGCTGGTGAGAAATTGTACTCCTGCTGGGCATGGTGGCTCACACCTGTAATCCCAGCACTTTGGGAGGCCAAGGCCGGTGGATCACCTGAAGTCAGGAGTTTGAGACCAGCCTGACCAACATGCTGAAAAGCCGTCTCTACTAAATACAAAAAATTAGCTGAGCATAGTGGCACATGCCTATAATCCCAGCTACTTGGGAGGCTGAGGCAGGAGAATCGCTTGAACCTGGGAGGTGGAGATTGCAGTGAGCCGAGACTGCACCACTGCACTCCAGCCTGGGCAACAATAGCGAAACTCAGTCTCAAAAAAAAGAAATTGTACTTCTGACCCAGGCCACTTAGGAGGCAAGAGGAAGGAAGTTAATATATACTGAGGGCAAAACACTTTACATAATTTGAATAATTACAACAAGCCTTCGAGGTTTATTCTTCCCACCTTACAGAGAAGGGAACTAAGGCTCAAAATTACTTGCCCAGGGACCTGCTGGCCAGTAACTGGCAAACCTCAGGCTTGAACCCAGGACTCCGACAACCCAAACCTAGGATTTTCCACTCTAACATCCACCACATGCACTCAGATAAGAGAATGATTCCAGTTCCTTTAGAAAACATAATGAGAAATATTCAAAACAGCAGAGAAGAAAATAAAATACCTAGGCATAAATTTATGGAGAAATATTTTAACACTATAAAACACCCTGAAATATGCAAAATACACTTGATCAACAGGGAAGGCATAGGATTCAACATAGGCCAGGCACAGTGGCTCATGCCTGTAATCCCAGCATTTTGGGAGCCAAGGTGGGCAGATCACCTGAGGTCAGGAGTTCGAGATCAGCCTGACCAACATGGCAAAACCCCATCTCTTCTAAAAATACAAAAATTAGCTGAGCATGGTGGCACACGCCTGCAATCCCAGCTACTCAGGAGGCTGACGCACAAGAATGACTTGAATGTGGGAGCAGAGGTTGCAGTGAGCCAAGATCACGCCACTGTACTCCTGCCTGGGCGACAGCCTGTCTCAAAAAAAAAAAAAAAAAAGAACATTTCAGTACCATAAAACAGGGTAAGAAAAAAAAAAGATTCAACATTATAATAACAGCAGTTCTCCTTAAGCTAATTTAATTTATATATCTAACATCACTCCAGTGAACGTAGTCTTGGTATTTGGGAATGATGGAAGAAAAATAGATAATATTATAATAAAATATATTTGGAAGCACAAATAAGCAAAAGTAGCCATGAAAATCGTGAAACAAGAGGAAAATAGGAAGGGGTTAGACATAGAAGACATGCCATCAATTTCTAATATGTTTTAGGGGCCTCTCAAGGGAATGGAGAAGGAATAGAGCAGAGAGCCCTGTCACTTCTACCTCCAAATTTTCTCAACTATGTCACCTTTCTCCATCCCCGCTGCTACCTCCCTAGTCTCACGGGTCTACATCCTCATCTGCCTTCATTCTCTCCCTCCCATTTCTACTCTAACCGTACTAGCTTTCTTTCCATTTCTCAAATGTGGCAAGCTCCTAGTCATCTTAAGGCCTCTGTGTGTGCTTCTCTCTCTCCCTGGAATGTCCATCGCACCCTTCACCTGGCTAACTTCAAATCGCTCTCCAGGTTGCAGCTTAAATGTCACTCCACACATGCCATCCTCAACCACCCAAACCAATGTGAGTTCTCAGCCGGGCACGGTGGCTCACGCCAGCCCTTGGGAGGCCAAGGCAGGTGGATCACTTGAGGCCAGGAGTGTGAGACCAACCCAGCCAACATGGTGAGACCCCATCTCTCCTAAAAATACAAAAATTAGCCAGGTGGGGTGGCATGTGCCTGTAATCCCAGCTACTCGGGAGGCTGAGGCAGGAGAATTGCTTGAGCCCAGAAGGTAGGTGGAGGTTGTAGTGAAACAAGATCGTGCCACTGCACTCCAGCCTGAGCAACAGAGCAAGACTGTCAAAAAAATAAAAACAAAAATAAAAGTGAGTTCTCCGCTTTACTCTGTCTCTCAGCACCCTTTAATTTTCCTTCCCTGTCCTTATCAGAGTTTGAAATTATATATTTATTTACATGCTTATTTGTTAAACCTCTTTCTCTGCCATGAGACTATGAGCTCCATGAAAGCGGGCATGGGATCTACCGTATTTTCCACAATATACCAGGAGCCCGTCACTGGATCTCGCAAACAGTACACATTCAATAAATACTTGTTGAAGAAATGAATGCATAAATGGATAATTAGGTCACTGGGACTCTGCAAAAGGGAGAATGAATCTCTTTCAAATACCTCTCTACCAGGACCAGAATGAAAAAGAATCTGTTTCCCACAGGAGACAGCCCCGCCGTGTGTGTACATAGGGAACATAAGAATCTCAGGAGCAGGCCAGGCATGGTGGCTCACGCCTGTAATCCCAGTACTTTGGGAGGCTGAGGTGGGTGGATCACGAGGTCAGGAGATTGAGACCATCCTGGCTAACATGACGAAAACCCGTCTCTACTAAAAATACAAAAAATTAGCCGGGTGTGGTGGCACATGCCTGTAGTCCCAGATAATAGGGAGGCTGAGGCAGGAGAATTGCTTGAACCTGGGAGGCAGAGGTTGCAGTGAGCCAAGATCACACCACTGCACTCTAGCCTGGGAGACAGAGCAAGACTCTCTCTCAAAAAAAAAAAAAAAAAAAAAAAAAGAATCTCGGGAGCAAATGAGTGGGGAAATGTGTGCCACCTTCCATAGGCATCAAGATTCTTTTTTTTTTTTCTGTCTCTGCAGATTCTCAGGATAAGATTTTTTAACAGAGAATATTGCAACTGATTATGGGAACTGGGAATTACCCAGTGGTTTTCTTTTTTCTTTTTTTTTTTTTTTTTTTTTTTTTTGAGACAGAGTCTCGCTCTGTCACCCAGGCTGGAGTGCAGTGGCATAATCTCGGCCCACTGCAAGCTCCGCCTTCTGGGTTCACGCCATTCTCCTGCTTCAGCCTCCTAAGTAGCTGGGACTACAGGCACCCGCCACCACGCCCGGCTACTTTTTTTGTATTTTTAGTAGAGACGGAGTTTCGCCGTGTTAGCCAGGATGGTCTCGATCTCCTGACCTCGTGATCCGCCCGCCTTGGCCTCCCAAAGTGCTGGGATTCCAGGCATGAGCCACCACACCTGGCTACTCAACCGTTTTCAAAGCAGTCTGCAAATGAGGGTAAGTTGAGGCTGCCCTTCTGGCACCCTCCCTCTGCCTGCCCAGGCTACATACCACAAATGATTATGGCTTGTGCACCCTTTGTATATCTTTTTTTTTTAAGGTCTTAGAATATAGCAGCAAAGTAAAACCAACAAGCTGATATGTGCATATTTGAGAAATAAACAAGCAGACCAAACAGACCATGAGGTGTGGGGACAGCGTTTCTTACCCAGCTTCTGTTTAGAGATTGGGACTACACAGCTCTTGTTGCAGCCAAGCGTGCAGCATTTCTTTACACCTGGACATGTCTCATCAGTGATGCACCTTTTCAAACAGGATTGTTTCCGAATAACCCTAGGGCAATCTCTTTTCCTCCCTGTAGCAAAAAGGGAGACAGCAAAGAAAAGAGAAAATAGGCCGAGCGCCATGGCTCACACCTGTAATCCCAGCACTTTGGGAGGCCAAGGCGGGTGGATCACCTGAGGTAGGGAGTTCGAGAACAGCCTGGCCAACATGGAGAAACCCCATCTCTACTAAAAATACAAAATTAGTCGGGGGTGGTGGCACATGCCTGTAAATCCCAGCTACTTGGGAGGCTGAGGCAGGAGAATCACTTGAACCCGGGAGGCAGAGGTTGCGGTGAGCCGAGATCACGCCACTGCATTCTAGTCTGAGCAACAAGAGCGAAACTCCGTCTCAAAAAAAAAAGAGAGAGAGAGAGAGAAAATAGTGCCTGGCAACACCCACGGGCACAGCAGAAGGGAAAAACAGAAAAAGGAAGTCCTGAGATTTATTTAAGCCTCTCAACCCTGGTGCTAAGACAAAGAGACAATAATAACAACAATAGTAATAGCAAATATTTACTGTAACATTTACTGACGTTTACCTTGTGCCATGAACATCTTATTTGATCCTCACAATTATCCCCATTTTATAGATGAGGAAACTGAGGCTAAAAGCTTAAGATTTATAAAGAGCTAAGGCTTAAGGCTTAAAAAGGTCTGCTTGGCTCTAGGGTCTACTCTCTTAATCATTATCTTACACAGCCTTCCCTTTACAACTCTTCCCTCCAGCCTTCACAGGAACTTTGAGTCCAAAGTAAAAGACATAGATAATCAATGGTGCGCTCTTTCCTGATGGAAGGCAAACAACTGGGGGCACTGAATAATTAAAGGAGGAGGGACCCTAAAAGAGTAAAGAAGAAGTACTCTAGGCAAGGGAGACTTCCAGAGGCAACCTAGAAGGTGGGAAGCTCTCTACTTCCATCTATCCCAGAGGCAATGTCAGAGAGTATGCCCAGATTTTGCCCCTCATGCCAACATACCCTTAGGAATGTCTCGGCAGATCCGACCACAGCCTGTGGTGCAGCACTTCTGTTCAGCCGGACACAATTCATCACCCTGGCACAGCTCTTTGCATGGGTTCTTATGGGGAGGGCATTCTCCCTCTTTTGCTGCAAAAGATACTATTTGAGTTTGGGGTAACTAGCCAGGCCTCAGAAATGGGGAATGGACCTTCAGCCCCTCCAGGCATCTCTATCCAAAATATTTCTGCACCACTGCACTCTAGCCTGGGTGACAGAATGAGACCCTGTCTCTTAAAAAAAAAAAAAAATTCTGGCTGGGCACGATAGCTCATGCCTGTAATCCCAGCACTTTGGGAGGCCGAGGCGGGCGGATCATGAGGTCAGGAGATCGAGATCATCCTGGCTAACACAGTGAAACCCCATCTCTACTAAAAATACAAAAAATTAGCTGGGCGTGGCGGCGGGCACCTGTAGTCCCAGCTACTCGGGAGGCTGAGGCAGGAGAATGGCGTGAACCTGGGAGGTGGAGTTTGCAGTGAGCTGAGATCACGCCACTGCACTCCAGCCTGGGTGACAGAGTGAGACTCCATCTCAAAAAAAAAAAAAAAATTCTGCAACCACCTTCCCCTCCTCATACACAAATACTAACATATATCCACCACTGCTAAAGGAGCAGCCATCCTGCAGATAACGAGAGAGAAAGGGTGGGATGATCCTGTTCTCATTTAATGAGTTCTAGGGAAAAGCTAGAACCTCTAGTAAGCCCAACTGGAAGTCCTATCTCCTTGTCCAGAGAGGGTAAAGAAAGCCAGGAAGAATGACCCAGGCCATCCTGAGAATCTATTCATCCAGTCCTGTCCTATAGAGATGATCATCTCCACTTACAAGCAACCTTGCTCTGGGAGAAGGCAGGGGATGAGTTCTCCTCTCCTCTAGTCACTTTCTGTTACTGTTGGCCAGGGATCCCAAATGATAGCTCACCATGTTCTCCTGCAGTTATCCAGGATTCCAGAGACCCAAGAGCAAGAAGTGCCTTCAGAAGAAAGAGGCAGCTTAACATCATGATGATGCTGAGAGTTGGGACAAGAGCTCAGTTCAGGCTAGAGGTGTACACCTTGCCCAGAGTATCAGCTGAGGTATGAGCAGGACTAGGGATGGCCCCAAACCCAGTCCCAAAACCTTCCCTTTCACAATACTCCCCAAGAATATCTTCTCCTGACAAGAAGAAGAGGGATTGGCTGCTGGAGTGTGGGAAAATTCCTGGCACTACCAAAGGGGACCTGTGATGGGAGGATCAAATTCTGTAAGCAATATACACAATATTCCTGGATGATGAGAAACCTAGTGGGTGGCTGGAAAAATGGAGGGGTGGCCATTGGAAAAAGAATCAAAGAGAGCCCTAAAGGGCATTGGAAGGACATGGCTTTAGCCCAAATAACAGAGGGAGGGATTCACGACACTACTTAATGGCCAAAGCTAATAACATAACCAAGCATAATAAAATTGTGGCTCCTGTTCATCCTAGCAACCAAGAAAATACAGAATGGAACAGACCACTCAGAAACTATCAAATAGGCCAAGGCGGGCAGATCACCTGAGGTCAGGAGTTTGAGACCAGCCTGGCCAACATGGCGAAACCCTGTCTCTACTAAAAATACAAAAATCAGCTGGGCATGCTGGTGCATGCCTGTAATCCCAGCTACGTGGGAGGCTGAGGCAGGAGAATAGCTTGAACCCAGGAGGCAGAGGTTGCAGTGAGTGGAGATCATGCCACTGCACTCCAGCTTGGGTAACAGAGTGAGACTCTGTCTCAAAAAAAAAAAAAAGAGAGAAAAGAAACTATCAAAAACCTACAGAAAAGCAGTAGTTGAGTTTGTTAAGAACTAATGAAAAGCACCAAACACCTACATCTTTGTCCCTCTAACCCACACAGGCCATTCTTGGACTGTATGAAGTCTAGCTGGCAGAACCCAAGAGAAGTTGCTATGTATGACTCAAATAGTCTGCCCACATATACCTCCTTTATTTCTTTTTTCTCCATTTCTTTTTTTCTTTATCTGTCCTGGTCATGCCTTTGGTTAGCTGTGATACCTAATGGTGTCCACTGGCACTGCTTAGTCCTATGGGCAGGTACAAGGTAAAACCTCCTTAATAGGATCAAAAAGTTTGGAGCCAGGAAGTCGCCCTTATGGTTAGAAGGCTGATGTTGGCTCATGGAGATAATTAACATTTGATGATGACCTCATATGTGCCTAATATGCTTTTTTTTTTTTTTTTTTTTTTTTTTTTGAGACAGAGTCTCCCTCTGTCCCCCAGGCTGGAATGCAGTGGCGCGATCTCGGCATAATTAACATTTGATGATGACCTAACATGTGCCTAATGTGCTTTTTTTTTTTTTTTTTTTGAGACAGTCTCCCTCTGTCGCCCAGGCTGGAGTGCAGTGGCGTGATCTCGGCTCACTGCAACCTCCGCCTCCTGGGTTCAAGAGACTCTCCTGCCTCAGCCTCCCGAGTAGCTGGGATTACAGGTGCCCACCACCACGCCCGGCTAATTTTTATATTTTTAGTAGAGACGGGGTTTCGCCATGTTGGCCAGGCTGGTCTCGAACTCCTGATGGCAAGTGATCCTCCCGCCTCGGCCTCCCAAAGTGCTGGGATTACAGGCGTGAGCCACCGCCCCTGGCCGAGCATATTAAAATCTAGTTTTCAAAAACTGAACTGCAGGCGCCGCTGTACCAAACGCTTCCCTCTGCTCCCCAACCCCAGCCTACAGAAAACTGGTCCCTTCCTCCTACCCCGCAGTCATCCCCAGGCCTTGGCCCAGCGGGAAACATCCCTTGACTGAACCGCCACTGAACACCCACACTGCACAATCGAGGCGCAGCCCTCCCGAGAGGAAGCCCCAACGACCTCCACCTACAAGGCCTCTAAGTGTAACTGTCCTGGGCGAGGCGCGGCGGTTCGGTTCCCATGGTAACCCCGCAGCTCCAGCGTCGCGCTTCCGGGCGGACGAGCAGCGCGCTCCAGTGACGTCACGGCGCCACTTTCCGGCCGGTGACAGAGTCCAGCGGAGTTGTGGGGGCCGGGGGCGCCATGGGAGCCACTGGCGACGCCGAGCAGCCGCGGGGACCTAGCGGGGCCGAGAGGGGCGGCTTGGAGCTGGGGGATGCGGGCGCAGCGGGGCAGCTGGTTCTTACGGTGAGGGCGCCCCCGGTGAGGTCTGGGCTCAGGCCGGGCACGGCCTCGGGGCTCCTGGGACCCTGGCCCGCGGGCGAGAGAACGCGGAGGCTGGAGCTGCAGAGGGGGTTGGCGTTTTCGCAGCCCGACGACCTGGATTTAAATTCTGGTGCCGCCCTCCTAGCTAGGTGACGTGGGCCATCTCTGTCAACCCCCTGAGTCCCAGGATCCTCTTCTATAAAATGGAAATGATTAGTACCTGTCTCATAAAACTTGTTGTGGGATGGGAAGATAAAGGCGGGTACAACGCCCCGGACATCACCTGACACAGAGTTGACCCTCGGTAAATACTGCTTCCCTTCCTCCTGCCGTGCCAGAAGGCAGGGTCGGGACTTTTAAGGCAGGAAACTTCCTCAGTTCCTCTTTTGTGGAGGAGGCCTTACAACTATCGTCCCACCCCAAGGCGGGAGAGATGGTGACGGATCTGAGAAGCAGGGATGTCCAGGTTTAACTTCATACCCACCCTCCACCTCCACCCCACCCCAGTGTCACAGGCCGCAGTGACATTTGTTCCGTTGGTCCCCACAGAACCCTTGGAACATAATGATAAAGCACCGGCAGGTGCAGCGGAGGGGCCGCCGCTCACAGATGACAACAAGGTAAGGCTGGCCCTGCATGGGGCTTATATCCCAGCCACTGGCTTGCATGGCAGATTTGGGATCCCCAGTGCACAAGGCTATGGAGATCTACAGCCGGTAGAAAGAGCACAGGACTGAGGAAGAGGAGACTCCGATTCTGTAACTCTGTGTGATCTTGAACTAGTCAAGTCACTTCCTTCTCTGAACTCACGTACAAAATGGGGAAGGGCACAGGAGATGGGTTGTGGAATAAACAATACCTAAGATCCCTCACATTCACTGGCTCTGTGGTTGAGGGCTCTAAAGAGGTCAGTTAGCATGGAGTTTAAGAGAACAGGCTCTGGAGTCAGACAACTGTGTTCTCATCAACAGACTCTGATGAGCCCGTTTTCTCAACTATAAAGAGGGATTAATAGTATGCATGTCAGGGAAGGGAGAGAGCACAAGGTGGGCCTTTGGGATGCTGATAGTGGTGAAATGGATGTTCACTATAATTACTCATTAAAGTGTATAGACTTTTCTGTATAAGTATTATATTTCATAAAAACACTTTGGGCCGGGCGCGGTGGCTCACGCCTGTAATCCCAGCACTTTGGGAGGCTGAGGTGGGTGGATCACCTGAGGTCGGGACTTCCAGAACAGCCTGACCAACATGGAGAAACCCCGTCTCTACTAAAAATAACAAAAAATTGGCCGGGCGCGGTGGCTCACGCCTGTAATCCCAGCACTTTGGGAGTCTGAGGCGGGCAGATCACCTGAGGTTGGGAGTTCGAGACCAGCCTGACCAAAATGGAGAAACCCGGTCTCTACTAAAAATACAAAAATTAGCCGGGCGTGGTGGTGCACACCTGTAATCCCAGCTACTAAGGAGGCTGAGGCAGGAGAATTGCTTGAACCCAGGAGGCAGAGGTTGCAGTGAGCCAAAACCACGCCACTGCACTCCAGCCTGGGCAACAGAGTGAGACTCCGTCTCAAAAAAAAAAACTTTGAAAATAATATGCACTTCATAGAGTTATTATGAGAAAGAAATAAAGTCATGCCTCTGTGATTTGCACAAAATCTGAGCATGTAGCTAGTTTTCAATAAAAGCTGTCTAGTATTGTTAAGGAATTCTATGTCCATAATTAACTGGGGAGGCTGGGAAAGAATATGTTTGGGACATGCCCCCTCACCCTGTCTCCCTCCTGAATGCAGTTTCACAGATCCTGCCATCTCCATGGATCTCCTCCGAGCTGTCCTGCAGCCCAGCATCAACGAGGAGATCCAGACTGTCTTCAACAAGTACATGAAGGTGAGAGGGACACAGGATAAAAAATAACAGGAGAAAGACTCATGAGGAGCCCAGTCCTTGCCTGCATCACCAGTCTGTCTCTTTCCTACATACAGATATCTAAAGTTTTCCTTTCTTGTTGTTTTTGTTTTGTTTTGTTTTGTGTTTTTGAGACAGATTCTCACTCTGTCACCCAGGCTGGAGTGCAGTGGCACAATATCGATTCACCGCAACCTCCACTTCCCAGGTTCCAGCGATTCTCATGCCTCAGCCTCCCTAGTGGCTGGGATTACAGGTGCCCACCACCTTGCAGGGCTAATTTTTGTATTTTTAGTAGAGACGGGGTTTCACTGTTGGCCAGGCTGGTCTCGAACTCCTGACCTCAAATGATTTGCCTGCCTTGGCCTCCCAAAGTGCTGGGATTATAGGTGTGAGCCAGGGCACCTGGTCAGTTTTCAAATTTTTAATCCCCCAAGAATTTTATTCCCTCCTTGAGGGTAATTCAGATACCTTTTTTTTTTAAAATCTGCCCTTGTCACGCACGTGGTTTTTTTTGCTGACCTCTTATAAGGATGAAGTGACTTAAATGTACTGTGCTGAGCACTGTGCTCCAGACATAACAAGTGTCCAATAAGTATTCTTATTAGTTGTTTAATAATATAACCATTATTGGGGCCATGCACAGTGGCTCACACCTGCAACCCCAGCACTTTGGGAGGCCGAGGCAGGATCACTTGAGGCCAGGAGTTTGAGAACAGCCTGGGCAACACAGTGGGACCTCATCTCTACTAAAAAAAAAAAAAAATTTTTTTTTTTTTTTTTGAGACAGAGTCTCACTCTGTCGCCAGGCTGGAGTGCAGTGGCACGGTCTTGGCTCACTGCAACCTCCGCCTCCTGGGTTCAAGCAGTTCTCTGCCCCAGCCTCCCAAGTAGCTGGGATTACAGGCATCCGCCACCACGCCCAGCTAATTTTTTGTATTTTTAGTAGAGACGGGGTTTCACCGTGTTAGCCAGGATGGTCTCGATCTCCTGACCTCGTGATCCGCCCACCTCGGCCTCGCAAAGTGCTGGGATTACAGGTGTGAGCCACCGCGCCCGTCCTGATTTTTTGCACTATTTACACCTCAATCTGTTGGGCACCCCCACGATTATATCCGTAAGAGGGGGAATAAAGGGAGGAGGTCAAGCCTGAAATGTGAATCTAAATCTGGCTGATCCCAAAGCCCTGCTCATAATCACTTTTCCCTTCTGTATGAAGCTAGGATAAAGACTTATTTTATATTCAGTTTCCTTCAGGTTGATGCACATTAACAGGACTCTGACCTTGTCCTCTGTTGTGCTCCCCTAGTTCTTCCAGAAGGCAGCACTGAACGTGCGAGACAATGTTGGGGAGGAGGTGGACGCAGAGCAGCTGATCCAGGAAGCCTGTCGGAGCTGCCTGGAGCAGGTGAGACCAAAGGGGACAAGAGATGCAGGCACAAGGTTTAGCTCTCGAGCCTCTGATAAGAAATGCGATCTTAAGCCGGACGTGGTGGCTCACACATGTAATCCCAGCACTGTGGGAGGCCAAGGTGGGCAGATCACTCAAGGCCAGGAGTTTGAGACCAGCTTGGGCAACGTGGCTAAACCCCATCTCTACAAACAATACGAAAATTAGCTGGGCATGGTGGTGCACGCCTATAATCCTAGCTGCTTGGGAGCCATAGGCACGAGAATCGCTTGAACCTGGGAGACAGAGGTTGCGGTGAGCCGAGATGGCACCACTACACTCCAGCCTGGGTGAAAGAGCAAGATTCTGTCTCAAAAACAAACAAAAAAAGAAATGTGATCTTGTCATCAGTGGTATTTTGGGGAATGCCCAGCAAGCCACATATTGAGATAGGCTTGAGGCTGTTGCTGACAGGGAAAGGAAGGGAAGTAGCTACTATATGTCAGGTACCAGGATAAATGCATTATTTTTTTTTATGTCTCAGAAGAAACTATGTACAGAAGATATCTTTTAATTACTATTTTATAGATGAAGAAATTGTGACTTAGCAAACTCATAGAAGCAGAGAGTAGAATGGCAGTAGCTGGAGGGGAGAAGTGGGGGGATGTTAATCAAAGGGTACAAACTTTTAGTTATAAGATGAACAAGTTCTGGGCAATCTGATGTACAGCATGATGACTATAGTTTATCTCTATTGTTTACTTGAAATTTGCTAAGACCATAGATCTTAAGTGTCCACACACAAAATGGTAGTGGTGGATGTGTTGATTGATTTCATTGTGGTAATCATTTCACTATGTATATCTATGTCAATTCATCACATTGTACACCTTGAATATATACCATTTCTGTTTATCAATTATACATCAATAGAGCTAGAAAAAAATTTTTAAAAGCAAAGCAAAAAAAAAAAAAGAAATGGCTTAAGACACATAATAATTAGAATAGCTAAGATCTGTCTCACCCCTGCAGGTGCGTGGTGGATCAAGTTATCATGGCCCCATTTGGTATCATGGGGATGAGCACCCTGCTGCCTCCCTGCCTCTCTGGTGTGGTCAGGAAGCATGACATCAGGTCTATAAATGACTGTTCCCAAGATAGTAGAGAACCTGTTTACATGTGTCAGCTGCTGTTATTAGGAGGAATTGTTGCCATCACCATTTTATAGGGAGACATCAGGAAAGGTCGCCAATAGTCGCTGGCTCACTTTCTCACCTCCTATTCATTCTCTTCACTTTGTTTTCGCTTCAGTCCCCACTACTTCACTGGAACCCCTCTTGTCGGGGTCGCTAGTAACTTCCGTGTTGTCAAACCCTCTGGTCCCTAACTGTCCTCAACTTACTCAGCTTCTCAGTGACATCTGTCACAATGGATCATTTCGCGTTTCTTGGAATGCTCCTCTGTTGGCTAGAGTGCCTTGACTTTGCTCCAACCTCATTGCCTACTCTTCTCTCTCACCCCCCGCCTCTAACTGTTGGTGCCTTCCCAAGTTCAGTCCTCAAACCCCTTCTCTTTCATGGCTCAC
This sequence comes from Homo sapiens, assembly GCF_000001405.40. Classification (NCBI taxonomy): domain Eukaryota; kingdom Metazoa; phylum Chordata; class Mammalia; order Primates; family Hominidae; genus Homo; species Homo sapiens. The sequence goes on from NC_000020.11 coordinate 45,797,011, forward strand.
TGTTTTCATAGGTGTTTTCATCTAGTCCTGTGGCTTGGAAGCCAATTCAGCCGCTCATAATTCACACATTTATATCTCAGTCCAGAGTTACATTCACCGTTACCCAGTTCCAATCCACTCTTCTCACAGCAGCCAGACTGATCTCCGTAAAGATGAATTAGATCATGTCACTCCCCATTTTAAAAACCCTTCAGTGACTTTCCTGTTGCAGGGAGAATAAAGTCTTAATGCCTTACCATGATCCTGCTGGGAAAACTGGCTAGCCATATGTAGAAAGCCGAAACTGGATCCCTTCCTTACACCTTATACAAAAATTAATTCAAGATGGATTAAAGACTTAAATGTTAGACCTAAAACCATAAAAACCCTAGAAGAAAACCTAGGCAATACCATTCAGGACATAGGCATGGGCAAGGACTTCATGACTAAAACACCAAAAGGAATGGCAACAAAAGCCAAAATTGACAAATGGGATCTAATTAAACTAAAGAGCTTCTGCACAGCAAAAGAAATGACCATCAGAGTGAACAGGCAACCTACAGAATGGGAGAAAATTTTTGCAATCTACTCATCTGACAAAGGGCTAATACCCAGAATCTACAATGAACTCTAACAAATTTACAAGAAAAAAACAAGCAACCCCATCAACAAGTGGCCAAAGGACATGAACAGACACTCCTCAAAAGAAGACATTTATGCAGCCAAAAGACACATGAAAAAATGCTCATCATCACTGGCCATCAGAGAAATGCAAATCAAAACCACAATGAGATACCATCTTACACCAGTTAGAATGGTGATCATTAAAAAGTCAGGAAACAACAGGTGCTGGAGAGGATGTGGAGAAATAGGAACACTTTTACACTGTTGGTGGGACCGTAAACTAGTTCAACCATTGTGGAAGTCAGTGTGGCGATTCCTCAGGGATCTAGAACTAGAAATACCATTTGACCCAGCCATCCCATTACTGGGTATATACCCAAAGGAATATAAATCATGCTGCTATAAAGACACATGCACACATATGTTTATTGTGGCACTATTCACAATAGCAAAGACTTGGAACCAACCCAAATGTCCAACAATGATAGACTGGATTAAGAAAATGTGGCACATATATACCATGGAATACTATGCAGCCATAAAAAGTGATGAGTTCATGTCCTTTTTAGGGACATGGATGAAGCTGGAAACCATCATTCTCAGCAAACTATCACAAGGACAAAAAACCAAACACCGCATGTTCTCACTCATGGGTGGGAATTGAACAATGAGAACACATGGACACAGGAAAGGGAACATCAGACACCGGGGCCTGTCGTGGGGTTGGGGGAGGGGGGAGGGATAGCATTAGGAGATATACCTAATGTTAAATGACGAGTTACTGGGTGCAGCACACCAACAAGGCACATGTATACATATGTAACAAACCTGCATGTTGTGCACATGTACCCTAAAACTTAAAGTATAATTTAAAAAAAAATGCCTTACCATGACCCACAGAGCCTACCCTCGACTGGCTTCTGCCTGCTTCTTTAACTTCATTTCATCTCACCTCTTTTTTATTGACTATACTCTGGCTGTTCTGAACTCCTTTCTGCTCCTCCAGCACAAGCTTAGGCCATTTCACTTGCTGTTCTTAGTACCTGGGGTACTCTACCCTTAACTCTATAAAGCCGGCTCCTTCTTTTCTTCAGATCTTAGTTTAAATATCAGAGAGGTCTTCCCCTCGCACTCCTACCTCTGCTAAAATCTTGAGCTTTACAAGAGTTGAGGCCTAATCTTGTTCACCACTGTATTCCCAGCCCTGGAATATGACTCTTAGTATGTGTACAGAGTTTGCTGAATTATTGAGTAAATGAAGGAACAAACAAATGATAAATGAACAAACAAGCTTCCTGCTCTAATAGAACTTAACAGCCTACTTAAGCAGACAGGTGTGAATTAGATTACCAACAAATGTGTGCATAATTACACATTGAGACTTGATCACCCTTCACTGGAAAGGGACAAAGTTTGGAGGAGAAGAGCATGAATCCAATTATGGATTAGCAGCTTTGAGCCATCCAAGCATAGACATGGGGCAGACTATTTGGTATATAAGTCTAGAGCTCAGAGGATAACCTTTTGTCTACAGTTGAATTATGGAATCGTGGTTTATAGATGTTAATTGAAGCTGTGAGAATAGGTGAGAGCAGATAGAATATGTAATGAGAGAGGATAGGGAAAAGAACCAGATTGAGAAGGAAAAGCCAGCAAAGAAGGCTAAGAAAGAACGGCCAGAGAAGTAGAAGGAACACAGGAAGTGTGGCCACAGGAGCCTGTAGAAAAGAGTGTTTCCAGAAGGGGGAGCCCTCAGCACTGTCAAATGCCACTGGCAGAGGTCGGGTGAACCCAATTCTCCACCTGCTGCACCATCTCCCCTCTGCCCATTCCATCCTTTTCTTTGTCAAATGAGCCAGGTGTTCCCACCTTTGAGCTTCTGCACTCCTCCCTGCTGCTGAAACACTTCTGCCCAGCTTTTTTTACAGCCTCCTTCACATCTCAACTCAGAGGCCACCTTCTGAGCAAGGCCTTCCCTGGCCATTCCCGCAAAGTAGCCCTTCCCCTCTGGTGGTTCTCTGTCACATCTGCCTGGGTTTTTTTCTTTTTTTCTCACAGCATCTATCATGATCCACAGTTACCTTGTTTGTTTCTGTGCTTATTATCCAGATCACCCACAAACTATAAGCTCCACAAGAGCTTGTCCTAGTTACTGCTGTGTCCACAGCACTTAGGTCCCAGGTACTCAGTATTTATTAAAAGAAAAACAGCAGGCCAGGCGCACTGGCTCACGCCTGTAATCCCAACACTTTGGGAGGCTGAGGCGGGCAGATCACGAGGTCAGAAGTGTGAGACTAGCCTAGCCAACGTGATAAAACCCCATCTCTACTAAAAATACCAAAAAAAAAAAAAAAAAAAATTAGCTGGGTGTGGTTGCACGCCTGTAATCCCAGCTACTCAGGAGGCAGAGGCAGGAGAATTGCTTGAACCTGGGAGGCGGAGATTGCAGACAGCCGAGATCGCACCACTGTACTCCAGTCTGGGCAACAGAGCAAGATTCCATGTCAAAAAAAAAAAGAAAAAAGAAAAACAGCAGCTTACTGAGGAGTATGTGTTATACTAATGTATTTAGTTTGAAAAAACATACAGTATGTATTTACATGGGAAAAGCAAGGAAGAATTTACATTGAAACATTAATAGTAGTTTATGTAATGAGATTCCAGGTTTTTCTTATTTTGCTTTTTTACATTTTTTAATTTTTCCAGCCATGATCATTAATTCAAGTTTTTTTAAAAATAGATATCTATTTCTATGCATATAAATATATATATGTGTGTGGCTGGGCGTGGTGGCTCATGCCTGTAATCGCAGCACTTTGGGAGGCCAAGGCAGGTGGATCACCTGAGGTTAAGAGTTCGAGACCAGCCTGGCCAACATGGTGAAACCCCGTTTCTAATAAAAATACAAAAATTAGCTGGGCATGGTGGTGGGCACCTGTAATCTCAGCTGCCTGGGAGGCTGAGGCAGGAGAATCGCTTGAACCCAGGAGGCGGAGGTTGCAGTGAGCTGAGATAGCACCACTGCACTCCAGCCTGGGCGACAAGAGTGAAACTCCATCTCAATTTAAAAAAAAAAAAAAAATATATATATATATATATATATATATATATATATATATATATATATATATATATATATATATTTGGAAGTGGGCCGATCACTTGAGGTCAGGAGTTCAAGACCAGCCTGTCCAACATGGTGAAATCCCGTCTCTTCCAAAAATACAAAAATTAGCTGGGTATGGTGGCGCACCCCTGTAGTCCCAGCTACTTTGGAGGCTGAGGCATGAGAATCACTTGAACCCAGGAGATGGAGGTTGCAGAGAGCCAAGATGGTGCTGCTGCACTCCAGCCTGAGCAACAGAGCAAGACTCTGTCTCCAAAAAAAAAAAAGGAAGTAGGTAGGGTGTGCTTACCCACCAAAATAGTGACTGGTAACACTTGGTCTTTTTCCCTTCAGGCTAAACTGCTCTTTTCAGATGGAGAAAAAGTAATACCCAGATTGACCCATGAGCTTCCAGGAATAAAGGTCAGAGTCACTGTGTTCTCGGGTATTGGAGCGGGAGGTCCTTCAGGCTGGGAGGCAAGTGAAATATGTGGGCCCAGGGAGGTTCCATGTACTTCCATTTGTAGGACCAGGCCCACACAGCATCATGCTGGATGGGCTTCTTTGGCCTGGGTCAGAGCGGGGCTGGAGAGCTGTAGTCCAGGGCTGTCTTCTGCAACTCCAGAAGACCTGCAGCTCCCAGGCACTGGCCTTCCACTGACTCCCTTCCCTTTTCTTTTAGCGTGGCCGTCAGGCAGAAGAAGAATGTGCCCATCGAGGAAGCCCCCTTCCTAAAAAGGTAAACCATTTCCTTGTTTTGTTTTCTGGCTGAAAAAAGGCTTGTCAGGCCGGGTGTGGTGGCTCACACCTGTAATCCCAACACTTTGGGAGGCCAAGCGGGGAGGATCACTTGAGCTCAGGAGTTTTGAGACCAGTCTGGGTAACATAGTGAGACCCTGTCTCTAAAATAAAAAAAAAATTAGCCAGGCATGCTGGCACATTTCTGTCGTCCTAGCTACATGAGAGGCTGCAGTGGGAGGATCACCTGAGCCCAGGAGTTCAAGGCTGTAGTGAGCTATGATCATGCCACTGCACTCCAGGCTGAGTAACAGAGTAAGACCCTGTCTCTCAAAAAAGGCTCTTCACTCCGCAAGGTACTGGGCTTCCTCAAAGCCCTTTTGAGCCTTCCTAGACATGAGAGGCAGTTTTTCTCCCTGTCCCTGTCAAACATCATTTGATCTCTTTGGAAAACCATCTCTGCCAAGTGACCCTGGACCTGCCAATGGGGTATGGGGAGTAACCACAGGGTCAGACCTCTGACAGCTGTTTTTTGTGGCAGAGGAAAGGACGGCCTCCTGGACACATCCTGTCAAGCGACCGGGCAGCCGCCGGCATGGTGTGAGTAGGGACCAACAGTGTGGTGAGAGCATAGGGGAGCAGACGGAGAGAGGGGCCCTGAAGGAAAAGAGTCCAGGGTTCTGTGCCTGTCAAAATCAGATCCATCAGCTTAAGTCATCGTGGAGGGGGGTTATCCTGGTTGGAGGGGTGAGGAAGGAGGGTAGTGAGGAGGAAATTGTTTTACCCCCTGAACGGTTTGGCCCAGCTTGATGAAAGATTAAACTCCAGAGGTTTGTCATTGTTAGTATATATTGGATGCTTATGACTGGTCTAAATACGTTACATACTTTACCTTTTAATCTTTATAGCCACCCTGTAAAGAAGATATCATTAATTTTTCAGATAACAGACTCAGAGAATTACTTGCCTAATGTCATATCGTTAACATTGCCTCCAAGACGGTCATTTTCAAATATATATTTTTTTAAGACTTAATTTTTTTAGAGCAGTTTTAGGTTCACAGCAAAATTGAGAGGAAGGTACAGACATATCCCGTATACTCCCTGACCCTACACATGCACAGCCTCCCCCATTATCGACATCAGGCACCAGAGTGGTACATTTGTTACATTTGATGAGCCTACTTTGACTCGTCTTGATCCTCAGAGTGCATAGTTTCCATGAGGGTTCACTCTTGGTATTGTACATGAACTTAGACAAATGCATAGTGACAGGCATCCACCATTCTAGTATCACACTGAGTGCTTTCAGTGCCCTAAAAATCCTCTGTGTTCTGCCTGTTCATCCTTCCTTCCCCCTCAACCAACCCCCAACCCCACTTTTTAAAAAAAATTCTGAAGCAGCAGAATCTTTTTCAAACAAAACTTTACATGGGAGCCCAGTATTTAAATCAAATAAAGCCACACTGGTCTGGTTCAGGGGCGTGGGGTTAGTTTGGAACAGCTGGCTTAGTAGATGGGCTAGTATTAACTGTCATACCTTAGATGTGTCTCCTACACGAAGCAGTTTTATTCCTCACAAACACAAGATAGGTAGGGCAGTTGCTGTTTTTGTCTCTTTTGACAGATGAGAAAACTGCCACTCAGAGGTTCTTGGAGTTGCTCATGCCACTATGTAAGAGCAGAGCTAGTGCTAGAATGGCTTCTAGTCCAGTGCTTTTTTTCCCTTTGTTCCTCCTCTTATGTGTCACCACGAAGGAGGATGTCCAGGGCTAAAGTGAGAGTGTGTGAGGAACTCCTACCACCACCAGCAAGCTGGCATTTAGTCCTAGGTCTCACCTTGGAGAATTCACCTTTATTCTTTCCTTCCAAGCAGATGGAAACCAAAATCCTGTGAACCAATTCGCCGGGAAGGCCCCAAGGTATGATTATGTGAGCATGGCAGAGATCACGATCCCAGGAGATAGTCCCACTATCTCTAGGACCCACCATGAGGGAAAGGGGCAGGGGGCGAAGGGTGCATGCACACCATTCCAGAGCCATCTGCCCCTCTCCACCTCCAGCCACACTGGCCTCAGAGAGGATCCTGTGTAGGAATTGGAGTTAGAGGCAAAACAAAGAGAGGGCTTGAGTCTTTGCTGAAGCCTTCTCCTTATAGGAGTTAGTGGTCACTAATACTGATTCAATACTTAGTATGTAACGGGCAGTGTCCTAAATCTTTTGTGTAGACCATCTCATTTAATCTTTATAACAAACTTATGAGATCAATTCTGTGAACCATTCTATAAATGAGGCGTTTCCTTTTCTGCCAGCTTCCCTGTGGGCATAAATTATTTTATTCAGTTGTCTTATACACTTAATGCACTTAAGACTTGCCCAAAGTCACATAACTCGTAAGTGATCGAGCTGAGTCTCAAACCCAAGACCCGCTGACACCAGAGTCTGTGCTCTCAACCATTAGCCTCTGTTGCCTCCCTCTCTCTCCTGAGTTCTTCCTCAGCAGTGACTTATATAAATGGTTGTTCCCCAGAATTCTCTCCTTGGCCCACTTCTCCATCTAAAGTAACTCTCTGGATAATCTAAAACATATACTCTTATGGTTTCAGGGACCACCATGTTCTAAAACTCCCATACCTCTTTGTCCATCCCATGCCTCTTTCTACTTTAAAACTTGTTTATCCTACTATCTGCTTGACCACTCTGCTGGAAGTTTCATAGGCATTTCAGACTCAGCATATCCAAACATGAAATTAGAATCTTTCCTCACAGCCCTTCTTTACATTCGTTATCTTAATCATCTTTGCCTCCTCCTCCTCTTCCTTACCTCCCTACACCCAGTCGAGTCCTGGACAATTCTTCCTCTTAAATATATTGCAGTTCCTATTTCCTTCTGTTCATCCTTACTGCTGCCCTAGCTCAGGCCCTTAGCAGCTTTCCAACTGCTTTATCACAGCGGCCTCTAAACTGCTCTCCCTGCCTGTAGTCTTGCCCCTTCAAATCCATTATCCACATTGCTAGAAGACTAAGCTATCTTTAAAGGAAATCTGACTCTCACTCCCTGTTTAGAGGCCTTCAGCGATTCCCCATTGCCTACAGAAGAAATAAAATGCAGTCCCCTGAACATAACCTCCTAAGACCTCCAACTCCTCTGTGTTTCTCTCTCCAGCCCCATCAGCTGCCACTCCCTAATTTGTACTCTCTCTGTTAGCAGCACAGAATTACTAGTAGTTTCTCCAGCAGGCCAAGCTGCCTCTCACCTGTCTTTGCTCATGCTGCCCCCTGTCTGGAATGCCCTTGTTCCTGACCCCCTTTACCCCAACTTGTGCTCACCCTTTCAGAATTAACTTGGGAAATGCCTCTCTAAGGAAGCCTTCCTGGCTGGACCCTCCCCTCGGCAGCCCTCAGACCCTGCACTCACTTGTGTCCTTGCCTCATCGCACAATGGTGTAATTATCTGTACATATGTTGGTGGCATCCTAGAAAACAGAGACTGTATCTTATTCATCTCTTTATCCCCAGTATCTAGCACAGACAGGGCCTAGCATATTGTGAGTACTCAGTGTCTTGGGTCAACTGTTGATTAAATAATAGACAAGGGGAAGGGTTAGAAAAGGGTAGGGGGAGGAGTGTTTCTGTCCTACCCATCAGATTAAACTTCACCCTCACGAGCTTCTCTATTTTTTGCACAGTGGGACCCAGCTCGCCTGAATGAATCTACCACCTTTGTGTTGGGATCTCGAGCCAACAAGTAAGTTTAAGAGCTTTGGCACTGATTGAGGAAACAGCTCAGGAGTTCACTAGTAGGACTACACTTTCTGGAATCTTGACCACTTGGCTTTTACTTTTCAGAGCCCTGGGGATGGGGGGCACCAGAGGAAGAATCTACATCAAGCACCCACACCTCTTTAAGGTAGGTGACTGCTGGGAGGAAAGCAGGCCATTGCATTGGGAGTAGACTGGGAACTCCACTCAGCACAGAGAAGCTTAGAACAAACACTGATCTTGGAGTCAGGACATCTGGGTTCTAGTTGTGCCTCTGCCATTCACCTTTCCCTTTCATGATTTACTCAACACCTCTGTGCCTCAGTAATAACAGCTACTTTGCTTGCATGCTTACTGGGTGCCAAACACAGTTTTAAATCCCACACTTATATTATCTTAAAAAATAAGTATTGCCATCCTTATTTCACAAATTTGAAACAATCAGAGGTTGAGAAAGGCTGAGTGACTTGCCCACAGTTATTCAGCTAGAAATGGTGAGTCAGGATTCAAATCCAGGTCTGTCCTCACCAAAGCCTGAGCTCTTAACCACTACCATATTTGGTTGTCTGTAAATTAGAGTTTGGGCCAGGTGCGTGAGCTCACACCTGTAATCCCAGCACTTTGGGAGGCCAAGGCGGGTGGATCACCTGAAGTTGGGAGTTCGAGACCAGCCTGACCAACATGGAGAAACCCTGTCTCTACTAAAAATACAAAATTAGCTGGCATGGTGGCTCATGCCTATAATTCCAGCTACTCAGGAGGCTGAGGCAGGAGAATCGCTTGAACCCAGGAGGCGGAGGTTGTGGTGAGCCGAGATCACACTGCCCTCATATTTGCATTTTAAAATAACTCTGGGGTCTGGCACAGTGGCTCACGCCTGTAATCCCAGCACTTTGGGAGGCTGAGGCTGGCGGATCACCTGAAGTCGGGAGTTCGAGACCAGCCTGACCAACATGGAGAAACCCCGTCTCTACTAAAAATACAAAAATTAGCTGGGCATGATGGCGCATGCCTGTTATCCCAGCTATTCAGGAGGCTGAGGCAGGAGAATCGCTTAAACCCAGGAGGCAGAGGTTGCAGTGAGCCAAGATCTCACCATTGCACTCCAGCCTGGGCAACAGAGCAAAACTCCATCTCAAAAAAAAAAAAATAGAGTTTGGAGCAAGGCAGGGTCCTGTGCCTTTTCAAAGAGGGTACTCCTCTTCTGAGAGCAGCTATGTTTTGGTCCCCACTGTTTGAGGGAATAATGGAGGAAATCATAAACTCACTCACCCTCTTAGATGATTTTGTATTTTATCAGTCACGAGAGCATCGAAGTAGATTAGAAGAATAGCAGTGCATGTGTGTTCCACACATGGTTTTTTGCACTTATACGTAAGGCTTGGCACCTCTTGCCAGAACTGCACAGCCCTGTGGGATCCCAGAATCACGGGCTTTCTCTACCACATTCTGTGCAAGTTTTCAAGTTCTTTGAAAGGCATACCTGCTCACGCTTCTTCTCCAGTCTGATATCCTCGAGTCCCAACACTTAAACAGTTTGCCCAGTGGCTCCTTTGTTTTCCTCTCTTAATGTCGTCACTCTTGCTATTCCCATTGCCTGGGTGGCCTTTCTCTCCCACCCTTATCTGCCTGACTATTCTTTAAGATCCACCTCCTCCAAGAGCTTTGTTTGTATCATCCCCAAAATCAATATGCTTTTGGACCTACTTTGAATTCCCACTTCAGCGTGGTTTAAAGTATGGCTTCAGGCCTGGTTCCATTATTTTACTAGCTGCATGAACTTGAACAAATGGCTCCACATTTGTTTTTCTTTTTTCTTTTTTTTTAACTAGCTCAAGTCTGGGAATTGATCCACATTTCTGAGTCTGTTTTTGTCCTGTATAAAATGAGAATAGTGATAGACCAACCATTTTTTTTTTTCTGAGACGGAGTCTTGCTCTGTCACCCAGGCTGGAGTGCAGTGGCGCGATCTCAGCTCACCGCATCCTCCACCTCCTGGGTTCAAGCAATTGTCTGCCTCAGCCTCCCGAGTAGCTGGGATTACAGGTGCCCACCACCATGCCCGGCTAATTTTTGTATTTTTAGTAGAGATGGGGTTTCACCATCTTGGCCAGGCTGCTCTCAAACTCCTGAGCTCAGATGATCCACAGCCTCAGCCTCCCAAAGTGCTGGAATTATAGACTTGAGCCACTGCACCTGGCCCAACTTTACAAATTCTCTATTAGTGATTATAAGTATCTTTTCAGTCATTTAGAATCTATTTGTATTTCTTCTGTAAGCTGCCTGTTATATCTTTTGCCCATTTTTCTCTCCTTCAGAAGGCATTATTCAAATTCTTTTCCTTTTTTAAATGTTTTGATTATAGAAATAATATATAAACCCATTCCCGTGGTAAAAAGATTCAGACGATACACAGGAGGTAGTAGAGAGCAAAACACAGTTTCTCAGCCAGGTGCAGTGACTCACGCCTGTAATCCCAGCACTTTGGGAGCCCGAGGCAGGCGGGTCACCTGAGGTCAGGAGTTCAAGGCCAGCCTGGCCAACATGGTGAAACCCCATCTCTACTAAAAGTACAAAAATTAGCCGGGCATGGTGGTGCACTCCTGTAGTCCTAGCTACTCTACTCGGGAGGCTGAGGCAGGAGAATTGCCTAAACCCAGGAGGCAGAGGTTTCAGTGAGCCGAGATCACGCCACTGCACTCCAACCTGGGCGACAGAGCAATACTCTGTCTCAAAAAATATATATATCAGTTTCTCTTCACTCCTCGATTTTTTTTTTAAGGTGCTTAAATTCTGGTTTCTAGGTGCCCAACCTAGAATAGAAACCAGAATTTAAGCCTTATTTGGGTTGAGCACAGTAGCTCATACCTGTAATCCCAACACTTTGGGAGACTGAGTGGGTGGATCAGTTGAGGCCAGGAGTTCAAAACCAGCCTGGCCAACATGGCAAAACCCCATCTCTACTAAAAATACAAAAATCAGCTGGGTGTGTTGGCACGTGCCTGTAATCCCAGCTATTCAAGGCTGAAGCAGAAGAATAGCTTGAACCCAGGAGGTGGAGGTTGCGGTGAGCCAAGATCATGCCACTGCACTCTAGTCTGAACAACAGAGCGAGACGTCATCTCAATAAATAAATAAACAGCCAGGCACGGTGGCTCACACCTGTAATCCCAGCACTTTGGGAGCCCGAGGTGGGCAGATCACCTGAGGTCGGGAGTTCAAGACCAGCCTGACCAACATGGAGAAATCCCATCTCTACTAAAAATACAAAATTAGCCGGGCGTGGTGGCGCATGCCTGTAGTGCCAGCTACTTGGGAGGCTGAGGCAGGAGAATCGCTTGAACCCAGGAGGCGGAGGTTGTGATGAAGCAAGATCATGCCATTGCACTCCAGCCTGGGCAACAAGAGTGAAACTCCGTCTCAATCGATCAATCAATCAATCAATCAATAAACCAACCAACCTTATTTGTAACTCCAAAACCGAATTCTTAACCATGATGCTATTATGCGTCCGAGAGTACATGAGGTGTCCCGATTTTTGTTTTATTATGGTCACCATAATAATTACAGACGTTATAAGCCACCTCCGATCATTTTTTAAAAAGAGGAAGCTCTAAAATAATAGTTATCAGTCCCACCAGTTGCCCGGGGTGCTTTGTTGTGAGAAGGGGGTGGGGATTGGGAGTATACTAAGTCTCTGGGAATTGGGTCCCATGGTCTGCCCTCGGGGTTGGCTTAGCTTTCTCTGAAGAGATTAGTGAGCCCTCTAAGTCCACCACGCTTGGAGACAAGGACTTTTGGTAAGAACTGCTCAAGGGCCAAGAGTATGCTCTGGGACCAAATGAGAAAAGCCCCTTACCCGAGGCTAATTTTCTTACAACTTCATTCCTTACAGTATGCAGCTGACCCCCAGGATAAGCACTGGCTGGCTGAGCAGCATCACATGCGGGCAACAGGGGGCAAGATGGTAAGCATTATTCATTTGTGCCACTGCCAGTGACCCACCCCACCTGGGAACCAGGATTTTGGCTGTGGGTGACAGCCTACCTCCAAATCTGACTTCCAAAGCCTCACCAATGTGTGAGAAGAGAGACTTATAAGGCCTATTTCTTCATGCTGAAGAGCAAATTGTAATCTTCAGGTTCCCTTCCCTATCCCTAGGTCTCCCTTCCGCCCCCTCACACTTTTACCTCATGCCTCCAAGATCACATATTTGGATACTATTAGCTGTCCATAGGAATAGCAGGTATAAGACACACAGTACTACTTTTTCCCACTACTGCACCCACTGACAGATTTCACTCATTGATCACTCTTCCACCAGACACAGCTATAGAATCTTTTCTCAACACAGTACTTGAGGCAGCAACCCTTGTCAGTAGGAGTTAGCAATGAAATGTGTTTGCACACTTGGCAGCCCCTTCCAGATTTACCTCTACTTGAAGAGTTCTCAGATCATATGAAACAGCAACCTTAGGAAAATCATCATTGCATGTGTTCAAAAACTATTGTTGAGGGCTTTGTCCATCACACACAATGTCCCCCACCTGAGGACTCACTCACTCCCACCACAGGTACTGCTCCTTTTAGAATCTAAGTGCCTTACAAACTGATATGCCATCTCCTTTCTGGCAGTGAGAGCTACCTTTTATTTTATTTTACTACTCTATTTATGCCTATGCTTTACTTCAAAAAAGATTTCAGGTAAGCTTCATGCACATAAAATGCAACATTACATAAATAAGAAATAGATGGTAGGGGGTGGGGGCAGGACCTAAAATTAAGCCACCAGTAAAAGTAGTTCTTTAAAAAAAAAAAGTGTTTTTTATATTGCTGACCTGGGAGACCTGTGCACTTCTACAGATGTTGGCAAATTCAGCTGTAGGCCCCACTCATGGACACCTGATCTGTTATGGTTCATAGTGCCCATAAGATGTAGACAAATTACTCAAGGAATACACAATTATTCCTGACCCTAACATTAGAAAGTCTCCCACAGAAGACTTTCTAATATGATGAATATCTCTTCCTATATGTTAAGTTCACAAAAGGGCCCTCACCCACTGTAGACCGAGGCATTGTGACAAAGCATTTCTACAGGCCCCAGTACAATACAGGCCAATTACTAGACAGCAGAGCAGTTTATCATGTTTTCCATTTTGCCACAAAGTTCAAAACCAAGTTATCTTTGTCCTCAGAGGGAGCACATGGTTTCCTCTTCCTGATTTCCTGTTTCCATATATATTTTGCTGGCTTTCTTGCCATTTTGTTATAACCCACCTTGGGTCCTTTCGTATACTTGATCTTAACCAAAAGGTGTAGGAGCAATGGTGGATCCCTTTTTTTTTCTTTTTTTCTTTTTTTTTTTTTTTTCTTAATTTTCACCACACCATTCAAGAGAGAAATGGGTCCTTTTTTAAAAGAGAAGGCTATAAATAAGTCACCAGTCCCTACTCTCCCATCCATGAAGCATCTACTGTAGTAAAAGATTGTCTCAAGGAACCATTCCCATCCCTCCCCACTTACTCTTCCGTACTAAATTGTAAACCGCATCCCCCGCTTCCACCTAGTAGCAGGCCTTACATTAAACAGATGTTTAATGAAGTGTTACTGAGTTGGAGTGAAATGAATCAGGCAATGACCACTCTCCCTTGCTCCTGCCTCAGGCCTACCTCCTCATCGAGGAGGACATCCGGGACCTTGCGGCCAGTGATGATTACAGGTAAAACCAGTGGGTCTCCTGCCCCTTCTCCTCTCCCTGCCTCCAAATAGCCCCTAGAATGAGGCAGGGCCTACATCCTCACTTCCCCCAACTTCTCTCTTCAATGTCTGTTCCAGAGGATGCCTGGATCTGAAGCTAGAGGAATTGAAATCCTTTGTCCTACCCTCCTGGATGGTGGAGAAGATGAGAAAGTATATGGAGACACTACGGACAGAGAATGAGCATCGTGCTGTTGAAGCACCTCCACAGACCTGAGGCCGGGTCCCCTGGCCACACTTGGCAGCCCTCCTCCAAAGCCCTCTTCCTCACGTGGCTGAGGCCACCGCTGGGACTGCTCCTAGATGGATCTCAGCGGCATTAAGCTGTGCCTGAGCGAGTTTGTAGTGACTCACTGCACAGCACCCCCAGACTAGCATGTGGTTCTATATTTGTAAAGTTATTGGGATAAGAAACAATTAAACAGTTTGTAGTAAACACAGATGGTGAACCTGCTGTGCCCTCTACCTTGTGGGAATTGACAGAACATCAAGGGCTCTAGAAGTGGGTGTAGGAAAAAAGGACGAGATAACCCTCACCCATAACAGTATAGAGCCAGGCTTGATAAGACCAACCTGGGAGCACCATGTACCCTGCCCGTCTTCCCTTTGCCCATTTGTAGTTTCCTTACCCAGCTAATGTAAGGACATGGCAGAATGCGATGGAGTTTGATGACAGATCATATGAAAAATAGAGTTGGCTTTTATTGCTCCCATTTTACAGGTTAAGATACTAAAGGACCCGCCCCAAGGTTACACACTACCCACTGGGGAGGTAGGATATACAGGATATGAACCTGTGTTGTTGGGGTTTTTGTTTGTTTGAAGACAGTCTTGCTCTGTTGCCCAGGCTAGAGTGCAGCCTCTGGCTCAAGCGATTCTCCCGCCTCAGCCTCGCCAGTAGCTGGGACTACAGGCTCGTGCCACCTCACCAGCCTTTTTTTTTTTTCTTTTCTTTTTTTTTTTTTTTCTTTTAAGTAGAGACAGGTCTCCCTATCCTGTTGCTCAGGCTGGTCTCGAACTCCTGGGTTCAAGTGATCCTCCTGCCTGGGCCTTCCAAAGTGTTCGGGATTACGGACGTGAGCCACTGCGACCAGCCTGAACCAATGTTGCCTTTTTTTATTTCTGTCATCTCTGCGGAGATGTATGGACCTATGTTTTCTAATAGGGAGCCTGCTGCTCTGGCCATCAGCCTTTAGTTTTTCCCCTCGCTGGGATTTTCAGATACTTAGGACGCAGCAAAGGTGCCCAGGCGATTATAATGGTGGGAGGGTACCAGTGCTGCAGGATTGGAGGCACTCCCTGCCCGAGGGAAATTGGATCAAGGCTGGGCGTGCCGAGTGTTCCCACGCGGAGTAAGACGTGTAGCCAGAAGGAGGGGTTCATCCCACGTGGACGTTTTCTTGGCCCTTTAATGGTTAGCGTTTTCCAACGGCCACCAATTCGCTACGGATTCGTTAGTTAATGGCAGCATCATCTACCAATCGGTTGTCAGAAGCGGGATTCTGCCGCCCAATAGCGGTGCGCCAGTGGGTAGGTCTAGCAGTGGCGCAGCAATAGAGCGCTCCGGAGCGTCTCATTGGCTGGATCAAACCCAAGCGAGCCATTGATTGGTCGACGCCCCCAGAGGGTTACAATTCAAACGCGGGCGGGCGGGCCCGCAGTCCTGCAGTTGCAGTCGTGTTCTCCGAGTTCCTGTCTCTCTGCCAACGCCGCCCGGATGGCTTCCCAAAACCGCGACCCAGCCGCCACTAGCGTCGCCGCCGCCCGTAAAGGAGCTGAGCCGAGCGGGGGCGCCGCCCGGGGTCCGGTGGGCAAAAGGTGAGTGATGCGGCCTACCACTCGCCGGGCCTGCCATGCCCTAGGCATTGGTACCCAGAGCAAAGATTTCTAGGACCACCCCCCGCCGCCACCTCCTGGAGCGGGAGATCTGCGGGTGCAGGAGAACACACCAGGAGCTCGGGGCCTGGCATTCCCCTGGGCATGGGTGTCGAGGGCGGAGACTTCCGGGACTCCCACCTCCTTGCGCGGGTGAGATTCGAGAGATGGGGGACAGGCCAGGAGCTCAGACCGCTCTTTGAGACTCTCCCGAAGGAGAATGGGAGGGTAGGGGCGCTGCCAGACTCCTTCCCTGGTGGGCCTAGATGAAGACGCTCAAGGACCCTCGTGACTTGGCCGAGACAGGGGAAGGGAGAAGTTGAGTCGGGCAAGGAAGAGATGCTAAAGCCTGGGGAATTAAGAACATGCCAGAATCATCCCGAGGGAGTCTGGAATTAGGGAGGGTGAGGACTCGCTAGGATCGTCCTGTGGATCTGGTGAGTATACCCTGAGCTGAGCCTGACCTTGGTGATGTGGGGAGCCTCCATGACGGCTCCCCCTGAGATTCAGGTGGGAGAAGATGCACCGTCTGGAGGCCTGGCCCATCCAGACTCCCAGGTAACCCCGAATACTCTTTTTTCAGGCTACAGCAGGAGCTGATGACCCTCATGGTGAGTGATTAAGTGCCCAGAACCCCAGCCTTCCATCCAATTTTCAGTAGCCTCCTTTTTTCCGTCAGCTTTTTTGCTAGACATAGGGGTAATGTAATTTGCTCCCTCCTGGGAAAGAAGTTCATACACCCCACCTACACCATTTCTTCCAGCAGTCCCTCCTCCCAATTCCATCCCCCCACACGAAGTTATCTCGAACACTTCCCTGAAGTCATACAAGACCCTCCCTATCCAGTGTGTCCCTACTTCCTAGCCCCAACCAAGCTTTACCCACACCCAACTCCCCGCCCTTCTTGGTATTTCTAGCCTATGAATTTGGTTGCTTTATTTTGGATCAGAGTGATGAGATTAAGGGGAGGCTGGGCGCGGTAGCTCACACCTTATAATCCCAACACTTTGGGGGGCTAAGGTGGGCGGATCACTTGAGGTCAGGAGTTCGAGACCAGCCTGGCCAACATTGCAAAACCCTGTCTCTACTAAAAATACAAAAATTATCCAGGCATGGTGGTGCATGCCTGTAATTTCAGCTACTCGGGAGGCTGAGGCACAAGAATCATTTGAACCGTGGAGACAGAGGTTGCGGTGAGCCGAGCGCACCACTGCACTCTAGCCTGGGCGACAGAGTGTGTGTGTGTGTCTGTCTCTGTCTATCTCTCTCTCTCAATCTCTCTCTCTCTCTCTCTATATATATATATATGTAAATATATATTTTTTAGTAGAGATGGCATAACCCCATCTATATCTCATATATATACACATATATATGTGTGTGTGTATACATATATATGTGTGTGTGTGTATGTGAGCATATATATATATATATATATATATATATAAAATTAAGGGGAAAGCTCACCCACTGACCTTTGCTATGCCCAAAAGTGTACTCCACATTCCAACAAATGTGTTTTCTCCCCAGATGTCTGGCGATAAAGGGATTTCTGCCTTCCCTGAATCAGACAACCTTTTCAAATGGGTAGGGACCATCCATGGAGCAGCTGGAACAGTAAGTGTAGGGCTGGGATGGGTGAGTGAGTCTGGGGAAAGGTGGGAAGTGAGATCCAAGTGCGAGCTCTGCTTCAAGCCTTTGGCGGAGCAAGACACTCCTCCTGTGACTGTTTACATTCTCTGAGCCATGTGGCCTTGTTCTTTCCCTCTGTGCAATAAAGGGTGGGTTTAAAGCAGGGCTGCCTATCTTAGATGTTTACATGGGGGGACAGACAGCAAGGAAATGGATGAAGTGAGGACTTTGGCCAATAGGGCCAGATCTCAAGAAGGCAGCTTCCCATTGCTGCAGATCAGGTTTAAGATGAGTCAGAAGTCCAAATCTGTGCCAAATCTAATTTTTACGTATTAGCAACTAATATTCTTTTTTTTTTTTTTTTGAGACGGAGTCTCGCTCTGTCGCCCAGGCCAGACTGCGGACTGCAGTGGCGCAATCTCGGCTCACTGCAAGCTCCGCTTCCCGGGTTCACGCCATTCTCCTGCCTCAGCCTCCGAGTAGCTGGGACTACAGGCGCCCGCCACCACGCCCGGCTAATTTTTTGTATTTTTAGTAGAGACGGGGTTTCACCTTGTTAGCCAGGATGGTCTCGATCTCCTGACCTCAAGATCCACCCGCCTCGGCCTCCCAAAGTGCTGGGATTACAGGCGTGAGCCACCACGCCCGGCCAGCAACTAATATTCTAATTGAACTAAAGCACAGGATGCCAATTTACAATCCTTAGACCAAAGAGTCACTGATGTCTCCACCAGATAAGAGGAAAGCATCAGGCTAGGCATAGTGGCTCACACCTGTAATCTCAGCACTTTGGGAGGCTGAGGCAGGCAGATCACATGAGCCCAGGAGTTTGAGACTGGCCTGGGCAACATGGTGAAACCCTGTCTCTAAAATAAAAACTAAACTAAAAAAACTTTTTAAAAAGGCAGTGGGGAGCATCAGAACCAGCTCAACAGTTTGTCTACTGTCCGGTCCCAGAGAAACTCAAGATTCTAGCAAGCCCCTTGTGTGGGGCTTGGGTTGGGACATGAGGCTGCTGCTGGAGCTTACTCTGCAACTGTTTCTCCAAATGCCAGGTATATGAAGACCTGAGGTATAAGCTCTCGCTAGAGTTCCCCAGTGGCTACCCTTACAATGCGCCCACAGTGAAGTTCCTCACGCCCTGCTATCACCCCAACGTGGACACCCAGGGTAACATATGCCTGGACATCCTGAAGGAAAAGTGGTCTGCCCTGTATGATGTCAGGACCATTCTGCTCTCCATCCAGAGCCTTCTAGGAGGTGACTTTAGAGACCACCCCTCCCCTCCATGCAACTTGGGAACCTGTCAGGACTCCCTGGGGTCAGCCTCTTCTACCGCCTTGACCTTCTCTTTCTCTCCACCCACAGAACCCAACATTGATAGTCCCTTGAACACACATGCTGCCGAGCTCTGGAAAAACCCCACAGGTGAGTCCTCAGTCCTTGAGCCCAGGGTGATCCCTCCCCCAACCTTCAAAGGCTCCCTCAAACAAAAGGAGCCCAGTGACTTGGGACCGGGTTGGTTGGGGCAGGGTGGAGTGTCGGCAGCAACCCACTTCTGTTTCTGCCCCAGTGCTCCTATTTGCTATAAAATAGCAATTGTTTTATAGCAGAATAAAAATGTTTGGCGATAAATAATTTTGGGAAATTATTGGTGAGACCAAGGCAGGAGGATAGCTTGAGGCCAGGAATTCAGTAGAGTGCCTTGCCTGTGCCCTCCAGTCTCACTGGAAGCAAGCCCTTCCAGGAGAGCTGCCTAGATGGGCAGTGCAGGGAGAATGCCGGGCTGGGAAACCAGCCCCTCCTCCACCTCCTCCGACCTTTGCATCCCTGGTCCAGCTGCCTCTTGCCCACCTTAATTCATCCTGGGCCAGGCACAGTGGCTCATGCCTGTAATCCTAGCACTTGGGGAGGCCGAGGTGGGTGGATCACATGAGGTCAGGAGTTTGAGACCAGCCTGGCCAACATGGTGAAACCCCGTCTCTACTAAATACAAAAAAAATTAACCGGGTATGGTGGTAGGCACCTGTAGTCCCAGCTACTCAGGAGGCTGAGGCAAGAGAATCACTTGAATCTAGGAAGCAGAGGTTGCAGTGAGCAGACATCATGCTATTGCACTCCAGCTTGGTCAACAGAGTGAGACTCCATCTCAAAAATAATAAATAGTAAAGATTAACTCATCCTGTCTCCATCACTCACTGAGACCTGCCTGTTCTCTTCCAGCTTTTAAGAAGTACCTGCAAGAAACCTACTCAAAGCAGGTCACCAGCCAGGAGCCCTGACCCAGGCTGCCCAGCCTGTCCTTGTGTCGTCTTTTTAATTTTTCCTTAGATGGTCTGTCCTTTTTGTGATTTCTGTATAGGACTCTTTATCTTGAGCTGTGGTATTTTTGTTTTGTTTTTGTCTTTTAAATTAAGCCTCGGTTGAGCCCTTGTATATTAAATAAATGCATTTTTGTCCTTTTTTAGACAAGTTGTTGCGTTGTAATTTCACTAGGGTTGGAGGTACTCAGGGTAGGCAGAGGTGGAACTTAAGGATGTGGGGCCAAGCAATGGGGTGACAAAGATTTATTCCCTTGTACCTTATTTTATGACTCTGCATCTGTTTCTTCATCTATAAAATGAGTGTCACAATAATGCCTCCTGTCTATGGAGTCGGTGATGTGTACCAGCAATGTTAGTGAATGTTGGAGCTCCCTCAGCTGTGTTGCAGATGAGGCTGAGCCAGACCTTAGGCTGAAACCTACTCCTATAGCTGTAGAAGGAACAAGCGTGTGTGTTGGGGGGGGGATCCCAACACACAGCCACCCATGTTCTGTCCTGAAGAAGAATGCTTAGGTCACCCTAAGCAGGTCCAGGGCCTGGGGAGACAGCCAGGAAAAAAGCCCCTTCCCTGGCAGGACTCAGGTCTGAGCTCTGGTCTCCAGGCTCTAGCCCAGGTCCCCGGTGGAGCTCCACCTCCAAGGGGGCACAGTCGCCTCCTGCTGCATATCCCCCAGGGAGCCCCCAGCCCCTTGGGCTGCCTCTTTCCCCTGGCCTGATGAAGGCTCCAGTCTTTGAGCCCCTAGGAGGAAACACCCCTGCTGACCAGCTGGGTCCCCACAAGGGTCGGCAGGTGGAAGAGTAGGTTGAAGTGATAGGGCCCCCACAAAGCCCTTCAGGAAGATCTCCAAGGTAGATAAGCAGCATCCAGATGTGCTCCAACCTTGCACCCAACTCCTTCAGGTCTGTTAGCAGCTGGTTGGTTGTGCAAGCCTGAAGCGGGAGGGGTTTGGGATTGGAAGTTGGGTCCCTTCATGTCTATAATTGTGCTCTTAGGTCTCTCCTCTTGGGTTTTTTCTTAATCTAACATTCATACAAATACACTTGGGATCTTGTTAAATTCTTTTCTGTAGGTGTGAAGTGGAGCCTAAGATCCAGTCTGTTTATTTATTTTGGTTTCTAAATAGTTTCCAAGTGATGTCATTGCTGCGGTCTGCTTAAGAACAAAATTTAGAGCAATGTTCTTAGAATGTGGTCCTTCCAGCAGCAGCAGCATCACCCGGAACTTGTTAGGCAAATTCTTGACCCCAAACTGCCCTCCAGGTTCTGAAGGTCTCCCACGGTTGAAAATCACTAGGTTAGCGGATACTGGAGAAAACCAGAGCTCAGAACCTGGCACTAAATTAGTCAATATATGCTGGCCAGGGCCGGGTGTGGTGGCTCACTCCCTGTAATCCTAGCACTCTGGGAGGCGGAGGCAGGAGGATTGATTGCTTGAACTTAAGAATTCAAGACCAGTCTGGGCAACACAGTGAGACCCCCATCTCAAATAATAAATTTTAAAAGAAAAATAAATAAATCTTGGCCGGGCCTGGTGGTTCACATCAGCAATCTCAACATCTTGGGAGGCCAAGGTGGGAGGATCACTTGGGGCCAGAAATTCAAGGTTATAGTAAGCTTATCACTCCAGCCTAGGCAGCAGAGTAAGACCTTATCTCTAAAAGAAATGTTTCGAATACTAACTGTGGTGGATGTGTTTTCATCTGCCATGTGGTCCTTGGTCACGGTGTTTGGTACCTTAGATGGCCACATGGCCTGCCTTGGGCCAGTCACAGGTCTAAACTGTAGTTCAGATTCAACTGGTGTTGTCTGGAATTAATCACTGGGAGAGAGTAAAGTTATTTTACTAATGGGGTTGCTAAAAGAGAAGGGAGTCAGTCTCAGCTGCTGGGGGAGCCCGCTGCAGACGGAAGAAAGCCAAGTAGAGACAAACAGCTGGGAGTCGGAGAGATGACATTAACTGAGACTCTGGCCTCCAGTTCATGCTTTGCCATCCCAGTTCGATAAACTAACAAATCCCTTTTTGGTTTAAGTCCGTTTGATTTAGATTTCTGGCACTTGCAACAGAAAGAAGCCTGGTCAGGAAGTATTTGAATTTCTGGTTATTATGATTCCCATTTTATTGAATTCCTACAAGACAAAGGCCCTCTGCTTGGGGCTGGGGACAAAACAGGGAAAATACAGCTCTGCCCTTAAAGAGGCTGGAATTTGGGGGACAGACAGGCCCATCAACAGCGGGGACTGCGGAATAAGTGCCATACAGCCCAGTTATTAAGCTCAGACCAGTCTGGGCACGGTGGCTCATGCCTGTAATCCCAGCACTTTGGGAAGCCAAAGCGGGTGGATCACCTGAGGTCAGGAGTTTGAGACCAGCCTGACCAACATAGTGAAACCCCGTTTCTACTAAAAATACAAAAAATTGGCCAGGCATGGTGGCGAGTGCCTGTAATCCCAGCTACTCGGGAGGCTACGGCAGAAGAATCGCTTGAACCTGGGAGGCGGAGATTGCAGTGAGCCGAGATCGTCCATTGCACTCCAGTCTAGGCAACAAGAGCAAGACTCCATCTCAAAAAAAAAAAAAAAGAAAAAGAAAAGCTCAGACCAGGTAAGCAGAACTGTTTCAGGATCCTGGCTCCACCTCCATGTTGCCCGTAAACATGTAGGCAGTTACATTTAACCTCTCCGTAAAATGAAAATACTGGTACCTACCTCATAAGACAGTGGAAGGACCTTAGAACAATGCCTGGCACATAGTAAGCACTGAATAAATGTTGGTGCTGAACTCACATATTGCTATGTAAGTTCACAGGTGGAGCACCCAATAGAATAGGAGGGTCAGGGAAAGGTTTTTGGAGAAGGAAATTGAGCCCTGAGGGAGATGCACATTCCTTGGATAGCAAGAAGTTCAGGAGTATGTAAGGAGAGGAATACAGAGCTAGGCGTGGTGGCTCACGCTTATAATCCCAGCACTTTGCAAGGCTAAGGCGGGCAGATCACCTGAGCTCAGGAATTCAAGACCACCCTGACCAACATGATGAAACCCCATCTCTACTAAAAATATAAAAATTAGCCGGGCATGGTGGCAGGCACCTGTAGTCTCAACTACTCAGGAGGCTGAGGTAGGAGAATCGCTTGAACTCGGGAGGCGGGGGTTGCAGTGAGCCGAGATCACGCCACTGCTCTCCAGCCTGGCTGACAAGCACAAAACTCTGTCTCAAAAAAAAAAAATAATACAGGATGGGGAAGTCGCATAGATGTCAGGTCATGATAGGCTGGAAGGCCATATTAAGGTACTTGGGCTAGCCTTGGTAACAAAGTGAGACTCCATCTCTACAAAAAATAAAATAACTAGGGGCTGAGAAGGGAGGATCACTTGCACCTAGGAGTTCGAGGCTGCAGTGAGCTATAATTGTGCCACTGCACTTCAGCCTGTGTGATAGGGAGATTCAGTCCTTAAAAAAAAAAAAAAAAAAAACTTGGACTTTATCTTGAGGCAACAGCCAGCTAATGAAGCCTTGAGCAGGGCAGTGACGTGATCAGATTTTTTTTTTTTAAATTTATTTTTTGAGACGGAGTTTCACTCTTGTTGCCCAGGCTAGAGTGCAATGCTACGATCTCTGCTCACTGCAACCTCTGGCTCCCGCATTCAAGCGATTCTCCTGCCTCAGCCTCCCAAGTAGCTGGAATTACAGACATGTGCCACCACACCTGGCTAATTTTGTATTTTTGGTAGAGACGGGGTTTCTCCATGTTGGTCAGGCTGGTCTCAAACTCCCGACCTCAGGTGATCCACCCGCTTTGGCCTCCCAAAGTGCTAAGTTTACAGGCATGAGCCACCACGCCTGGCTTATGTTATTTTTTAAGACAGAGTCTCACTCTGTC
Organism: Homo sapiens; assembly: GCF_000001405.40. Classification (NCBI taxonomy): domain Eukaryota; kingdom Metazoa; phylum Chordata; class Mammalia; order Primates; family Hominidae; genus Homo; species Homo sapiens. The sequence goes on from NC_000020.11 coordinate 45,820,689, forward strand.
ACCCAAGCTGGAGTGCAGTGGCGCAATCTTGGCTCACTGCAACTTCCACCTCTTGGGTTCCAGCGATTCTCCTGCCTCAGCCTCCCAAGTAGCTAAGATTACAGGCATGTGTCTGGCTAATTTTTACATTCTTAGTACAGAGGAGGTTTTTCCATGTTGGCCAGGCTGGTCTCAAACTCCTGGCCTCAAGTGATCCGCCTGCCTCGGCTTCCAAAGTGCTGGGATTACAGGCATGAGCCACAGCACCCAGCCTCCATCTCTATTTTAAAATATGTATATATTTCAAAAAAAAAAAAAAAAAGACATCCAGGTAGAACCAATAACAGGTAGATGGCATCAGAATTAAGAGCCTTGTTCCCGTGCACACCACATAGCACATGGCGATACTACCTAGGTTATTATCTGGGTGCCTGTGTACTTCACCTCCCTAGGCCTTAGTTTTCCAACTGTAAAATGGAGATAACAACATCTGCCTCTAGGGATGTTATGTGAGTGAATGAGACAATGTCTGTAAGACATAGTATACAGTAGGCACTCAGTAAATAGTAATGATTACCAAACCCCAGCACTGATCCTGGCTGGAAATAAAAACAGAAAAACATGAATAGGACAAAAGAGGAAGAGAAAAAGACAGATGGAGAGGAAGAACTAAAGCAATGAGTAAGGTGACAATAGAGGCTGGGCACGATGGCTCATGCCTATAATCCCAACACTTTGGGAGGCCAAGGTGAGAGGATTCTTTGAGCTCAAGAGTTTGAGACCAGCCTGGGCAACATAGTGAGACCCCATCTCTGCTAAAAATAACAAAAACTAGTGGGGAGGGGTCACCCATTTATAGTCCCAGCTACTCGGGAGGCTGAGACAGGAGGATTGCTTGAGCCCGGGAGGTCAAGGCTACAGTGAGCTGTGATCACCTACTGCACTCCAGCCTGGGCAACAGAGCGAGACCCTGTCTCATTTAAAAAACAAAACAGAAGGCCAGATGTGGTGGCTCATGCCTGTAATCCCAGCACTTTGGGAGGCTGAGGCAGGCGGATCACCTGAGATCAGGAGTTCAAGACCAGCCTGGCCAACATGGCGAAACCTGGTCTCTACTAAAAATACAAAAATTAGCCAGGCATGGTGGTGGACACCGGTAATCCCAGCTACTCAGGAGGCTGAGGCAGAAGAATTGCTCGAACCCAGGAGGCGGAGGTTGCAGTGAGCTGAGATCGCGCCACTGCACTCCAGCCTGGATGACAAGAGCGAAACTCTGTTAAAAAAAAAAATGCTTGCTATGTGCCAGGCACTGCTGTAAGCACTTTGCACACACTAACTTCTTCTCACAACCCCGTGTTTACTATCACTATCCCCATTTTACAGATGAGGAAACTGTGGCACAGAGTGGTTTAGCTTGTCACAGGCAGTGAGCACTCACACACAGGCATTCTGTCTCTAAAGCTAAACTACCCCTACACTTAATTAGCTGCCATCTGATACCTGTTGTATACGAATTGCTATGGCAGCAAATAGCCAGTGAGGGCAAGGTTCAAGGGAGGAGATGGTAGTTGAGCTGGGTCTTGTAGGTTGAAGAATCTGCCAGCTTATAAGAAGGACAAGGGCATTCCAGGGAGGGCAAACAGCATGTGCAAAGTACCAAGGGCTTGAAAATGCACCCCAGGTCCATATCAGGAATACATTGCCCAGTGTGGCTGCAGCCCTGTGAGGACTATGGGAAGAAAGAGAGGGAGGGAGGGAGGGAGGGAAGGAATTTGGATCTCATTGTAGAAGCAGTGAGGAGCCTTGAACTACTTTCAACAGGGCAGTGGCCAAGTCAGATATTTTAGCTCGCTGCTGCTGATGGCCCTCTGTAGAGCGCACTGGCAGAGACCAGGTGGAGGCAGGGATCTGGGGTCAAATGATGAGATCAGAATCTCCTTAGTGGGTGCCTCCACCCTCCCCTACAACCACCAGTACAATTTGAGGAGTAAGCACTTGGAAGAACAGAAGAAGTAAAAGGTCGAGCAGAAACAATGCTGCCTGGCATGGATGGGCACCTACTTCCCCTCTCCCCAGCTAGGGAGCCTGCAGAAGGTGGCAGCTACGACAACATCTAAGACGCAAACGTTCCAGAAAAGGATGGTGGGGAAGTGAGGGAGCTTCCCGGCTCCCCAGGGTTCTAGCCTCTCCCACCCCCTCACCCTACCTGCCGTCTCAGGACCCCTCCGCAGTCCGCCGGCTCACCCTGACTCAACTCCAAGCCCCTGCAGCCTCCTGGAGCCACCACTGCCTGTCCGCCAAGCTGTGCACGCCCAGCGCCAGCTGTCAGGAGCCGGCTGCAAACCTGCAGAGCGAGTCAGCGCCATCGAGCACTCGCAGCCGCCGCCTCGGGCTCCAGGGCCCAGCTCCCTTCCACATCCCGCCGCTCAGACAGCCTCTCCCGGGGATCCCCAAGGGTGCTCCGGGTGGTGCCAGCCGGGATGGCGCCCTGGACCACAGCCCTTGCGACCTGCTGTCCTCGGCTCTCCCCTCATTCAGGCCACGAGTTTTGGAACATTTGCTTTTATTCCTTCCAGACAAAGACCCACAAGGGGTCGCGCCTCCCTGGTGGGGACCCGGCAGGGCGGAGTCTCCCACACCCTAGGGACACGCGATCTTGGTAGAGGCGACTGTCCACTCCTTACTGCACGCCCTCCATCATCTTCAGGAACTCTGAGGGAAAGGAGAGGGAGAGGGTCAGGGGTCCCACTGGGGACGCAGAGGCCAGGCCAGGGCTCCAGCCACACAGAGGGGATGACTTTTTGTTTTTGTTTTTGTTGAGACAGAGTCTCACTCTGTTGCCAAGGTCGCCAAGGTCTGTCACCCAGGCTAGAGTGCAGTGGCACAATCATAACTCATTGCAGCCTTGATCTCCTAGGCTCAAGCGATCCTCTTACCTCAGCCCCCGGAGCAACTGGGACCACAGGTGTGCCACCACACCTGCCTTTTTATTTTATTTTATTTTTTGTAAAGACAGGGTCTCACTATGTTGCCCAGGCTGGTCTCGAACTCTTGGCCTCAAGCAATCCTCCCACCTCATCCTCCCAAAGTTCTAGGATTTTACAGTCCTGAGCCACCACGCCCCCCTGCCTGGTCATTAATTGATAAACTGCACAGAGTCGTGGAGCGCTTCTATACCTGCCCCCAGGAGACTATGGGGAACTTGGTGAAGTTACGCCCAGCCCAGCCCACAAGGCCAAGGACACTGCACCGGAGCCAGGCACCAGTGCCCGCCGTCCTCTGGGGCTCCCACCCGCTCTTCCCAAGCTCCCGTTGGCCCTCACCGTCGAAGTCAATGCGGCCGTCGTTGTTCTTGTCGCCGTCTTTCATCAGAGATTCGATCTCCTCGTCCGTCACGTGCTCCCCGGAGGCCCTGAAAATCTCAGCCAGCTCCTCCGGGTCGATGTAGCCGTCTGCATTCCTTCAGGTCCGAGGGACAGGGCAGGGCTCAGGGCCGGGGCGAGCTGCCCTGGCCACCACACTCGACGCCCCGCTTCCGCACTCCCAACACGGGGAAGCTTCCAGCGCTGCCGGCCGGGTTCTGACTGCTAAGCCCCTCCCTCGGCTCCCGGGCCCCCAGCGCACCTGTCGAAGATGCGGAAGCACTCGGCCAGCTCCTCCTCGCTCTTCCCTTTCGCGTCCTCTTTCATCTGGCGCACCATCATGACCAAGAACTCCTCGAAGTCGATGGTGCCGCTGCCTGCGGGCAGCAGGTGGCAGACTGAGCCTGAGCCCAGCCGCTGCCGCCTCTCCCCACCATCCCCTGCCTCCGAGGGACACCCGCTCACCGTCCTCATCCACCTCCTCGATGATGGCGTCCAGCTCCTCCTTGGTGGGTGTCTGGCCCAGCATCCTCATCACCGTGCCCAACTCCTTGACGCTGATGTCCCCACCACCATCAGCATCAAACATGTCAAAGGCAGCCTTGAACTCTGCGAGGGAGGGCAGAGGGCAGAGGTGAGGCCTGCTGGACTGTCAGCCTCACACCTACCCCCCCCCAACCCCCACCCTGCCTAGAGGCCAACATGTCCCCAGCATACATCCACCCAGCCCCCAGCCTGCCGCGCCTCACTCACCAGCGATCATCTCTTCGCTGAGGTAGGACCTGGCCTCAGCCTGCTGGTCCGTCTGCAGGAGACACAGAGAAAGTCTGAGCTGAAGAGGCAGCCCCAGAGCAGTTCCTCACCTCAAAGCCATTCTTCCCAACCCCCACTCTGTCAGCGCCCTTGGTTCTCCAGAAGAACAACTTCAAACTTGTCACATAATTGTGTGCCCGCACAGCACCCAATCACAGTTTTGTTTTGTCTCGTTCTGTCACACATGCTGGAGTGCAGTAGTGTGATCATAGCTCACTGCAGCCTCAACCTCCTGGGCTCAAGCAATCGTCCCACTTCAGCCTCCTGAGTAGCTGGGACTATAGCATACACCACGCCTAATTTTTAAAATTTTTTGTAGAGATGGGGTCCCACTATATTACCCAGGCTGGTTTTGAACTCCTGGGTTCAAGTGATCCTGCCACCTCGGCCTCCCAAAGTGCTAGGATTACAGGCTTGAGCCACTGTGCCCAGCTTCTGACCCCAGTTTTTGTTTTTGCTTTTTGTTTTTGTGACAGTCTCGCCCTGTCGCCCAGGCTGGAGTGCAATGGCGTGATCTCGGCTCACTGCAACCTCCACCTCCTGGGTTCAAGCGATTCTCCTCCCTCAGCCTCTCGAGTAGCTGGGATTACAGGCATGCGCCAACACGCCCAGCTAATTTTTGTATTTTTAGTAGAGACGAGGTTTTACCATGTTGGCCAGGCTGGTCTTGAACTCCTCACATCAGGTGATCCGCCCACCTCGGCTTCCCAAAGTGCTGGGATTACAGGCGTGAGCCACCATGCCCGGCCTGACCCCAGTTTTTTTTGTTTGTTTGTTTTGTTTTGTTTTGAGACGGAGTTTTGCTCTTGTTGCCTAGGCTGCAGTGTAATGGCACGATCTCAGCTCGCCACAACCGCAACCCCCACCTCCGGGGTTCAAGCGATTCTTCTCCCTCAGCCTCCCGAGTAGCTGGGATTACAGGCATGCACCACAACGCCCGGCTAATTTTGTATTTTTAGTAGAGATGAGGTTTCTCCATGTTGGTCAGGCTGGTCTCGAACCCCCTACCTTAGGCGATCTGCCTGCCTCAGCTTCCCAAAGTGATGGGATTACAGGCGTGAGCCACCGCGCGCAGCCTGTGACCCCAGTTTTGAGCAAAAGAGAGGAGACAACAAGTTAAGCCCAAGGCCTTCTCACTTGTCAATTGAAGGCCAAGTCGGGAACCCCCCCCACCCCCCAGTGACCTTAGGCACGTCAATTAGCGTGCCTTCATCTTTTCTCTGTAGCTTTTCAGGGATGAGATATCAGGGGTGTGAAAGGGCTTTGTAAAGGGCTAGCACCATTCCAGCACTATTTTCCAGTTTTCTGCAGCTCCTAATGGTGCCCGGTACTTTAATAGTTGCTCAATAAAATGTTTGTTCTCAAATAAATAATAATGCAACACAAAGTTATTGAGTACTTGCTGCATGTCAGGCCACAGATCAGGCACTGGAACCACAAAGAAGAGATAAAAGACACATCATCCCGCCCCTCAGAGAACTGGCAGAGTCGGAGGCTGTCAGCTTCCTTCTTAGGATTCAGTCATTGGAGAAAAGGCCCCTCATGGGGGGCCGAATGTGATGGAGGCCTTGACATGAAAGTGAGATTTCTGCAGGGGTTTCCACGTCATATCCAAGCCAGGCCATCTGGGTCAGAGGCTTTGGATTGAGGCTGGCAGTGAGGACAGGGTGAGGCTTCCAAGGAGCTCTTCAGCCAGCTGGCCACCAGTGCTCCTCCTTCTCCCCCTCCTTCCTCTCCTCCTCTTTCCCTATGCCAGGAGGGCAGGCTATTTTTAGTCAGGCATGGGCAACAGCAGCTGGCCTCTGGGATCTAGTTACTCCTTGAAGTGAAGTGGGGAGGGGGATCTCAGACCAAAACAACAGCTCCAAATCAGAAGCCCTCTCTAGGAGAGCGGAGTCTCTCTAACTCTGGTCTGTCATCTTCTGCCCCTTCCCATCATCCTCAGGGCTCCCAGAGCCCTGCATCTGAGCAGGCCCCACGCCCTGCCGGCCTCCCGTCTTCTGGAGGAGGCTTTCTTCTCTCCATGATGATAGGAGGGTTTGGCCAGGCTTCTGGCTCACCCCTGCCACTGGCCTGCTGGGTGACTCACTCTGACCCCTCAGAGTCCCCACTGTGTGAAGGAAACAAGCTAAGAGCTCTTCACAGGTCTATGAATGACACTGCTGGAAGTTTCCAGAAGTGAGTAGGCAGTCAGCAAGCCTTAAGGATCAATCTCTGGAATATCCCAGCCCTCCCCTTTCAAGAAAAGTCAAAGGCCTTCCTCCAAGACACCTGGGTTCCAGGAACCTCCATGCTCCAACCTCAAACATCCAAGTTACTGCCCCACAGAGCACCCAGGCCTGGCCTGAAAGGGGTCCAGAGTGCTCCCGTGAGTAAAGGCACAAAGTCCCCTCTTGTCCTTACCATGGTTGCTGGTGACCGGGACTCCTCTGTTGCAGGTCGCCTCCTTTGCACTCCACCACCCAAAGATGACCTGGCCTGCTCTAGCCCCCGGGATTTGTAGGGGCACCCTCCCCTCCCACCTCCCTGCTCCCCAGCACTGGAGACCCTGCCCAATCAGATCCTGGGGTCAGCGAGTCCCACCCCTCCCACAGTCTGAACCCATTACCTAATTTAGCCAAGGGCCCTTGCAGAGAAATTTAAGCCTCCAAGCAGGTGGCAGGCCTTGACGTCCTAGATTCTTGTGAGGAAGGCCTGCCCTGTTCCACTGCCTTGGAGTCCCCCCGACCGAGGAAGCACACTGGCTCCAAGATGGTAAGGATGATCAGAGTAGTAAAGGGTGAGGCAGCATGGTAAAATGGGGAGAGTACAAGCCTTGAAGTCCAAAACCCAAGATCCAAGGCCAGCCTCTGCGAGTTGTGTGACCTTGGGCCGGTAGCAGTGCCTCTCTGAGCCATTTCTTCATCTGTGGGATTGGACCTGTCTGTGGGGTCTCCCTCACAGAGAGACCATGGTAAATGGGAACCCGGGTATAAGTCACCTAGCTTGTGCTGGGTACACAGCGTTGGTGCTTGGCAAGAGGAATGTCCCGTCTTTGAACCATGGTAAGGGGCAGGGGATAGGAGGAGAAAGTGACAGGTAGGCCACTGTTTACTGAACCCCATGACGTGCCACACACTGTGCTAAGCATTTTAACATGATCTCATCTAGTGCTCCTCCTATGAGGTAGCAACGATTATCCCCACTTGACTGCAGAGCTTTGTAAATTATAAAGGTCTATACTCACTCTGTCACCAAGGCTGATGTGCAGTGGTGCTATTATAGCTCACTGCAGCCTCTATCTCCTGGGCTCAAGTGATCCTCCCACTTCAGCCTCCCGAGTAGCTGGGACTAGAGGTGCACCACCACCCCTGGCTTTTTTTTTTTTTGTATTTTTATAGAGATGGGGTTTCACCATGTTGCCCAGGCTGGTCTCGAACTCCTAGGCTCAGGGGATCCTTCCACCTTGGTTTCCCAAAGTGCTAGAATTACAGTCATGAGGCACCATGCCCACCCATGTTGATGATTCTTATTATTAATCCTGACTGGAGGGAAGTTGGGACAGACAGTCCTTGGGGCACCTGTCCAGATGGAAAAATGTATGGAGGGATGGAGGAGAGGAGGATGTGCATTTGGAGGAGAAATAATCATTGAAAGCAAAGATCCTTCTCTGAAAGTTACCTTCTCCAGGGAAAGGGTGTTTGGATTCACTTTTTTTGAAGTAAGGAGTAGGCAGGGGAAGGTTCTTTAAGTGGTAAAAGGACAGCTGGCCCCTTCCTAGAGCTCAGTGAAGAAATCTGGTCATCTGGGGAGTAAAGGGGTGGGCAGACCAAGTCCAGAGGGAGCCCAACCTGAGAATCCACAAGGTGCAGGCTGGGCACTGGGGAGTAGGCAAGGCTTGTAGACAGTGGCTACGTGGACAGAAAGAGCACCAAGACAACCGATAGCAGGCTCTGGGGCCAGGAAAGGGGGGCTGGACACCAAGGAATGCAGATGGACAGTGGCAACTGGGCTGCCCCCTTCCCCTATATATAGACATTCCCAAGGAAAGCTCAGCAGGGCTGGGCCAAGCTAAATAAGGCCTCCCCCAGGCAGGCAGGGTGCCAAAGGGTGAGGGAGACCCATGGGATTCCAATTTAGTTTTTATTGTTTTTTGGTTTTTTGGGGTTTTGTTTTTGAGACAGACTCTCACTCTGTCACCCAGGCTGGAATGCAGTGGCACAATCTCGGCTCACTGCACCCTCCGCCTCCTAGGTTCAAGTGATTCTCATGCCTCAGCCTTCTGAGTAGCTAGGATTACAGGCACATACCACTACGCCCAGCTAATTTTTGTTTTTGGTTTTTTTTTTTTTTTTTTTTTGAGACAGAGTTTTGCTCTTGTTGCCCAGGCTGGAGTACAATGGTGCAATCTCGGCTCACCACAACCTCCGCCTCTTGGGTTCAAGCAATTCTCCTGCCTCAGCCTCCCGAGTAGCCGGAATTACAGGCATGAGCCACCATGCCCGGCTAATTTTGTATTTTTAGTAGAGACAGGGTTTCTCCATGTTGGTCAAGCTGGTCTCAAACTCCCAACCTCAGGTGATCCGCCCACCTCAGCCTCCCAAAGCACTGGGATTACAGGTGTGAGCTACCACACCCGGCAAATTTTTTACTTTTTGTAGAGACAAGGTTTCATCGACCGGGCACGGTGGCTCAGGCCTGTAATCCCACCACTTTGGGAGGCTGAGATGGGCGGATCACGAGGTCAGGAGATCGAGACCATCCTGGCTAACACAGTGAAACCCCATCTCTACTAAAAATACAAAAAAATTAGCCGGGCATGGTGGTGGGCGCCTGTAGTCCCAGCTACTTGGGAGGCTGAGGCTGAGGCAGGAGAATGGTGTGAACCTGGGAGGCAGAGCTTGCAGTGAGCCGAGATCACACCACTGCACTCCAGCCTGGGCAACAGAGCAAGACCCCGTCTCAAAAAAAAAAAAAGTTTCATCATGTTGGCCAGGCTGGTCTCAAACTCCTGACCTCAAGTGATCCGCCTGCCTCAGCCTCCTAAAGTGCTAGGATTACAGGCATGAGCCCCTGAGCCCAGCCTTTGTTCTTTTGTTTATTCAAGGGATTAGGTAAGGCCCAAATTGCTTAATGTAGCCAAGCAAGGTCCCATTGGCCCTTCTAATCTCACTCCTTCCCTCCACATCATGTTGCTGTCTGCTCTGATCAGACTTTAAAATACTGCTCTAGGCTGGGCACGGTGGCTCATGCCTGTAATCCCAGCATTTTGGGAGGTGCAGGCTGGCAGATCACGAGGTCAGGAGTTCGAGACCATCCTGGCCAGCATGGTGAAACCCTGTCTCTACTAAAAATACAAAAAATTGCTGCTGGGTGTGGTGGTGGGCGCCTGTAGTCCCAGCTACTTGGGAAGCTGAGGCAGAAGAATCACTTGAACCTGGCAGGCGAAGGTTGCACTGAGCCAAGATCATGCCACTGCTCTCCAGCCTGGGCGACAAAAGGAGACTGCATCTCAAAAAAAAAAAAAAAAAAAAAAAGACTACTCTAAACACCACCTTCTATGAACCTTCAAGCCTTTGCACATGCTGTTTTTTTCTGCCAGAAACTCCCATCTTTCCTCTCTTCATCTGTCTACTTCCCTATCATCTTTCTAAGCTCTAACATCACTTCCTCGGGGATCCTTCCCCCACTGTGTCCAGACCAGGGAGTCCAAGGTGGTCTCTAGTAGTTTCCTCAATCATAGCACTGAGCATACCTTATGCTCACAACCCATTCTATGTTCTACAGATCATCACATTTCCCAGTGCTCAGCACTTGCTATGTAGCAGGTGTTCAACAGATATTATATTCTACATAAGAATAACTGAACTGGATGGTATTTAGTTCAATATAAGGGGGAACTTCCTAATAGTCATAGTTGAACAATAATGGGAACAGGTGGCCTCAGGAGGTAATGAGCTCCGTATCACTGAGTATACCCAAACAGGAGCTAGATGACCATTTCTCAGGGAGGCTGTAGGGAGATATCCATACAGAATTTAAGAATGGGGGCAGTGGCTCACACTTTTAATCCTAGCACATTGGGAAGCTGAGGCAGGTGGATCTCTTGAGCCCAGGAGTTCAATACCAGCCTGGGCAACATGGCGAGACGCTGTCTCCAATTAAAAAATTAAAATAAAACAAAGAATGGTGGGTGGTAGCTCATACTTGTAATCCCAGCACATTGGGAGGCAGAGGTAGGAGGATCTCTTCAGGCCAAGAGTTCAAGATCAGCCTGGGCAACATGCAACCCCACCTTTACAAAAAATAAAATACTAGCCAGGCATGGTGGGCACATATCTGTAGTCCCAGATACTTGGGAGGCTGAGGTGGGAGAATCACTTGAGCCCAGGAGTTTGAGGCTGCAGTGAGCTATGATCGCACCCCTGCACTCCAGCCTCACAACAGAGTGAGACTCTGTCTCTGAAAGAAGAGGCCGGGCACGGTGGCTCATGTCTCTAATCCCAGCACTTTGGGAGGCTGAGGCAGGTGGATCATTTGAGGTCAGCAGTTCGAGACCAGCCTGGCCAACATGGTGAAACCCCATCTCTACTAAAAATACAAAAATTAGCCGGGTGTGGTGGCACATGCCTGTAATTCCAGCTACTTGGGATTACTTGTAATTCCAGCTACTTGGGATTACTTGAGGCAGGAAAATCGCTTGAACCCAGGAGATGGAGGTTGTAGTGAGCCAAGAGTGTGCCATTGGACTCCAGCCTGGGTGATGGAGTAAGACTCTGTCTCAAAAAAAATAAAATAAATAAAAATAAATAAAAAAGGAAGAAGAAGCAGGAGGAGGAAGAAGGAAGCAAAAAGAAGAAGAAATAATAATAGTGGAGAATGCGCAACCTTCAGATCTCCTAGTTCTGACTGTTTATATGACCCAGCATAAGCCCTTCCCCTCACTAAGCCTCAGACTACCTATCTGTAAAATGGAGGTGATAGGCCAGATTTCTGAGGGGCCCTCCTGCTCTAACAACCCATGGTTTCATGAAGACCAGCTTTGTGCCCAGACATGTAAGGCATATACCGAAGGACAAGTTATTTTTTAACCAATGGTTGGTGAATGAGTGAGTGTTGAATTAATGAATGAAGTATGCCTTTTTTGTCCCAATATCTTGCCCATAAGCCAAATGAAGAGTAATTCGAGGTTTGAAATTGTGCAAACTGGCCAGGCACAGTGGCTCACGCCTGTAATCCCAGCACTTTGGGAGGTAGAGGCAGGTGGATCACTTGAGGCCAGGTGTTCCAGATCAGCCTGGCCAATATGGTGAAACCCCACCTCTACTAAAAATACAAAAATTAGCCGCATGGTGGCACATGCCTGTAGTCCCAGCCACTCAGGAGGCTGAGGCAGGAGAATTGCTTGAACCTGGGAGGCAGAGGTTACAGTGAGCCAAGATTGCATCACTGTACTCCAGCCTGGGCGACAGAGCAAGACTCTGTCTCCCTCTCTAAAAATAAATAAATAAATAAATAAAATTGCACAAACTTAGGCTTAAAATCCCAGCCCCTCTATTTCCCAGATGTGGATCTTGGGGAAGTCACTTTGCCTCAGTTTCTTCATCTTGAAAATGGACCATTAATGTCCAGTTACAGCCTCTTCCCCAGGACGCTGTGAGGGAGAGATGTGACAGTAAAGTGCCTAGAGCAGGATGTAGAAAGTGGACCCTCAGAAAATAAGAACCCCAGCCTTTCTGCTCACATGGGAGGGCAGGGAGCTGAAATACCTTCTGCTTATCCCAAGGCATTTTCCCCCACCCTTCTCTCCTGTGCCACTCAGAAAGGGTAGGAGCTACTTTGGAGAGATTTTGATTTTATTTATTGTATTGTATAACTATCAAAATCTGCCCTAACAACTGATACCTAGGCTTTGTGACAGGAAGCCACAATAACTTTTTCTTGACCTGCAGCTGCCCTGCGGATAAAAGATAAAACAAAGCTGGGGAGCCACTGAGATTATCAGGCCTGCTGCACAGGAAAAGGGCAGTATGCAGCAGGGGACCTGGGCTCCAGGCCCCATACTCAGAAACCTCTGAGGGAGGCAGAGGCAGGTGGATCACTTGAGCCCAGGAATTCGAGACCAGCCTGGGCAACATGGCCAAATCCCATCTCTACAAAAAATACAAAAATTAGCTGGGTGTGGTGGCGAACGCCTCTATTCCTAGCTACTGGGGAGGCTGAGGTGGGAGGGATGACCTGAGCCCAGGGAGGCGGAGGTTGCAGTAAGCAGAGATGGTGCCACTGCACTCCAGCCTAGGTGACAGAGTGAGACTCCATCTCAAAAGAGAAAGAAAGAAAGAAAGAGAGAGAGAGAAAGAAAGAAAGAGAGAGAGAGAAAGAAAGAAAGAAACCTCTGGCAAGCTGTGTGGTTAAGCCAAGTAACTCACCCTCTCTGGTCCTCAGTTTCCCTGTTTGCCTACTTCCCATGTGTGAGGTTCAAATCAGATTGTGCAAGCCTGTGAACACTGTAGAAACAATAATCATTATGTAAGTGATCATTTCGTCAGCCTTTGCTCTATGCCAGGCACGGGACGAGCGTTCTTACAAGAGCTGCAAAATTAGTTTTAGCAGTATTGTTCCTGTTTTACATATGAGAAAACCTAGGCTCAGCGAGGTCAGATTCCAACCAACCCAAATCACGCATCTTCTCCTGGCCCTTCGTTTTCTCTCGGGAGACATGGCCTCCCTACTATTGCATAATTACTTTGTGAAGTTAAAGAGCGTTGGGTGGAAATGAGTGGGACAGATTGGAGATGACGTGGGTGGGGTGGGAGGATTCAAGGAGGGTACGCGCCTGGCCGGACTGGGATGACTCTGCGGCAGGCCTGGGACTCCCTCAGGCCGACCCAGGCTTCCCAAGTCCCTCCTGGAGCCAAGGGCCCGGGATTCTCGGGCGGCTCGGGCGAGCGGGCGGGGCAGGAGGCGGGGCGGCGGCAGGAAGCTGCCCGAGCGGCGCTCTGAGCGGCCTGAGCCCGGCGGAGCCCTGCAGAACCCGGCCGACCTCCATGGGCTGCGGGGGGCTGCACCCGGACCCCTGGGGCGCGGCGCGCCCCTGAATGCACCGTGGGACGCAGGAGGTAGAGGCGCACGAGGCGGCGCAAGAGACATCGGGAGGGTCCTGAGCCCCTCCGGGGAGGAACGCGGTCCTAGGCTGAGTGGGTTGGGGGGAAAGCGATGCTGGCTGGGTCCCCTGGTTCGCAAGACCTCGGACTGCCAGGGGGTGGGGCCTCACCGCGCCCCTCCCTCTCCGGTTCGGGCCCCGCCCCTCCTCCTCCTGCGCCGGGCTGGGGTACCCCTCCTCCGGGATCCGGTACACAGCGTCGCGCGCTCCCCCCAGGGTGCCATGGCCTCCCGGCTCCTGCACCGGCTGCGGCACGCCTTGGCCGGCGACGGCCCCGGGGAGGCGGCGGCCAGTCCAGAGGCCGAGCAGTTTCCGGAGAGCTCAGAGCTGGAGGACGACGACGCCGAGGGCCTGTCCTCCCGACTCAGCGGCACCCTCAGCTTCACCAGCGCCGAGGACGACGAGGACGACGAGGACGAGGACGACGAGGAGGCTGGCCCTGACCAGCTGCCCCTCGGGGATGGGACGTCAGGAGAAGACGCAGGCGAGTGCAGGAGGACGGAGGCGGGAACCCTGGGGCTCGATTAGGCCTCCATCCCAGCCGCGTTCCCAGAGCATCCAGGGCGCTAAGTTGATCCAGCTGAAACTCCCACACTTCTTAAAGCGCCTGGGCCACCTCTTGGCTGTGTGACCTTGAGAGAGTCTTAACCCCCCTCTGAGCCAAGTTTTCCCTTGTGTCAAGTGGGAGAACTCACTCTCATCTCAGAATTGCTGCAGGCATTAAATGTACAGGGCTTGGGATCCGAATGGAAATGATGTATTAACGATATTTTGAGGGTGGAGCTATTAATTTAGCCCCTACTGTCTGCCAGGCACGGTGTTTGGCTCCTCGGTGCCTCTCTGTCCCTCAGTTTCCATTTCTGTAAAAAGGGGGTAAGTCCTGCCTCACACTGGGAGGATGAGTGAGGCCACGTCAGTGGTTGATGTCGACCCTGGCCCTAGGCCCATTGATATGACTGGTCATGTGTCTGCAGAACGGAGCCCCCCACCTGATGGGCAGTGGGGCAGTCAGCTCCTGGCGCGGCAGCTGCAGGATTTCTGGAAGAAGTCCCGGAACACCTTGGCACCCCAGCGGCTGCTCTTCGAAGTGACCAGCGCTAACGTTGTCAAGGACCCGCCCTCCAAGTACGTGGTGAGTGAGGGTCTAGAACCCCTGGGCTGTGAGTCCAGAAGTATGGCTAGGAGCAAGTAGGGAAGACCCCAACTTCCTGAGGGGTCTATGTAGTTATAAATGGTTACCTTGTTTACAAATGGGGAAACTGAGGTCAGAAAGGGGATGTAACTTGAGCAAATCCTCACACAAGACTTAGTTTCCTTGAGACTGACTGAAGTGGGGATTAAGGACCTTCCTCTTAACCTGGTTTTGAGACTAAGAGAACTGGTGTGTGCACTTCCCCACCCAGCCCACAAGGTTTTTGCAAATTGTAGCAAGATGTGAGATACAGAGAGACAGATGTTATCTGGGTCAAACTTGAGATCCAAGTTGCATGGGCTGGTAGTTAAGGAAATAGGCTTTCGATCCAGACCAATCTTGACTCCCACTTATTTCCAGTTGTTTGACTCTGGGTGAGTTGTTTAACCTTGGTCATCTTCCGTTTCCTCATTATAGCAATGGGGAAAATGCAGAAGATTACAGCAGGAGTTAAATGAGACAATGGACAAAAAGCCCTTAGCAGTGTGCCTGGCATTATGACGTGGTCAATGAAATGGTAGCTATGTCATCATTATTTAACTTTGGGTTGAAAATGTTTGTCATCTAGGGCCTGCTGTGTCCTTATAACGCACAGGTCAATCAGTTCTCAAGCACCCGACCTTGTCCCTAAGGGCTAGACTTAGAGGGTTGGTGGAGGTTAGGATGAAGAGCAATGTTGGGGAGGACCTTGGAGTCCCTTGCTGTTTTCCTTGCTGTTGAGAGACTGACTTGGAGAATGAGGTCTGCTCCTTTAATGCCCACAGCGACTCCTGCTCCAGTCCCTTTTCAGGCCAGGCCTGAAAGCCAGCTGAGCTGGCCACTCCTGTCAGTGGCAGCTCTCCATCTCTCACTCCCCTCCTCTTCACCACCCTTCTCCACCTCTGACTCAGCAGGAGGGGGCCTGGAGCCCAGTCCCACATCTGGGCCTCTCCACCCTTTTCTGTTGCTGTTAGTAAGCAAGGGCCACACCCATGGGGTGACTACTCCAATTTCAGCAGGGACCGACTCCGATTATTGAGTCTTTTAAAAAAATTTTTGAGGCCGGGCGTGGTGGCTCACGCCTGTAATCCCAGCACTTTGGGAAGCCGAGGCGGGCGGATCACGAGGTCACGAGACCATCCTGGATAACACGGTGAAACCCCGTCTCTACTAAAAATACAAAAAAATAGCCGGGCATGGTGGCAGGCGCCTGTAGTCCCAGTTACTTGGGAGGCTGAGGCAGGAGAATGGCGTGAACCCAGGAGGCAGAGTTTGCAGTGAGCCGAGATCGAGCCACTGCAGTCCGGCCTGGGCAACAGAGCGAGACTCCGTCTCAAAAAAAAAAAAAAAAAAAAAAAAAAATTTTGAGACAGGGTCTCGTTCTGTCACTCAGGCTGGAGTGCAGTGGTGCAGTCATAACTCACTACAACCTCCAACTGGGCTCAAGCTATCCTCCCACCTCAGCCTCCCAAGTAGCTAGGACTACAGCTGTGCACCACCACGTGTGGCCAATGATGAAGTCTGAAGTGGCAAAGGTCTCAGAACTCTGGGTTCATACACTGGAAGGGGACACCAAGGAATAGTTCAGAGGCTGAGAGGAATGGGGGTGACTGTGGGTACCTGGATGGGAAGGGATGACAAGATAGAGCAGGATGGCCAAGTATGCCCCGGCCTGTGTCTGGAGAAGCAAGGCACCTCCTGTGTACAATGGGGACCCTAATTCCCCACTCAACTTGTGGGGGTGAAGAGCACAGGCTTTGGAATCAGATCAACCTGAGTTTAAATCCCAGCTGGGCTGTTTTCCAGCTGTGTGACTTACGGCAAGTCTTTGAGCCCTTTTCCCCCTCTTTGAGCCTGCTTCCTCAGCTGTCAGAGATAAGGACCTTCCTTGCAGTGCTGTTGTGATGATTAAATGAAATCACAGATGTAAAGAGTGCTTGGTACAACAGGAGGCACAGGGTAAATGCTTGGGTAATGGAACTACTGTCATTATCACCCATCTGGCTGCATGTTACAAGGTCAATGAGATAATGGATACAAAATGTAAACTAGATGAACATAAAGGCTTATTATATAGACCAGTGTGTCCTGAAGAAAACTGGTGTCCTAAAGTGTGTCCTGCAGAAAACTAGTTCCCTGGAATGTTAATAGCTGTTTCTAAATAAAGGTTTTGCAGGCAATATGTTTTGAGAATGCAGAGTTAAATGAGAATACAATAAGTTTCTTTATTGTTAAAGTATTTAATCCCTAATAGTGATATACACTGTGAATCTTCAAGAGGACAGAGTAAGCAAACCTAACTGACCAGGAGTGGCTAGAGTATTGTCAGTTCCACAGAACAAATGTGAGAGAAAGATCTGGATTTGGTGTTAGGGTGCCTTTAACATCTAACACTGGTTAACTCTCCTTTTAAACCTGTTGGCTTGGCATTATAGGTTAATCCATATTCAGGTTCTCAGACCTGGGAGGCGGGGAACTTCGTGATCATCTTGTTCAGTGTTTTCCAAACCTCAGTCATTCCAATACCTCCCTGATTCTTGTCCTATCTAAAAATGCCACTTGTGTCCTTTTCTTCTTAACATTTTTCTTTAAATGAACCTATTTTTTTTTCTTTATCTTTTTTTTTTTCTTTTTTGAGACAGAGTCTTGCTCTGTTGCCCAGGCTGGAGTGCAGTGGTGCAATCTCAGCTCACTGCAACCTCCACCTCCTAGGTTCAAGCAATCCTCCCGCCTCAGCCTCCTGAGTAGCTAGGATTACAGGTGCCCACCACCATGCCTGGCTAACTTTTGCATTTTCAGTAGAGATGGGGTTTCACTGTTGGCCAGGCTGGTCTTGAACTCCTGACCTCAAGTGATCTGCCGCCTCAGCCTCCCAAAGTGTTGGGATTACAGGTGTGAGCCACTACGCCCAGCCGAACCTATTTTTTTTCTTAAATAAGTTTATCGAGACGGAGTCTTGCTCTGTCGCCTAGGCTGGAGTGCAGTGGCGTGATCATAGCTCACTGCAGCCTTGAACTCGTGGGCTCACATGATTCTCTGCCTCAGCCTCCTGAGTAGCTGGGACCACAAGTGCCCAACTAATTCTTTTTCTTTTTCTTTTTCTTTTTTTTAGAGACAGGGTCTTGCCATGTTGCCCAGGCTGGTCTCGAACTCCTGGCCTTAAGCTGTTCTCCTGCCTCAGCCTCCCAAAGTACTGGGATTACAGGTATGAGCCACTGTGCCCATCCTTTAAGTAATTTTAAAAGACAACTTCATAGCACTACCGTACGTGGAAAGTCTCACTTGCCACCGAGAGAAGCTAGCCATAAAAATAAAAGGTGAGGCACGGTGGCTCACACCTGTAATCCCCGCACTTTGGGAGGCTGAGGTGGGCAGATCACCTGAGGTCAGGAGTTCAAGACCAGCCTGGCCAACACGGTGAAACCCCGACACTACTAAAAATACAAAAATTAGCCGGATGTGGTGGTAGGCGCCTGTAATCCCAGCTACTCGGGAGATTGAGGCAGGAGAATTGCTTGAACCCAGGAGGCAGAGGTTGCAGTGAGCGGAGATTGTGCCACTGCATGCCAGCCTGGGCGACAGGGCGAGACTAAATAAATAAATAAAGTAAATAAGTAAGTAGTGAAAATGAAACGTCATTAAATCTTGCCTAGATGTTGTTGCCTGAAGGAGGCCCTGACCTGAGATCCACTTTCTGACTCTTTTCTAAAAATGGAGATGAGAAGTGTTAGAGAAGTACTTTTTTTTTTTTTTTTTGAGAGAGAGTTTCACTCTTGGTGCCCAGGCTCGAGTGCCATGAGCAATCTCGGCTCACCACAACCTCCACCTCCCAGGTTCAAGCAATTCTCCTGCCTCAGCCTCCCAAGTAGCTGGGATTACAGGCATGTGCCACCACGCCTGGCTAATTTTGCATTTTTAGTAGAGACAGGGTTTCTCCATGTTGGTCAGCCTGGTCTCGAACTCTCAACCTCAGGTGATCCACCTGCCTCAGCCTCCCAAAGTGCTGAGATTACAGGTGTGTGTGTGAGCCACTGCAACCTGCCCAAGAAGTCCTTTTTTTAAAACCAAACTGAGAGCTGGCCAGGCGCGGTGGCTCACACCTATAATCCCAGCACTCTGGGAGGCAAAGGCGGGCGGATCACAAGGTCAGGAGATCGAGACCATCCTGGCTAACACAGTGAAACCCCGTCTCTACTAAAAAATACAAAAAATTAGCCGGGCGTAGTGGCAGGCGCCTGTAGTCCCAGCTACTCGGGAGGCTGAGGCAGGAGAATGGAGTGAACCCAGGAGGCGGAGCTTGCAGTGAGCCGAGATCGTGCCACTGTACTCCAGCACTCCAGCCTGGGCAACAGAGCGAGACTCCGTCTCAAAAAAAATAAAAAAATAAAAAAACCCCAACAAAACCAAACTGAGAGCTTCTCAATTTGTAGTCAGAAAGATTAAAAAACAATTAGGCTGGGTGTGGTGCTCATGCCTGTAATCTTAGCACTTTGGGAAGCCTAGCTAGGAAGATTGTTCAAGGCCAGGAGTTCAAGGCCAGCCCTAGCAACATAGTGAGACCCCCCCTCATCTCCATACAAAAAAAAAAAAAAAAATTTTTTTAAATAGCTGAGTGTGGTGGTGCATGCCTATAGTCCTAGCTACTTGGGAGGCTGAGGCAGGAGGAATGCTTCAGCCCAGGAGGTTGAAGCTGCAGTAAGCTATGATTGTACCAGTGTACTCCAACCTGGCCAACAGTGAGACCCTGTCTCAAAAAATAATAATTAAAAGGGGACCAACCTCCTGATACAGTGATATTTACTCTAGTGCACACCACCTAAAAACCTCAGGTACCAATACTTGTACATGTCTCATTTTTGGACAAACACTGACTTGACCGAGCACTTCCTTCACTAGAAACAGAAGTGGACCCAGAGGGGGACTCCCTTGCCTGGGTCACACAGAGAAGGAGTAGCTGACCTGGGGTTAGAACTTGAGTCCTAGGCCAGTATACTTTTCACAGTTATGGCAGTTGTGGCTATCTACAGACCTGTCCTCTGGGTCTAGTTTGGAAAAGCCTGACCAGGGATGTGGAGGCCAGGTGTCCAAAGTGGAACAAGCTCCAAGCTGGTCCTAAAGGAGCCCCAAGAGATTGGCTGGGGTTTCAGCTTATGTCTGGTTTTCCAGAGGGGGCTGTCAGAAGAACTAATGCTCTATGGGAAGGGAGTACAAAAAAAGGGGCAGCAGCCCCGGGCACTGAAGCTCATCTCTGTCTTTCTCTCTTCTTGCTGCCTTGGGCCTGGGTCATTTCAGACAAACCTCAGGTAAGATGGGACTGGGCTTCCCCGCCACTGCGCAGCAGCTCCCGCCCTCCTGGGTGCTGTCCCAGGGGTGAAAGGAAGAGGTGGGGAGGTACAGCTGGGAGTGTGGGGGATGGGGAAGGATGGGGAGGGAACGGGCCCGTGGACAACTTGCATTTGCCCTGACACCCACCCTCCCTGCAGCTCTACACCCTCGCCGTGATCGGCCCAGGACCGCCAGATTGCCAGCCAGCCCAGATCTCTCGCCGTTACTCGGACTTTGAGCGGCTGCACCGAAACCTGCAGCGGCAATTCCGGGGCCCAATGGCTGCCATCTCCTTCCCCCGTAAGCGGCTGCGCCGGAATTTTACTGCAGAGACCATTGCCCGCCGTAGCCGGGCCTTTGAGCAGTTTTTGGGTCACCTGCAGGCAGTGCCTGAGCTGCGCCATGCCCCGGACCTGCAGGACTTCTTCGTGCTGCCGGAGCTGCGGCGGGCACAGAGCCTCACCTGTACTGGCCTCTATCGTGAGGCTCTGGCACTCTGGGCCAATGCCTGGCAGCTGCAAGCCCAGCTGGGCACCCCCTCTGGCCCAGACCGCCCCCTGCTGACCCTGGCTGGGCTGGCCGTGTGCCACCAGGAGCTGGAAGACCCTGGAGAGGCCCGGGCATGCTGTGAGAAGGCCCTGCAGCTGCTTGGGGACAAGAGCCTCCACCCTTTGCTGGCACCCTTTCTGGAGGCCCATGTCCGGCTCTCCTGGCGCCTGGGCCTGGACAAACGTCAATCAGAGGCTCGGCTCCAAGCCCTGCAGGAGGCAGGCCTTACCCCCACACCACCCCCCAGTCTCAAAGAATTGCTCATCAAGGAGGTGCTGGACTAACCCTTGCCTAGATTTAAGGCCACTGTGAGGAGAGGGGTTGCCCCAGAAGGCAGGGGAAGGACCTGATGAGAACAGAATAGCTGGGAGGCTGCAGAGGGTGCTGGGAGCCCCTAGAAGTTCCAAAAGAGAATGTGAAGCAGATCAAGGAAACTTCTGTTGAGCTAGGCTCAGGGTGAGCTTTGGCTGGGGTTGCCCTTGTGTAGTACAGGGAAGTCTGACACAGCCTCTCCAGCCTATAAACAGCCGGGGGGCTGTGGCACAGGTTGGGGCAATGTTCCCTTGTTGGTGGGCCCCCAAGCTGGCAAGGCCTCTTGGCTGAAGGCCAGGGACTCTGCCCCTGGAGTCCTGGAGTTAAGGGATGAAGGCAAGGCTGCAGGTCTGGCCCAGGGGAATTAAAAGCCAGCCACTCCAGTGGTATCAGTCTCTTTATTGGATGTGAGGGCCAAAAGGGACTGTAACTCCTGTCTCAGGAATGGGGATAGATGGGAGGTTCTTGAAGCCCCAGGCGAAGCTGGTACCTCTGGCTACAGCTTGCTCTCTGAGACCTGGGGCTTCACTCGGATCACGCCCTCCTGGGCACAGGTCACAGCTAGGACTCCATCCTGACGCCACAGCCGCCCATGGACCAGCCCCCGAGAGCCACCTGTGGGTGAGGTGAAGGGTGATGATGGCCTGCTTCAGAACAGCCAAATACACTTTTTTTTTTTTTCCTGAAACAGAGTCTCACTAAGTTGCCAGGCTGGTCTCAAGCGCCTGGGTTCAAGGGATCCTCCCGCCTCAGCCTCCTGAGCAGCTGGGATTACAGGCGCACATCACCATGCCCAACCTCCAAGTGGACTTCTTGCAAAGGGTCTGGCCCAGGGCAGGGCTGCCCCACACAAGGGTGCACTGAGTGTCGTGGCTGCTCCAAATGCCCCTTCATGAGCTTATTATGGACCGTCATTGAGGGGTAACTCCTCCCACAGGAACCCCAGTTGACAGTTTAAAAGCACTTTCACACCTCTCCTCGCTTCCTCAAAAAGATCACAGAGGGAGGAGCTCTGAGAACAGTCTCCTTCAACAGCTCGGCCAAGCAGAACTGCTGTACCTCTGACCACTTGTGTTAGGAAAACTATCGGCTCCCTGTATAATAAATCAAGCCAGGTCCTCCAAGTGGTAATTCATGAAAAATATCCCCACTACCACCACCAAGGGGAAGAAAGGACTCAGAAGAGAGGACTTGAGGCCATGAGGTCTGGCCTCTTCCCTCCCCATCTGGAGACTCTTTCTCCCTTGCTGGCTTTGGGCCCAAGTTTGATGTTTATGAGGATGATTGCTGGTTTCCCTTACACATAGCAGAGCTCACTCAGTTCTCACAGTAGCCAAATGAAGCAGTTATGTGTTGTCCAGTTTTCCAGACCAGGACTGAAATCCAGAGAGGGTCAGGAATTTGGCCCCATGATGAAGCCAAATCTGAACCCATGTCCTCACTTCAAGGTTATCAATCTTGGATTGTGATGCTATTGGTACTTGAGAATACCCCTTATCTGAGTATAAAGAATCCTTGAGTTTTGTCCTTGGTTTATCAAGCAAAGCTTTTCTTCATTTGAAATGTACTCCCTTGGAAAGGAGGTCAGGGTTCTGAAGCTAGACATTGATGAACGAGTCTTGTTTCTCTCCCCTGCAAGGAAGGTCCAAGCAGGCCCTTAGGGACCACTGAATGCCCCGATCCCAATCAGGTTAATCAGAATCACTTAGAGAACTTAAAAATACAGTTTCCTGGACCTTATCCAAGACCTACTGAGTGAGAATCTTGAGGGTGGAATCAGAATCTATTTTGAAAAGGCATCCCCAAATGGCAGTCTGATGGACTGCGGGTTTGGATACCACTGCTGTAATGTAACCCTCTTTGTTTAGATGAGGAAACTGAGGTTCAGATGGAAGATATGATTTGCCTATTGTAATACAAAGAATCTGAACTGGTTTTGGGACTAGAACTGGGTCCCTGGGAGAAGGTGAATCACATTTCCAGCACATTCTAGAAATTTAGAGCAGAGCAGGTGTCCCGGCCTCACCCTCTCATTTTGAAGATGAAGATGCCAAAGCCTGGGAGGGAAGGAAAGGAAGTGACCTGTGCAGCGCCACACAGGAAGTCGGGAAATCAGCATCACCCAAGAAAGCAGGCTCCTGCCACTCAAGGTCAGTGCCCTTGTCCCACACGGCCCCACACTCACCGGCCCAGGGGCTCTCGCATTCATAGAGCATCCAGTGGTCAGCTCGGAAGGGGGCGTGGAACCACATGGAATGGTCCAGTGAGACCATGAAGTGCACCTTGTGCTGCCACTGGTGAGGCAGCAGTGCAGTGCCCAAGAAGGCATAGTCGGAGATATAGGCGGCCACGCAGCAGTGCATCTTCATGTCGCCCTCGCCTGCAACAGGTCCCCATCAGCCCTGGGCTCCTGGGCTTTCCAGCTCAGGACCTGCACGGAGGTAGGGGGAAAAGGGACTCCCGTGCATGGGTGTGCAGACTGGTTGCTGCACAAGAGCGCTTGGCCTACAGTGTGTGTGTGTGATAGGGGAGAAGTGAGATGGCGACTTGGGGAGGGCAGGGGTGAGCAGGGACTGAAATTCAGTCTTCACCACCCAAGTCTCCCACTCTAGGCCCCAAAAGGGGTGTCTTCTTCCAATTTGCACAAAGATACTTTATAGTTAGCAGCAAAGCTGGACAACAACCCCAGCGAGGTGCCTTTTGCCTTCCTCAGAAAGGCCTTGTGTCGGGATTATAGTCATCTCCACCTTCTCCCCATGCAAAGGGCTGAGAGGGCCCAGGTGAGAAGCTAAGCCAACTTCCCCATCATGCAGATAAGGAAACAGGCCCAGAGAAGGGAACTCATGTGCCCAAGGCCACACAGCAAATGAGTGGTAGACCCCTTGGAGAGTGGTTTCCTCCCATCCATGGGGTACTCTTACCAATATAGCCCCGGGCTCGCACCCAGAACATCTGTTTGGGCTCCATTCTCTGCAGCTGGCTCAGGGGGGATGGGTTTACTGGCTTGATCTCAATGGGGACCTCCTGAGCAGCAATTCGGTTGAGCGCCAATGGGTACCTCTTTTGGAGGTTAGGGTCCCTGAAAGTAAAGGGAAGAGGGTCGGGGTGAGACCCAGGAAGAGAGGGAGTCACATCTGCATTGCCTCTTCTGACTCCCCTCATTCTTCCACAGGGACCCCTGATATCCCCAAAGCTCCCCTCCCCTGTGGCAGGCAGGATAGTGCAGCGTTTGAATCCCTTCTTGGCCACTTACGAGCCATGTGGTCTCGTGCTAATTAGTAATCTGAGTCTATTTTCCCATCTGCAAAATGTGGATAATGATAGTAACCTACCTCATAACCAACACTGTGAAGACAAGATCATGAATATCTAACCAACACATCATAGTAATAAGGCATACCCTGTAATATGCACTGTTCTAAGCATTGTACATACAATAGTATTCCTCACAACAACCCTGTGAGATAGGTACTATTATCACCCCCATTTCATCAGTGAAATAAGCACAGAGTCCAGGTAGCTTGCTTAAAAATTGGAGAGACAGGATTTGGACTCAGGCAATCTGGGTCCACAGTATGATTATTTTCTATTTTTTTAGAGACAAGGTCGTCTTCTCACCCAGGCTGGAGTACAGTGGCGCAATCAGCTCACTGCAGTCTCCAACTCCCAGGCTCAAGCCATCCTCTTGCCTTGGCCTCCCGAGTAGCTGGGACTAGAGGTGTACGCCACTGTGCCTGGCTAACATTTTTATTATTTCTTTATTTTGAGACGGAGTCTAGCTCTGTCACCCAGGCTTGAGTGCGGTGGTGCAATCTCAGCTGACTGCAACCTCCGCCTCCCAGGTTCAAGTGATTCTCCTGCCTCAGCCTCCCGAGTAGCTGGGATTACAGGCGCCTGCCACCATGCCCAGCTAATTTTTGTATGTTTAGTAGAGATGGGGTTTCACTGTGTTGGCCAGGGTGGTCTCGAATTCCTGACCTCATGATCCGCCCGCCTCAGCCTCCCAAAATGCTGGGATTATTTTTACTTTTTTTTGTAGAGATGGGGTCTCTTTATGTTGCCCAGGCTGGTCTCAAAATCCTGGCCTTAAGTGATCCTCCTACTTCAGCCTCCCAAAGTGCTGGGATTACAGGAGTGAGCTGCTGTGCCCAGCCACTTCATTATTTTAAACACTCAAGAAACAGGCTGCCTGACTTGGCCTGAGTTACCAAACCCTACACAGTAGGGAACATTGCATCCCCCCAGGGGGAGGAGCCCATTCCAAGGAACTCCCTTCAATACAGTGACAACCACCCATAGTGCTCTGCACAGGTCCTGCCATTTTCACCCCTATCCTCTGGAGTGCTGTTGGACAGAACCTCCTATGATGATGGAATGCCTATCTGCACAGCACACTATGGTAGCCACTAGCCACATGTGACTATGGAGCACCTGAAATGTGGCTAATGCAACTGAGGAACAGAATTGTTCATTCTACTGACTTTGGTTTTTTTTTGTTTTTTTTTTTTTAAGACGGAATCTCGCTCTGTTGCCCAGTCAGGAGTGCAGTGACTCAATCTTGCTTACTGCAACCTCTGCCCCCTGGGTCCAAGCGACTCTCCTGCCTCAGCCTCCTGAGTAGCTGGGATTACAGGCACGGGCCACCACGCCTGGCTAATTTTTTTGTGTGTGTATTTTTAATAGAGATGAGGTTTCACCATGTTGGCCAGGCTGGTCTCAAACTCCTGACCTTGGGTGAGCCACCCGCCTTGGCCTCCCAAAGTACTGGGATTACAGGCATGAACCACTGCGCCCGGACCTATTTAATTTTAATTAATGTAATATAGCCACGAGTGGCTAGAGACTACCTTATTAACAGCACAGATCTAAATTCAAGGTCCTTTAACAATGTCTTCCTTTCATTTCAGCAAACATTTGTCGAACTGCAACCACACACCAGGCCCTGTGTTTTTTCTGTTAATAGTGATATAACTACAATTCACTGCCATTGTGCTAGTTAGTACTAGCACGCTAAGTGCCTTTTCTCTCTTATTTAATCCTCACAGCAGCCTTATGAGGTAGGAATATGATTAGCACCATTTTATAATGGTGAGTACTGGCTCAGAGTGGGAAAGCAACTTGCCCAAACTCACACAGCTAGTAGGGACAAAATCTAGAATTGAATCCAGGCCTTTCAGGTTCCCAAACCCACATCCATCCCGTCATACTCTGCTGCCTCCCCAGTATCTAACACGAGATAGAGACATTCTCTCCTTATGATACAGCTAAGAAGTAGGCAGGGCAGAAATGAGCATTCCCATTTTTTAGAAGAAGAAACTAGGGCCCTGGGGAGTTGGGCACTGTCCCACAGCAGGTGAGCATTCACAGAGGCACAGCCCTGGACAGAATCCATGTGTCTATCCTTTGTCTGGACCCAGAGCTCTTTCCCCTGTACCAGCATTTTTCAAACTTGATTAGGTGTGATCCAAATAAATATATTTTACCAGGTATTCAAAATATCTAACATGCTCCCTGGTGGTCTAATGGTTAGGGGAAAATACATATTTGTATTTTTGTACATATGTTTTATATACATAAAACATGTGGCCGGGCACGGTGGCTCACGCCTGTAATCCCAGCACTTTGAGAGACCAAGGCAGGTCGATCACTTGAGGTCAGGAGTTCAAGACCAGCCTGGTCAACATAGCGAAACCTGGTCTCTACTAAAAAAATACAAAAATTAGCCAGGCATGGTGGCATGTGCCTGTAATCACAGCTGCTTGGGAGGCTGAGGCACGGGAATTGCTTGAACCTGGGAGGCAGAGGTTGCAGTGAGCCGAGATCATGCCACTGCACTCCAGCCTAGGCAACAGGGCGAGACTCTGTCTCAAAACAAACAAACAAACAAAAACATGCACTAATGCAAAGGCAGTGACCAAACATAGGCCATAGCGCTGCAGCTCTCCAGAGGACACTCACTCCTGGTGTGCATTAAGTCCTAAGTTGCTGGACCAGGGGCCTGGGGGAGAGAGGGAATCACTTAGGGGGCTGGGGAGGTGGTACTTAACAAGTGGTTACGGAAGTATTTCTATATACATATATATATAAAATATATATATGGTTTTTTTTCCCAGGTATGGTGGCTCATGCCTATAATCCCAGCACTTTAGGAGGTCAAGGTGGGTGGATCACCTGAGATCAAGAGTTTGAGACCAGCCTGGATAGCATGGTGAAACGCCATCTCTACTAAAAATACAAAATTAGCTGGGCATGGTAGCAGGTGCCTGTAATCCCAGCTACTTGGGAGGCTGAGGCGGGAGGATCACTTGAGTCTGGGAGTCAGAGGCTGCAGTGAGCCGAGATGGTGTCACTGCACTCCAGCCTGGGCAACAAGAGCAAGACTCCATCTCAAAAACAAACAAACATGTATATATATAAACAACAACAAAATATATATTCTTTTTTTCTTTTTTCAGACAGAGTCTTGCTCTTGTTGCCCAGGCTGGAGCACAGTAACACGATCTCGGCTCACTGC
Source organism: Homo sapiens (assembly GCF_000001405.40). NCBI lineage: Eukaryota > Metazoa > Chordata > Mammalia > Primates > Hominidae > Homo > Homo sapiens. The sequence goes on from NC_000020.11 coordinate 45,847,856, forward strand.
AGCCTCCACCTCCCAGGCTCAAGTGATCCCCCCGCCTCAGCCTCCCAAGTAGCTGGGACTACAGACACATGCCCCGACACCCGGCTAATTTTTGTATTTTTTATAGAGACAGGGTTTCACCATGTTGCCCAGGCTGGTCTTGAACTCCTGGGCTCAGGTGATCCTCCCACTTGGGCTTCCCAAAGTGTTATTATAGGTATGAGCCCCCACACCCAGCCCCAGCCTTATTTTTAAATTAGAGATGGAGTCTTGCTATGTTGGCGAGGCTAGTATCCAACTCCTGGTCTCAAGCAATCCTCCTGCCTTGGCTTCCCAAAGTGCTGGGATTATAGGTATGCGCCACTGCACCCGGCCAAGCCCTTCATTTTATACCATGACCCAGTACAGACACACACCAGAAACACACATGACTAAACCTCAAGTTTCACAAAAGGATTCTTGCCCTTAATACATACATATTATTCACTCCAGTATCTTCTTTTCTAATCTGTATTTTAAAAATGCTGGTCAAGACCCACTAAAGGATTCTATGACCCACAAACAGATAGCAGCTGCATTTTGAAAAGTCTGCCATGGAGCCTCCAGGTCTCTCACCTTAAATACTGGTCAATGAGGGTCTCACAGTCAAGCAGCTCTTCTGGTGGTGGCACAGTGGGCATGGAGAACTGGTGCTGCATGGGGCTGGGCTGGGCCTGCTGGAAGGAGGCCTGGCAGATGAAGATGGGCTTCCCATGTTGCACGGCCTTCACAGAGCGCACCGAGAAGCTCGACCCTGTTCGTGTCCGCTCCACTTGGTACAGTACTGGCAGCTTCGGGTCCCCTGCAGTGGGCACAAGGACACAGTGGGTCCACAGGCCCTGTCATCATCACAACGCCTGACAGGCACTCTACTACTCATCTTCCATTCCATTTCATCTCAGTGACTACTAACTGAGGTCTGCTAAGGTCCAGGCCCAGGGATACAGAGACCACCAGGCCCTGTCATCAGGCTTCTCCCTGTGCAGGTGGAGCTTTTCTCTAACAGCACAAACAGCAGAGACATTGACAGATTCCTTGCATTCAAATCCTGGCTCCACCACTCACCAGCCGTGTGACCCTTCACTTCTCTGAGCAGTGTGCTTATTTGCAAACTGGGGATCATCATGGTGCTCATCGCTTACAGGATTTTAATGATAATGAAATGAATCCGTAGTTGTAAAGTGTTTAGAATAATATCTGGCACATAGTGAGGGCTCTATATGTGTTTGTTAAATAAAATTAATACTCCTTGCTTCTATCTTGCTCCATCTATGCCTGGGATCTTGTCATCAGTCCAAAACCATTATTCTAGATCAGGGAGCAGTAAATCTAGCCTGCAGCCTGTTTACTGTTTATTCTGTTGTTGTTTTCTTTTTTGAGAACAAACAAAGGCTATTTATTCAGCGCTTGTTCTTTTTTTTGTTTGTTTGAGATGGAGTCTTGCTCTGTCACCCAGGCTGGAGTACAGTGGTGTAATCTCGGCTCACTGCAACCTCCACCTCTCAGGTTCAAGCGATTCCTGTGACTCAGCCTCCTGAGTGGGGGGGGACTACAGGGGTGCATGACCATACCCAGCTAATTTTTTTTTTTTTTTTGAGAGACAGTTTCGCTGGGTCACCGAGGCTGAAGTGCAGTGGCGCTATCTGGGCTCACTGCAACCTCTGCCTCCCAGGTTCAAGCCATGCTCATGCCTCAGCCTCCTAAGTAGCTGGGACTACAGGCGTGCGCCGCTACACCCAACAAATTTTTGTATTTTTTGTAGAGATGGGGTTTCACTGTGTTGCCCAGGCTGGTCTCAAACTCCTGACCTCAACTGATCCACCCACCTTGGCCTCCCAAAGTGTTGAGATTACAGGCATGAGCCACTGCGCCCAGCCAATCAGAGCTTGTTGTAGCAGGAAGTCAACCACCATCACTTGCTTTTGGCAGAGACTTAGAGGCAGGCAAAGGAATGGGAATGCTCTGTAGTGGAAAAAAAGGCTTCAGGGATGCTCCCATTGCAGGCTGTTGGCATGGGGAAGCTGTTGGTGGGCTAACTAGAAGCATGACACCTGGCTGGGCACGGTGGCTCACACCTGTAATCCCAACACTTTGGGAGGCTGAGGCGGGCAGATCTTCTGAGACCAGGAGTTCAAGACCAGCCTGGCCAACATGGCAAAACCCTGTCTCTACTAAAAATACAAAAAATTAGCCAGGCCTGGTGGCACACACCTGTAATCCTAGCTACTCGGGAGGCTGCAGCAGGAGAATTGCTTGAAGCTGGGAGGTGGAGGCTATGGCAGGAGAACTGCTTGAACCTGGGAGGTGGAGGCTGCAGTGAGCCGAAATTGCACCACTGCACTCCAGCCTGGGGAACAAGAGTGAAACTCTGTCTCAAAAAAGAGTGGGACATCCTATGTGATTGGTTAGGAGTACATATTTGGCTTTCTCCGGTTGGTCCTAAGTTGGAAGCAGGGGCAAAAATTAGGGCAGCTATCAGTTATTAATCAAGTCCTGGCTTTGGAGGCCAATTGTTACAGTGGTCATTATTTGGCTTGCTGGACTGGTTGGTAAAGATAGTGGTCTGACTTCCTACAAGTCTGACTTGTGGATAGTAGGCTGGCTTCCTGTGCTGGTTGCTGCTATTGTGCGTCAGAGTTCTGTTTTTCTACATGGTCTAGCCATTGTCTGTTTGTATATTCAGCCTCTCCCAGGCAAGGGCCACTGTCAGTCACTTCACCCCTGATGTATATGGAAGCCATTTGGTCCTTCACTGTCAGGTGTCTCTGCTCCAAAGCAGAGTGGAAGAGCCTAGGCAACACAGGGAGACCCTGTTTCTACAAAAAATAAAAAATAAAAATTAGCTGGACATGGTGGCATGTGCCTATAGTCCCAGCTAATCAAGAGGCTGAGGCGGAAGGATCACTTGAGGCCAGGAGATCAAGGCTGCAGTGAGCCATGACTGCGTCACTGTGCTCCAGCCTAGGTGACAGAGCAAGACCTTGTCTCAAAAACAACAAGACCACCACCACCAGAGTAGAAGGCACTGGCCAGGGATAAGGCAGCCAACAACAAGCAGGTGAGGGAAGATTTGGAGAGGAAGAGAACTTCCCTGGTTTCCCTGAAGTTCTCACTTTGTCTGAGTCAGGCTGACCTTGAGGAACCCTGACATCTGGGCCATGAGACATCTTGGGGATGACTTTCAACCTTCAGATGAAAGAAGCAGGTCTAGAGAAGTGTTGCTTCCTTCACTCTGATCCAAATGGGGAGTCAACCAGGCACCAGGGCTCAATCAACAGCAATAAACATCACTGTCTGAGGTCAACTGGCTTGCTCAGCTCTCTGTTATCAGGCACTGCCACCAGCAGCACTTCTATCAGAGTGCGAGCTCCTCAAGGTTAAAGGCATTTGAGAAGGGCTTACCAAGAGTCCAGACACTAGACAAAGTTACTTGTGCAGTCTGCTTTCAGACACTGGGAATGAAGTCTTCCTCCCTACCACCAAACTTGGGGGGAAAAAACAAAAAAAAACCTCTAATCCAATCCTTGGTCTGCAGGTAAGCTAAAGTGCAGATTCCTGAGGAGGATCACAGAAACTTCAGTACTCTGGTCTACCTTTCAGTGTGAATGAGTTCCAGCCCTATTCTTGAAAATTGTTATTGGAACAGAGCAGGTAGGCCCTGAGGCATATTGAAGGGAGTTAATGATTATGGAGTGATGCAGGGTGCCTGACAGCATTGGACAGGAGGGTATGTTTTCTCATGTTGGTCTCACAATAACTATGTAGAGCCACTCTTACCCCCATTGTACAGATGAGGAAACTGTTGCCTTAAAATACAATTTTTTTGTAATAAAGTCATGCTAATTTGTTTACATATTGTCTATAGTTGCTTTCACTGGCAAAACCTAAAATGTTTACTATCTGGCCCTTTCTAGAATGTTTGCTGACCTTGTTCTGAATTCTTCAAGCTCTAAATTTACCTCTGTAGAGAAAAACTAAAAACAAAACAAAAACCCAACTAATTCACATTCTTTCCTGGGCTTTTAGAAAAAGAACTGATTTGATAAATGGCCAAGGACCAACCCTCCCCCTCCCCCATAACATCTTTTATTTTTAAAATGTAATTGAAACATCTCTTTTTTGTTTTGTTTTTTTGAGATGGAGTCTCGATCTGTCGCCCAGGTGGGAGTGCAGTGGCGCAGTTTTAGCTCACTGCGACCTCCAGCCGCCGGGTTCAAGCAATTCTCCTTGCCTCAGCCTCAGCCTCAGCCTCCCGAGTAGCTGGGATCACGGGCTAAGGTCACCACGCCCAGCTAATTTTCCTTTTTTTTTTTAGATGGAGTCTTGCTCTGTCACCCAGGCTGGAGTACAGTAGCACGATCTCAGCTCACTGCAACCTCCACCTCCAGGGTTCAAGCGATTCTCCTGACTCAGCCTCCTGAGTAGCTAGGACTACAGGTGTGCACCACCACACCTGGCTAATTTTTGTGTGTGTTTTTTTTTTTTAGTAGAGATGGAGTTTCGCCACATTGTCCAGGCTGGTCTCGAACTCTTGACCTCAGCCGATCTGCCCGCCTCGGCCTCCCAAAGTCCTGGGATTACAGGCATAAGCCACATGCCCAGCCAAAAAACAGCATTGGTTTTAATATCTGATATAGCTGGCAGAGTCACACCACAAACAGATAAGAGCTCTCCCCTTTTTGCCTTGCAGCCAGGAAGCTCAGAACTAAACCTTGTATGAAACTGCAACAATATGGCTTAGCCAAATTTTTTGACATGATCGCTTCTCCCAAATCCCATTACTACTGGCCTAATGTCCTTTGACTTTTAATATTCCCATAATAACTACCAATTATTTTAGCTATCTTGCAGCCTTTCAAGACACAAGCAAGGGCACAAATAATTATTTTTATTTATTTATTTATTTTTGATGGAGACAAGAGTCTCGCTCTGTCGCCCAGGCTGGAGTACAGTAGCATGATCTCAGCTCACTGCAACCTCCGCCTCCTGAGTTCAAGCAATTCTCCTACCTCAGCCTCCTGAGTAGCTGGGACTACAGGCACATGCCGCCATGCCTGGCTAATTTTTAGTATTTTAGTAGAGACTGGGTTTCACCATGTTGCCCAGGCTGGTCTCGAACTCCTGAGCTCAGGTGATCCGCCCGCCTCGGCTTCCCAAAGTGCTAGGATTACAGGCATGAGCCACCACGCCCGGCCAAATAATTATTTATTTTGAAATGGTGGCTTGGACACAGCTCATTTCACGCTGCTCCTGGATGAAGACTTTCCAAGAAAGAGGATCTTTTCCCCAGAACCTGGGATGGGTACCCTGGCAGCTCTCTCATTGTTTAGAATTATTGCCCAAGAGCGAAGCAAAGAAGCAGGAAAGAGTTTGGCACTCAAAGACACATAAACCAGGTTCAAATCCTGGCTCTGCCTCCTTGGGCACTGTGGGAGCTGGTTCCAAACCTCTTCAGGTCCCAGTTTCCTTAGGTAAGAATGATGGCAGGAATGCCTGCCACCCATGTTTACTTATGAAGACTAAACAAGATAATGCACACAACTATGCTCTGTATCATGCAAATTTTAATTATTCCCATAAGTTAATCATCAAAAACTAATAATATTTATGGAAAACTAGATTATGCCAAGCCCTGCACTAGATACTTTACTGGCAAAGACTCATTGAATTCTTCCATCACAGGATGAAGAGATTCAGAGTTCAAGTAATGCCCCCACCCACACAAAAGAAAACAGCCAGGTATTTCACTAGGCTGGAAGGATTACAATATCAAAAGGCTGGTACTTACAAACAAATTAAAGAAACAAAGCACATATTTACTCCCAACTAGCATAAAGATAAGAACCTGGCTGAGCCCAAGGTAAGTATTCAAATACTTTATAGCAGTGACTGGGGGCCGAGAAGAGGGGGGCCAATCAATACTCCTCAGGGATGAGGAGTAAGAGACACGGGACAGTATGAAAAAGTGTATTTACCATTACAGGGATAACTTTCATATTTACAAAATGAAGGGGGAAACCCCATGGTTTTCTTAATACAAATCACATACTGTAAAGGTCCACAAACTCTTCTCAGCTGGGGATCTACGCAGAACACATGAGGGCATCTGCTCTGGGGGTAACAGGGAAGGAAAGAAAACAGTGAGGGTTTTTTTTGTTTGTTTTTTAGCATAGGTTTTGCTTTTATTTTCCTTTTATTTATTTTTTTGTAGAGACAAGGTCTCGATTTATTGCCCTGGCTGGTCTTGAATTCCTGGGTTCCAACAATTCTCCGCATTGGCCTCCCAATGTGCGGGGATTATAGGCATGAGCCACCACACATAGGTTTTTTGTTTTTGAGACAGAGTCTCGCTCTGTTGCCCAGGCTGGAGTGCTCGCCCAGGCTGGAGTGCAGTGGCACGATCTTGGCTCACTGCAAGCTCCGCCTTCCGGGTTCACACCATTCTCCTGCCTCAGCCTCCCGAGTAGCTGGGACTACAGGCACCCACCACCACACCTGGCTAATTTTTTTATATTTTTAGTAGAGACGGGGTTTCACCGTGTTAGCTAGGATGGTCCCGATCTCCTGACCTCGTGATCCGCCCGCCTTGGCCTCCAAAGTGCTGGGATTACAGGCGTGAGCCACCGCGCCCGGCCTCACACATAGGTTTTAAGTTACATTATCTGACCCCAGAGCTGTAAGAAGCTGTAGAGATCATCCCACTAAAATACCCTTGGTCCCACCCTTCTCCATTTTACAGCTGAAGTAAACCAAACTGTAGGGCGGGGAGGTAACCTCACAAGGCTGCATGGTAAATTATGGACAAAACTGAAGCTAGGCCCTACATCTTTGGTTTGTTTTTATTGACCCTATGCTCAGTTGACAAAAGAAGCCTTAGATCCCTTGACTCTCAGGCTGGTGCTCTCTTCTCCAACCCAAGCTGCCCTACCTCCACACCTCTAGCACAGAGGTCACAGCACACTGAGAACCTAGCACAGCGCTCCGCACCAGGAGCTATGTTAAGAATGGAAGAACAAAAGCCCACAAGGAGCAGTTAAGCAACAAAGTCTTGTGTCATTATCAGCCAGACATCAGGTACCCAGTGAGTCCCAGCAGGTGTGAGGTCCAAGGCTCATTGTTAGCCCCAGACCTCGTTCCACCCTAGACACCTCTTAGGGTGGTAGTGTCCGCCACCCCTCCCCTTGTCTTCCAGTCTCCCTCTCTTCCCTTTTGACCTCAGCCCCCAAGGCCAGAAATGGCTGCTGGGCCACCAGGGTTGGGTTGGGGCAGGAAGTGGGGGGTTTACCTGCCCGAACAAAGTAGCAGTGCAGGGAGTGCACGTGGACGTCTTCACTCACAGACTTGGCTGCAGCCACCAGGGCCTGGCCCACGATCTGACCACCAAACAGCCTCTTGGCCGGTACCCAGTAATGCCTTCCTCTGTAGGGAGAGGGGGAAAGAGGGAAAGACTTGGGAACTGGGCCAAATTCTACTACCCTCACTAAGACTCTAATGCATGATCTCTTCACCATATTGGGGTTTAAGATCCTTTTGAGAATATGGTAAAAGCCATAGGTCCTTTCCCCAGGCAAATATCCTTATGCATAAAAATCCTCTGGGCCGGGCGCAGTGGCTTACATCTGTAATCCCAGCACTTTGGGAGGCCGAGGCAGGTGGATCATTTGAGATCAGGAGTTCAAGAGCAGCCTGGCCAACATGGTGAAACTCCATCTCTACTAAAAATACAAAAATTAGCTGGACGTGGTGGCATGCACCTGTAATCCCAGCTACTCAGGAGGCTGAGGCAGGAGAATCACTTGAACCCAGGAGGCAGAGGTTGAGGTGAGCCAAGATCGCACCACTGCACTCCAGCCTGGGTGACAGAGCAAGACTCCATCTCAAAAAATAAAATTAAATAAATGTATAAATGAATAAATAACAAGAGCCCTCAGACATCAAGTCTAACTCCTTCAGTGTACAGATGAGAAAACTGCAGCTTGGCCCCAGAGATGAAAATGCTTGCCCAGAATGTAGGCCCATTGGAAGCTGAATAATTATGTCTCTAGCCTCCCACGTCCCAGCTGTTTGGCATTTTCTGTAACAATGAGTTATGAACAGCCCTCCATGACCTGGCAGGTGGCTCTCGCCTGTAATCAATCCCAGCACTTTGGGAAGCCGAGGTGGGAGGATCGCCTGAGCCCATGAGTTCAAAACCAGCCTGGGCTCCAAAGTGGGGCCTCATGTCTACTAAAAATAAAAAAGTTAGCTGGATGTGGTGGCAAGCGCTTATGGTCCCAGCTAAACGGGAGACTGAGGCAGAAGGGTCACTTGGGCCCAGGAGGTCGAGGTTGCAGTGAGCCATGTTCGTGCCACTGCACTCCAGCCTGGACAACAGGGCCAGATCTTGTCTTCAAAAACAAAAATCAAATAGCCCTCCAAGAAGTTATTTACAATTCCTTAAGTGGAAGGAAGGGAGCTCAAAGTAAGATAACTTCCAGTAAAGCCAGGAGAAGCCTTGGAGGTCAAAGCTGTTAGAAGCCTTGCTGCAGGGGGCTGGGCGCGGTGGCTCATGCCTGTAATCCTAGCACTTTGGCAGAGGTGGGCAGATTACAAGGTCAGGAGTTCGAGACCAGCCTGGCCAACACGGTGAAACCCCGTCTCTACTAAAAGAAGTTAAAAAATTAGCTGGGCTGTGGCGCGCCTGTATGTCCCAGCTAATCAGGAGGCTGAGGCAGGAGAAATGCTTGAACCCGGGAGGCGGAGGTTGCACTGAGCCGAGATCGCACCACTGCACTCCAGCCTGGGCAACAGAGCAAGACTCCGCCTCAAAGAAAGAAAGAAACCCTTGCTGCAGTCAAGAACTTCAGCGATGCTGGGAAAGAAAAAAACATGCTTAGGCCTCAGAATAAGTAATGAGAAACCAGACCCACCAAATGGTACTGGGGGCGGGATATTGTGAGAAGAAAAGGATACTGAAGACACAAGGAGCTGCGGCGTCGGTTTTAAGGCTGATCCATCAGCTGTGTGCCCTTGGGCAAATCACTGCCCTCTCTGGGCTAGCTCCCCCGTGAAGGCTTAGGGCAGGCTGCCGAGCAGGGTCTCTCAGGTCACCACTATATTTGCTCAGCTGTGCAGACCTCGCAGCGCGGAGAGGAAGGGAGGAAGCCAGAGCAGAGAGGACAGCTCTGTTGGGGGCGAGTTCTCTCCTAATCGTGGCAGAGGGTGCATCCCACGCAGAGCCATACTAGTCCCGGAGCCAGGGGCCCCGGGCGGCGGCAGTCAAGATCAAGTTTCTGCCCTAAAGGAGGGGATGCTGGGCAGGAGCTGCCGGCTACCTGAAGAGATCCTCGTCCAGCGGCTCGAGGTTGAGCACGGTCGTGACCAAGACGCTACGGAGGTCCCCAGGGGGATCGCCGCGGTCGCCACAGCCCTGCCCATCTTCTGGGGCCTGCGGGGACGACATCTAGTTCAATGCTGCAGGCCCTGCACACCCGCTCCGCGGAAGACGCGGAGACATACACAGAACCTGACTCTTCCGGCAGATTGCCCTAGTAACCGGAAGTCTCCTGCAGACCCCGGGAAGGAGGAATCTAGGTTATGATTGGTCAGGACTCCTGTCAGTCCGCTGGTGGCTGTGGCCCTCTTTCTCTAGCAATTGGAGAAAATGAATGCCAATCTGCGAATCCTGTGTGTGACTGGATATGTCGCTGAGGAGGCGGAACCTCGGGACTGGATAATATGGACTGAGTGTCATTTCCCCTGTCAGATAGCAAATACACCCCCTTCCTCTTGTAACCCGGTCAGGCCTAGGGTTCCTCCCTGAGTTCCAGAATAGGCCACCCAGTTGGGGCGGACCCTTAAGGCATTCTGGGCCCACGCCTGCCTATAAACCCTCATAGTGTGACCTTTGACCCCTGGTGTGATCTTGGGCCCGGGCTGGGACCAGCCCCTAGTGTGGGTTGTGGGGGCGGCCATGGAGCTGGGCAGCTGCTTCAAGACCTATGAGGACTTCAAGGAGTGCTTCAGCGCCTACAAAAGGGAGAACAGGTGCTCCTTCATTCTCAGGGACTGCGTCTCCGTCCGCTTCCACAACCTCAACCATGGCACCTCCATCCGCGAAGACATCCTGTAAGGGCGGGCGGGGCGGGGCGGGCCAAGAGGGTGGGGAGGAGGCTGGACCTCCGGAGGGCTGCCTGGAGGAGGAGGGGTGCATAGGCACGCATTGGGCTGCGTGGCCATTCATTCAACAGGCACTCATTGAGCACCTGCTGTGTGCCTTGTGAAGAGAGCTAAGCCTCCACGGCCATTGGTTTTTGACCACCCACTCCACTTTCACTCCATTCACAGGCTTTTCTGGAATTTATAACTGCAGTTTCTCCCATTGTTTTGAGCAGCTGCAGCAACCCAAATACAAAGTATGGCTTTCATAAACGGATAAAAACACCTTGGCGATAATTTCCTTCATCAGTCTCCTCTTTACAAAACAGTCACATGGTCGTTGGAATGTTCGTTCATTCATTCATTCAGTTTTTAGTTCTTATATATTTGTTGAAACAGGGTCTCACTCTGTCCCCCAGGCTGGAGTGCAGTGGCACAATCAGCTCACTGAGCCTTCAACTGCTGGGCTCAAGCGATCCTCCCACCTCAGCCTCTCAAGTAGTTGGAACTGGAGGTGCACGCCACCATGCCTGGCTAATTATTTGATTTTGTACAGACTGGGTCTTGTTATGTTGGCTAGGCTGTTCCCAGACTCCTGGACTAAGCGATCTTTCGGCGTCTCAAAGTGTTAGGATTACAGGCATGAGCCACTATGCCTGGTCTATTCATTCATTTTGTAAATGGTTTTTGAGCTCCTTATATTAACCGTTTTCAAACACTTTCCATGTGCCAGGCAGTGTTCTCTATGCATGCTTTACCCTGCAGGGCTTTTTTTTCAGAATTATAGATAAATGTTATTTTTTTGCATTTGACAGATGAGAAGATTTGACAGATGAGAAGTCAGGCTTAGAGGTTAAGACAGGAGTTGAAAACTCAAATGCCTTCAGGGATTAGGTGAAACAACCCAATGTAAGAAAGTTTTAACTTTGAATTTTACTTTAAGAAAAAGAATGATGAAATAGCAACCAACACCAGGTCTTTGTGCTAGGGACAACAGAAGTGTGAAATGGGCCAAATGGAGAGTAGATGCCATCTAATCAGCTCCAGCTGATGGCTGCCATATGAAAATAAAGATCTAGTGTTGCCAGAATTTTGGGCAAGAGTTGTCAGAAATCCACACTTTATGTGGATTTTCCCATTTAAAAAAATTGAATCAGTTCAAATTTTAACTCAGAGCATGCGGGCCAACTCAGAGTTAAAGCATATCCGAGTTTGAGACTTGGATTGAGATGCTCAACCAAAGCTCCTCAATTAGACAGCCAGGCTATATTCTTTCCACTGTTCTGAAGTCCAGTGCTATGCTGGGTATAGGTGACATAAAGATGAATAAGTGTTCAAACTATCCCCAGAGAACTAGGATAAACTTGAACTCAAGCAAACTGGTGTGTGATAAATGCTTTAAAAGGAATGTGGAAAAAAAAAAAAAAAAAGAAATGTACGGAGAAAGAAATGAATGACAAATGCCTGGGAGGTGGGGGAAGTCTTCACACTGGAATTGATGGTTTCCCTGGGCTGTGAATGAATGTAGAGTGCTAGAGTAGATCTGTGGTTAATTACTGAGTACCATGGAGGCATTTGACCAGAAGTTGCTGTGCAGAAGGACCTACAGGAGCAAAGACAAAGATACATGAAAGAAGGTTGGCATGTTAGAGTAACAGTGAGGGATACCATGTTTGGCAGGAGATGAAGTCATTTGCAGTCTAAGGGTCTTTAGGGACCATTGTGAGGTGTTTGGACCTTGTCCTTTATGGGTAGGACCTTGCTAAGCAATGAGAGGAATACAAAAAAAAAAAAAAAAAAAAAAAACCACAGTTGCCCGTAAACACCCTTCAGGAAGACCATCTCAGGTGGCTAGCACAAGGTGTGGCCCATAGCAGGCATTAAATAATTATTGAATGAGTGAGTTATCAAGTACTAACCATGTGATTCAGGGAAATAGGTGCTGCGGGAACTCAGAAGAGAAAAATCACTGCGAGCTAGAGACGTAAGAGTGAAAGGGAGGCTTGAGCTGGGCCCCCAAAGATGGAGAGCTGTCAGAAGGTGTATTGGTTTTCTGTTTGCCACTCTAGTGAATTACCACAAGTTTAATGGTGCAAAGCAACACAAATTTATTATCTTAGAGTTATTTAGGTTAGAAGTCAGGCACAGGTCTTAGCAGGCTAAATCAAGATGTCTGCAGGGCTGTATTTCTTTCTGGAGTCCCTGGGTAAGAATCCATTTCCCGCCGGGTGCAGTGGCTGATGCCTGTAATCCCAGCACTTTGGGAGGCCAAGGTGGGCAGATCACTTGAGGTCAGCAGTTCAAGACCATCCTGGCCAACATGGTGAAACCCCGTCTCTACTAAAAATACAAAAATTAGCTAGGCGAGGTGGCACATGCCCGTAATCCCAGCTACTCAGGAGGCTGAGGCAGCAGAATTGCAGCCGGGAGGTGGAGGTTGCAGTGAGCCAAGATCGTGCCATTGCACTCCAGCCTCGGCAACAGAGCGAGACTCCATCTCAAAAAAAAAAAAAAAAAAAAAAAAAGAATCCTTTTCCTTTCCTTTTCCACCTCCTAGAGGCTGCCCAACACACCTTGGGTCATGGCCCCCTTCCTCCATCTTCAAAGCCAGCAGTAGCAGGTTGAGTCATCACATCACTCTGACCTTGCTTCTGTCATCACGTCTCTGACTCCCTCTTCTGCCTCCCTCTTCCACTTTTAAGGATCCTTGTGATTATATTGGGCCCACCCAGATAATCCCAGATAATTTCCCTATTTTGAAGTCAGCTGATAGCCACCTTAATTCTATCTGCAACCTTAATTCTCCTTTGCCATGTAACCTAACGTATTCACAGAGTCTAGGATTAGGACAAGGACATCTTCAAGGGACCATTCTGCCTGCCACAAGAAGATTAATAACCTGGAGGTAAAAATGGTGTGAGTCAGTACAGACGTAAACATGACGTGCTTCTATTAGAAAACAGTGATGGGCTGGGCACGGTGGCTCACACTTGTAATCCTAATACTTTGGGAGGCTAAGACAGGGAGATTGCTTGAAATGAAGAGTTTGAGACCAGCCCAGACTATAATCCTGGGCAACAAAATGAGATCCCCGTCTCCACAAAACAAAATTTAAAATTAGGGGCCAGGTTGTGGCAGCTCACACGTATAATTCCAGCACTTTGGTAGGCTGAGGCAGGCAGATGGCTTGAGGCCAGGCATTCTAGACCAGCCTGGGCAACATGCCAAAACCTCATCTGTACAAAAAATACAAAAAGTAGCCAGGCATAGTGGTGTGTGCCTGTAGTACCAGCTACTCTGGAGGCTGCGGCAGGAGGATTGCTTGATCCCAGGAGTCAGAGGTTGCAGTGAGCTATGATCGCACCACTGCACACTACATTTTAGCCTGGGCAACAACAGAGTAAGATCCTGTCTCTAAAAAAAAAAAAAAAAGCAAGCAGTGATGTATGTTTGCACGCACATACAAAAGCCATGAGGAGACCTGCTTAGCTAGAAGGAAGGATTTATGCTGGAGCAGCAGGAAAGGAAATTGGAGGGTTGATAAGCAGGTTGGTGGGTTGGGATTTGTTTTGTTTGTTTTAGGAGACAAGGTCTCGCTCTATTGCCCAGGCTAGAGTACAGTGGGAGGGTCATAGTTTACTGTAACCTTGAAATCCTGGCCTCAAGTAATCTTACTACCTCAGCCTCCTAAGTAGCTAGGACTACAGGTATGCACCCCCATGCCAGGCTAATTTTTTTTTTTCAATTTTTTGTGTAGAGACAGGGTCTTGCCATGTTGCCCAGGCTGGTCTTGAACTCCTAGGCTCAAGCTGTCCTCCTGCCTCAGCCTCCCAAAGTGTTGGGATTACAGATATGAACCACCATGCTGGACCTGTTTTTGTTTTTGAAGGTGAACAATTTTAAAAGTGTTTTTGGGCCAGGCACAATTCAATCACTTGAACCCAGGAGGCGGAGGTTGCAGTGAGTCAAGATCATGCCACTACACTCCAGCCTGGGCGACACAGCGAGACTCTGTCTCAAAATAAATAAATAAAAAGTGTTTTTGTGTTTGAGTGGTTAACATAATTAAAAATATTTTCAAAAAGTACAGAAGGGACTAAAAGGGTCACCTCCACTGCATTAGCTTTTGGTTTTTTTTGGTTTTTTTTTTTTTTGAGAGATGGAGTTTCGCTCTGTCGCCAGGCTGGAGTGCAGTGGCGCGATCTTGGCTCCCCGCAACCTTTGACTCCCTGGTTCAAGCGATTCTCCTGCCTCAGCCTCCCAAGTAGCTGAGATTACAGGCACGCACCACCCCACCCAGCTAATTTTTGTATTTTTAGTAGAGACAGGGTTTCACCATGTTTGCGAGGAAGGTCTCAATCTCCTGACCCGGTGATCCACCCGCCTCAGCCTCCCCTGCTGGGATTACAGATGTGAGCCACCGTGCCCAGTCTGCATTATCTTTTTTATCTATTTATTTATTTCATTTTTATTTATTTACTTACTTACTTACTTATTTTGAGATGGAGTCTTGCTCTGTCACCCAGGCTGGAGTGCAGTGGTGCAATCTTGGCTCACTGCAACCTCTGCCTCCCGGGTTCAAGTGATTCTCCTGTCTCAGCCTCCCAAGGAGCTGAGACTACAGGCATGCACCACCACGCCTGGCTAATTGTTGTATTTTTAGTAGAGACAGGGTTTTGCCATGTTGGCTAGGCTGGTGTTGAACTCCTGACCTCAAGTTATACACCCATCTCAGCCTTCCAAAGGGCTGCGATTACAGCTGTGAGGTGCCACGCCCAGCCTATGTATTTATTTATTTTTATTTTTGTAGAGGTGAGGTCTCACTATGTTGCCCAAACTGATATTGAACTCCTAGGCTCAAGTGATCCTCCCTCCTCGGCCTTGGAAAGTGCTAGGATTACAGGCATGAGCCACTGTGCCTGGCCCACTGCATTATTATATAGAGGCAATCAGCGTTACCTTCCTGAGAGATACTGAGGCTGAACAAACATGTCTTGTATATGCATTTGCATCTTTTTGTTGTTTTAACACAAGTGGCAGCATGCTATTTAGACATAGCCTTCTGTACCTGCTGTACCTGGCTCTTCTCACTTACCAATATATCTTGGAAATTATGCCACCGTATGGGCAATTTGATTTGACTTTCATTGATTTCCTTGTTTTTTTTTTTGTTTGTTTGTTTGTTTTTTTGTTTGTTTTTTGCAGTTGTTAACTAAAAAGTTACTCCATGCTGGTGTCTGGAGATACGTTGTTGAAAAATATAAATTGAATCTCTGCTCTTGTGGAGACAAATACTAATCTATAATCACAGAAATAATAATTTCCTTAAAGTGGTAGTAGAGCTCCAAAGGAAAAACCCAGGGTGCCCTGTGGAGGGGTGATGGTGACACTTATTCTGATTGTCAGGAACAGGGTGGGGGTGCTGGTTGACACCCTAAACCAATGCAGGCTCTTGCTCAGAAAAAACTGTCAGCCCTGAGATTTTGCAGATACTTTACAAAGCACATTCACCTTTATTACCTGACCTGGTTCTCTGAATAACCTTGTCAGAGGCAAATTTTGCTGTTCCCACTAAATTAGTTAATACATGTAAAGTGCTTACAGCAGTGCCTTGTAGATGGAAAATAGTCCACAAATATTGTATTGTTTTACAGATGGGGAGACAGAGCCAGGAGAAGTCAAACATTAAGAGACAAATAGTTTAGGGCCAGGCGCAGTGGCTCATGCCTGTAATCCCAGCACTTTGGGAGACCAGGGCAGACAGATCACCTGAGGTCAGGAGTTCGAGACCAGCCAGGCCAACATGGTGAAACCCTTTCTCTACTAAAAATAAAAAAATTAGCCAGGCATGGTGGTACGTGCCTGTAATCCCAGCTACTCAGGAGGCTGAGGCAGGAGAATCACTTTAACCCAGGAAGAGGAGGCTGCAGTGAGCTGAGATGGCACCACTGCACTCCAGCCTGAGCAGCAGAGCGAGACTCTGTCTCAAAACAACAGCATAAATAACTGAAAATTAGACCCAGCCTATTTACTGACAGAGCTCTTAATTGTTGTACTTAGCCACTGGGCTCTAATAGTTTTCTAATGTCACTTGTCCATTTTTCCCTCAACAAACTTGTGGTAAGAGGCTAAGTGTTTACCATGGGCCAGGAGTACAAAGATGAGCTGGAGTACAAAGATGAGGAAATTGTAGGCTCCACCCCTGAGGACAATAGCGGACTGAGATAGCTTAGGAGGCGGTGAATTCATGAGCAGCACAGGTCTTTAGCAGAAACAAGTTGACTGCTGGTTGTGATGTTATAAAGGACATTCTTGGATCATTTATTGCAAACTGGCTCTGTGCAGAGCTCACTGTCTTGGGCTTTTTGAGTGATACGTGGGTGTCTTGGGGGACTGGAGGGTTGGTGGGGGAAATGTTTTTAGGAGGTAATTTAGTACATGTTTCTGCAGCCAAATACACATATTACTGGGTGGTCAGGTGAGATGATATTAATACTTATGTGAAAATGTAGACATAAAGTTCCTTGATAAGCAAAGTAAAGCAAGTGAACTAATTTAAAGAAAACCATTTACAGCTGGATGTTGCTCACGCCTATAATCCCAACACTTTGGGAGGTCGAGGCGGGCGGATCACTTAAAGTCGGGAGTTTGAGACCAGCCTGCCCGACATGGTGAAACCAACTCTACTAAAAATACATAAATTAGCCAGGCACGGTGATGGGCATCTATAATCCCAGCTACTCAGGGGGCTGAGGCAGGAGGATCCCTTGAACCCGAGAGGCGGAGGCTGCAGTGAGCTGAGATCACGCCACTGCACTCCAGCCTGGGTGACAGAGTGAGACTCCATCTCAAAAAAATTTTTGAAAATAATGGTGCAGGGCCGGGCGTGGTGGCTCACGCCTGTAATCCCAGCACTTTGGGAGGCCCAGGTGGGTGGATCATGAGGTCAGGAGATCAAGACCATCCTGGCTAACACGGAGAAACCCTGTCTCTACTAAAAATACAAAAAATTTATCCAGGCATGTAGCCGGGGCGCAGTGGCTCACACCTGTAATCCCAGCAATTTGGGAGGCCGAGGCGGGCGGATCACTTGAGGTCAGGAGTTCAAGACCAGCCTGGCCAACATGGCGAAACCCCATCTCTACTAAAAATACAAAGAATAGCTGGGTGTGGTGGCGCACACCTGCAATCCCAGCTACTTGGGAGGCTGAGGCAGGAGAATCGCTTGAACCTGGGAGGCAGAGGTTGCAGTGAGCCAAGATCATGTCATTGCACTCCAGCCTAGGCAACAAGAGCAAAACTCTGTCTCAAAAAAAAAAAAAAAAAAATTATCCAGGCCTGGTGGCGGGCGCCTGTAGTCCCAGCTACTCAGAAGGCTGAGGCAGGAGAATGGCGTGAACCCGGGAGGCGGAGCTTGCAGTGAGCCAAGATCGTGCCACTGTACTCCAGCCTGGGTGACAGAGTGAGACTCCATTTCAAAAAATAAAAAGAAAAGAATAGTGCAAATATTATATGGGTGGCTATGGCAGATGTAAAGGTGATTGGCAATTCTTTTTCTGGAAAAGCTGGCCCAAGGGTTAAAAGGAAGAGCTCTGGAGTGAAAGAGACTGCCTTTGCCCTTGACCTTGGGTAAAACTTAACCTCTTCACATAGTTTCATCCTTTACAAAATGAGAAGGGTGTGGCAATGATTAAGAAAAATTCAGGGCTGGGCGTGGTGGCTCATGCTTGTAATCCCAGCACTTTGAGAGGCCGAGGCGGGCAGATCACGAGGTCAGGAGATTGAGACCATCCTAGCTAACACGGTGAAACCCCATCTCTACTAAAAATACAATTAGCTGGGCGTGGTGGCAGGCGCCTGTAATCCCAGCTACTCCGGAGGGTGAGGCAGGAGAATTGCTGGAACCTGGGAGGCAGAGGTTGCAGTGAGCCGAGATCACGCCATTGCACTTCAGCCTGGATGACAGAGTGAGACTCTGTCTCAAAAAAAAAAAAAAAAGAAAAAGAAAAAAAAAATTCAGGCTAGGGGGCATGCCTGTTATCCCAGCACTTGGGAGGCCAAAGTGGGAGGATTGCTTGAGCCCAGGAGTTCAAGACCAGCCTGGCCAACATGGTGAAACCGTCTCTACTAAAAATACACAAATTAGTCGGGTGTGGTGGTGGGCACCTATAATCCCAGCTACTCAGGGGGCTGAGGCAGGAGGATCATTTGAACCCGGCAGAGGTTGCAGTGAGCTGAGATCTCACCACTGCACTCCAGTCTTGGTGACAGAGCGAGACTCCATCTCAAAAAATAAAATTGAAAATAATAGTGCAAATATTATATGGGTGGCTATGGCAGATGTAAAGGTCATTGGGAATTCTTTTTCTACAAAACTGGCCTAACGGTTAAAAGGAAGAGCTCTGGAGTAAAAAAGACCCCCCCTTGCCCTTGACCTTGGGCAAAACTTAACCTCTTGACACAGTTTCATCCTTTACAAAATGAGAAGGGTGTGGGGATGATTAAGGAAATTCAGGCTAGGGGCAGTGGCTCATGCCTGTAATCCCAGCACTTGGGAGACCAAGGTGGGAGGATTGCTTGAGCCCAGAAGTTCAAGACCGGCCTGGGCAACATAGCGAGACCCCATTTCTACAAAAAATAAATTAACTGGTCGTGGTGACATGTTCTTGTGGTCCCAGCTACTCAGGAGGCTGAAGCCGGAGGATCACTTGAGCCCAGGAGTTTGAAGCTACAGTGAGCCATGCTTGCACCACTGCACTCCTACCTGAGCAACAGAGACCCTGTCTCAAAAAAAGAGAGAAAGAAGAAAAGGAAAGGAAAATGCTCGTAGCACCTAAAACAGTGCTCAGTAAATGTTTGCTGAAGCTGTAACTATAGTATGTAGTAGAAAGTGGTAGTTATTTGAAAGAGAGTCAAAGATACGTGCTCTGGGAATTACCACTAAATGACCAAAAGTTCACGTCAAAAAAATAAAATCAGATCAAGTTAGAAATTTTTTTTTTTTTTTTTTTTTGAGACAGAATCTCACTCTTGTCACCCAGGCTGGAGTGCAGTGACGCTATCTCTGCTCACTGCAACCTCCGCCTTCCGAGTTCAAGCAATTCTCGTGCCTCAGCCTCCTGAGTAGCTGGGATTACAGGTGCCCGTCACCACGCCCAGCTAATTTTTGTAGTTTTAGTAGAGACAGGGTTTCACCATGTTGGGCAGGCTGGTCTCGAACTCCTGACCTCAAGTGATCCACCCACCTCAGCCTCCCAAAGTTCTGGGATTACAGGTGTGAGCCACCGCACCTGGCCAGAAAAAATTTTATTATGCACACAAAAGAACAGTTGGAGATTAGTCAGATGCTCCAGTCACTGTAGTGAGGGCAGTGTTAATAAAGCCTAAGGAAGGATTTTGACCTTTTTTGTGATTGGCTGTTATACATTAACAATCTGTTTACAGCCAGTAGAGCTGTTCAAACTGTTTTGTCTATAGTTGATTCCTTTAATTTTACTGAATTATGCTGACAAGGATGTAAAGCTTTGTGTTCTGTTTATGATTGATTAGAGCTACATTTCAGGGAATCAGGATATCTTAAATTCCGGCTATGTGGCTGTGGGCAGTTGGCCTTGGAGTATATCTAAACTGTGGCCTCCACTTTCATTTTTCTTGAAACATTGCTATCAACTGGGAAGAGTATGTGACTTTATGCCCAGTTTCCCCTCTCAGATTTTTATGACGGTTGTTTTTCTTTTTGTTATGCCATTTGAGGGATTGATGTTTCTTAAACTATGAAGTACTTGGCTGTCTCTCTCCATTGCTGTTCAGGTTAACAGCCACCATTTGTAAACACTTTGTTGGAGCTCATTCCTTCTCTGCTAGGAACTTTACAAGAATTGTCTCAATCCTACCACACCTTTGGCAGGACCCTTGTTATCAGAGTTTTCATTATCCATGTATCCATAGTTACAAGGCTATATAGAAAAGCAAAAGTCATCACACAAGAATCTTGCTAACAAACTACTTATAAAATTAGTCACTACTTAACCATCCCTCTGCTTATCCCTGCCAGTCCCATTAACATGTTTGGTAGTCAATTTCTGGCTGATGAAGAGATACATTAAGCATCAAGGTAATGCAAATGTAAATAAAACTGACTGTAGACTGAAATGGCACATCTCCCAAAACTTGTAGGACTAGGCGAAATCCCTGCAAGTGATGATAGAAAACCTTCAGCCTTATACCAGTTAACAAAGGAAGAAGGGAAATCAACAAAGATGATGAGATGGTAAAAACTTGAAAAGTAGAGGATTTGCCTAGGAAAAATTAAGCCCTTCGGAAACTTAGTAAAGCTAAGGAATATTTTGGCAAAACCATCTTTTGTATGTTGCAAAAGTGAGACAGGAAATGAAGTATAGTGTTTGGGAATTTTTTTTTTTTGAGATAGAGTCTTGCTCTCCTGTCCAGGCCGGAGTGCAGTGGTGCGACCTTGGCTCACTGCAGCCTCAGCCTCCTGAGTAGCTGGGATTACAGGCATGCGCCACCACACCCGGCTAATTTTTGTATTTTTAGTAGAGACAGGGTTTCACCATGTTGGCCAGGCTGGTCTTGAACTCCTGACCTCAGGTGATCCACTCGCCTCGGTCTCCCAAAGTGTTGGGATTACAGGCATGAACCACTGCACCTGGCCTAGTGTTTGGGAAAACTATACTAGGAAAAGAATAGTTGCTTTAAGTCATTCTTTGATTATTCTGAGAATTGGCATATAGCTGCCATTATAACCTACTTTTGCTAAATATAATAATAATAATCATTATTTTTATTTTTTGAGACAGGGTCTTGTTTTGTCACCCCGGCTGGAGTGAAGTGGCGCAATCTCGGCTCACTGCAACCTCCACCTCCGGGTGCAAGCAATTCTCCTGCCTCAGCCTCTTGAGTAGCTAGGATTACAGGCACAAGCCATCATGCCCAGCTAATTTTTGTATTTTTAGTAGAGACAGGGTTTCACCATGTTGGTCAGGCTGGTCTTGAACTCCTGACCTCAGGTGATCCACCCGCCTCGGCCTCCCAAAGTGCTGGGATTACAGGCGTCAGCCACTGTGCCCGGCCCTGCTAAATATAATATTAACTTTATAATTTTAGTCTCATTTTCCACCCAGATCTTGTTTATCACTATCTGGGTGGTAGTGATAAAGTTCCACCCAGATCTTGTTTATCACTATTCCCTATGAAATGTTTCTGGGTGGCCGGGCGCAGTGGCTCATGCCTATAATCCTAGCAATTTGGGAGGCCAAGACAGGTGGATTGCTTGAGGCCCGGAGTTCAAAACCAGCCTGGCCACATGGTGAAACCCTGTCACTACTAAAAATACAAAAAATTAGCCAGGCATGATGGTGGGCGCCTGTAATCCCAGCTACTCGGGAGGCTGAGGCAGGAGAATCACTTGAATCTGGGAGGCAGGGGTTGCAGTGAGGCGAGATCATGCCACGGCACTCCAGACTGGGCAATAAGAGCAAAACTCCGTCTCAAAAGAAAAAAAAAAGAAATGTGTCTGGGTATGTTTTTGGCTGCAATTAGCTGAAAACCCTGACTCAAAATGGCTTATTGCAGATACTTAGAAGCCCAGAGGTGGGCCTCCAAAGGTCATTGTCTCAGTGGCCTGGACTCTGCATTTTTCCACTCTGCCATGTTCAGGTCTCAGCTTTGTCCTTAGGAAGGCTCCCCATGTGGCACAAATGCAGGAGTCACATCCAGAAGAAGAAGCCTTTCTTGCCGGGCGTGGTGGCTCACACCTGTAATCCCAGTGCTTTGGGAGGCTGAGGTGGGTGGATCACGAGGTCAGGAGTTCAAGACCAGCCTGGCCAACATGATGAAACCCCCATCTCTACTAAAACTACAAAAATTAACCAGGCGTGGTGGCGGGCACCTGTAATCCCAGCTACTCGGGAGGCTAAGCCAGGAGAATCGCTGGAACCCAGGAGGCGGAGGTTACAGTGAGTCGAGATCTTGCCACTGCACTCCAGACTGGGCAACAGGGCAAAACTCCGTCTCAAGAAAAAAAAAAAAAAAAAGAAAAGGCCAAGCGTGGTGGCTGTAATCCTAGCACTTTGGGAGGCTAAGGCAGGCAGATCACGAGGTCAGGAGTTTGAGACCAGCCTGACCAACATGGTAAAACCCTGTCTCTACTAAAAATACAAAAATTAGCCGGGCACGGTAGCATGCCTGTAGTCCCAGCTACTCGGGAGGCTGAGGCAGGAGAATCGCTTGAACCCGGGAGGCGGAGGTTGCAGTGAGCCAAGACCGTGCCAGTGCATTCCAACCTGGGTGACAGAGGGAGACTCCGTCTCAAAAAAAAAAAAGCCTTCCTTGGTTTCCTGCCAATTTCCTGTCATGTTTCTTTGTCCCGAATTGGGCCAATATCCATGCCCATTCCTAATACAATTACCTTAATTGACTTAGATTAGCCCTGAAGCATGTAGTGATGTGGGGGAGGAATGACAACTGAAGAAAATAGAAAAGAAGGGACAAAGGTTGTTGAGTTGGCAACCAACAATTCCTGTTATAGCTTTTTAAATTAATTCACTTTAAGTGGTACTGATTATTCATATTGTTATTTCCATGTATAGAGAGAGAAGAAATTGGAGGCTTAGAGGAAGTGAAGTGACTTGTCCAAGGTCACATAGCTAAGTGGAATTTATTTTTTTTTTTTTTACTTTTCTGAGACAAAGTCTCACTCTGTCGCCCAGGCTGGAGTGCAGTGGCGTGATCTTGACTCACTGCAACCTCTGCCTCCTGGGTTCAAGTGATTCTTCTGCCTCAGCCACCCGAGTAGCTGAGATTACAGGTGTGCACCAGCATGCCCGGCTAATTTTTTGTATTTTTAGTAGAGATGGAGTTTCTCCATGTTGGCCAGGCTGGTCATGAACTCTTGGCCTCAAGTGATCCACCTACCTTGGCCTCCCAAAATGCTAGGATTACAGGTGTGAGCCACGGCGCCCAGCTACTGGAAGTCATGATGCAAGCTGTTGTTTGAATCATGAATTCCAAACTTAATGAGTGCTAGGTTGAAGTTATTTTTTTTCTGTTTCCCTTAATCTTCTATTGAGATATAACATGTATTGAAGCACAGACATCTTTTGCAAGAATTCATTGAGCACTATAGTTATATTCATCTGTACTTACTGTCTCCCTGGTAAAGGCATAAACTCCCTTCAAGATGGGGACATGGTTTTATACTTTCCTGAATCTCCTTTAGTGCTTATATCTAACAGCACTTAACCAGGATCTGGAGGGGGTCAACCAGTCTTGCTTCCTTCCAATCTACTCTGTAGATGTTTGTGTTTTTCTACTGTAACTATAGAGGTAAAGGAGCCAATGGTGTTTCCAGTGTCTGGCACATAATAGGTGCTCTATGAATGTCAAATGAATGACTGAGGCATAAAAAGTTCTTCCTATGACATAAGTAGTATAATAGGAAGATCACTGGGATAGAATTTTCTTAGAAGACGTGGCTCCTAGTCCTAGCACTATTACTCTTACTGACTATAACTTTGGACAAGTCATTTGTTTAATTTCAAACATTTACTGAATTCTGTGTACCAAATACTGTACAAGTTGTTCAAAAGGCTACAGAGTCTCTACTCTCAAAGTCTAGTCAGGGGAGAGATTACACAGGAGTGAAACCCCATCTCTACTAAAAAAAAAAAAAAGAAAGAAAAAAATAGCCAGGCATGGTGGCAGGCACCTGTAATCCCAGCTCTTGGGAGGCTGAGGCAGAAGAATTGCTTGAACCCAGGAGGCAGAGGTTGCAGTGAGTCAAGATCACACTACTGCACTCCAGCCTGGGCAACAGAACGAATATCTGTCTCAAAGAAAAAAAAAAAAAGAAAAAAAAAGTATGTTTAGAGATCCTTAAGGAAGTTTTGAACCTATCCAATATGTTGGGAGTCAAGATGAGGAGGGTAAAAGTAGGAATTCAGAGAAAGGATAAATATTTTGAAGGAAGGCAGCATAATGGTTAACTAGTCAGACTGCAGACAAACAAGCAGTACAAATCCCATGTTCCCAGGTCTTAGCTGGAGGATTAAATCCCAGATTCTCATCCTTGAGAACCTCTTTAAGCTTGTTTTCCCATCTGTAAAATGTAGATGATAATAGAATCCTTTTCCTACTGTAAAATGATGCACATTGGGGGCTTCATGTAGCCAGATATATAATAAATCCTCAATACATGTAGCAGTGGTAGGGGAGAACTAAAAGACTTGTTAACATATTGGATGTAGGTGAGAAAGAAGAATCAAAAAGAATATCCAGGTTCCCGCCCTGGGAGGGGCAGACATAAATGGAGCCAGGAATGGTACAAGGAGCTTTGTGGTGGGCACTCACTAGTACCTTTCTTTGGAATAGCTCAACAAATGTTCACTAAGTACACATAAAGTCAATATAACTTGATGAGCTAGAGTTAGGCTAAGATGTTGAGTTAGCAGAAGAGTAGTACCCAACTAAGGGCTTGAGGAAGGCTTCCTAGAAAAGATAATGGGTGCACGTAGTCCTGAAGGATGAGCAAGGCTTGCGAGGAGGGAAGGTAGGAAGGGCATTCCAGACAAAGGGACAAACATGCACAAAGGTGAGACAGAGCATGGTGAACACACAAAGTTGTAGGCATTTTGTCTTTCTAGGACACAAAAAACAAGGTGATGAAAACAAGGCTGGAGAGACAAGCGGAGACCACAAGTGGTCACCCCTCACTGGCCTCGCTGTACTACTGGACTGCTCCAGCCCTTCCTGGCCCAGAGCTAGAGATGGCACCACCCCCGCACTGTGCACACAATAGGTACAGACACTCTCAGCCCCAAACCCCTCCAGCCTGTTACTGTGAGACTCACACATCCTGTTTTCCCAAGCTTGCCCCACAGGGTGAGCAAACTGGACCAGCTGGATTAGAGTATTTGGAAAAGTGCAGGTGGAGTTTCTAGGCTATGCCACGTCAGGCCAGGGGGTGAGATTTTTTTCCCTTCCCCTGGTCTTTGGGCTGGGGCACTCCCTGAGGAGGGAGGGGTGTGACCCATCCCACCCATTGGTGGTCCATGATCCATTCATCCAGTACATCATCCATAAGCATCTGCTGAGCCGGGCGCAGTTGCTCACGCCTGTAATCCCAGCACTTTGGGAGGCCGAGGTGGGCGGATCATCTGAGGTCAGGAGTTCAAGACCAGCCTGGCCAACATGGTGAAACCCCGTCTCTACTAAAAATACAAAATTTGCCGGGCATGGTGGCGCATGCCTGTAATCCCAGCTACTCGGGAGGCTGACACAGGAGAATCGCTTGAACTCAGGAGGCAGAGGTTGCAGTGAGTCGAGATCGAGCCATCGCACTCCAGCCTGGGCAACAAGAGTGAAACGCCATCTCAAAAAAAAAAGCATCTGCTGAAGGCACAGTATTGTGTTAGAGGCTTGGACTACCCTGAGGAATAATAGTCCTGACACTTGAGGACATCCCCATCCAATTGGAAAGGCACTGGATAAACATCTAAGAAAATGTCACAAGGCATAAAAGCTGTAATAATAATAGCTAACTTGTATTTAGGGTAAACAAAAGGCTGAATCAGGCTTTGGACTAAATATTTTGCCTGTGGCTCATTTAATCTTAATAACAACCATAAGATTATCTCATTTTATGATGAGGAAACTGTATACAGAGAGGTGATTGACTTGCCTAAGGTTGAACAGCTTATGAGTAGTAGAGCCAGTATTCAAATCCAGTCAGCCTCCAGTGTCCCCTCTCTTTAGTCATTAGATATAGTGCTACCCAGAGAATCTGCTAAGCCTTATAGATAAATGCTATGAATTCAGAGGCAGGAGCAATTACTGTGGCTTGGGGGCATCCACAAAGACTTTCTAAGGTGGTGACACCTGATTTGGGCCTTGAAACTGGTTGAATAGAGATAAGAAAAGAACAGATAATCAATTTAACTGCCGTTGTGTTTTGAATCATCACTTTAAGCCTAGAATGACAAAGCTGGAAAAGACCCTAAATATCATCTAGCCCAGTGGTTATCAAATTTTCTTAGGATGTGGACATTTTTCTTTAAATGAAACATGAGTAGAAGCCAGATGCAGTGGCTCATGCCTGTAATCCCAACTACTTGGGAGGCTAAGGTGAGAGGATTGCTCAAGCCCAGAAGTTGGACACCAACCTGGGCAACGGTGAGACCTTGTCTCAAAAAAGAAAGAAAGAGGCCGAGGGCGGTGGCTCACGCCTGTAATCTCAGCACTTTGGGAGGCTGACGCGGGTGGATCACTTGAGGTCAGGGGTTCGAGACCAGCCTGGCCGACATGGTGAAACCCTGACTCTACTGAAAATACAAAAATTAGTCAGGTGCAGTGCTGCATGCCTGTCATCCCAGCTACTCGAGAGGCTGAGGCAGGAGAATCGCTTGAACCCCAGAGGTGGAGGTTGCAGTGAGCTGAGATTACACCACTACACTCCAGCCTGGGTGACAGAGTGAGACTTTAATTTCAAAAAGAAAGATGAGCAGTAATCTTGTCTCTTAAAAAGGAGGACCAAACATTCCCTAGCCCCAAAACATTCCCTGAAAAGTTCAGTTGAGAACCACTGATCTAGTCCAATGTCCTGGGATCCTCGCTTTTATCTTTGCTATCTGGAGAAGGAAGAGACAGCGGTAGTTCCCAAAAGACACAAACAATGGGGACATTTTAAACGGGAGTAACCAGCTAAGCACTCTGCTGCTGCTGCTTGTCTATTTGCCCTCTTGTCCTGCCTCAGGGTGAATTGTTGGCAGCTACAAATGGCAACCAAGAGAGAATGGAGTTGGGGCTTAGAAGTGCGGTAGAGGAATATGAAGGGGGCTGGAGTTGGAGAGGCTCTTAAAGAAAGAGCTGACTATATTGGGACTGGAGAGTTAATGTAAATCTCTTCTTGGTTCATGGGGATTTTGTTGTTATTGTTTTTTTCCCCATGACACAACTCTCAGGAGATCCTGAGAACACGTGCCCTGATTTGGGGGGGGTTTTAATTTTAACTTTTTTTTTTTTTTTTTTTTTTTGACAGAGTCTCACTCTGTCACCCAGGCTGGAGTGCGGTGGCGCCATCTTGGCTCACTGCAAGCAAGCTCCGCCTCCCGGGTTCACGCCATTCTCCTGCCTCAGCCTCCCAAGTAGCTGGGACTACAGGCGCCTGCCACCACACCCAGCTAATTTTTTGTATTTTTAGTAGAGACGGGGTTTCACTATGTTAGCCAGAATGGTCTCGATCTCCTGATCTCGTGATTCACCCGCCTCGGCCTCCCAAAGTGGTGGGATTACAGGCGTGAGCCACTGTACCTGGCCAAAATTTTTTTTTAATTAGAGACAGTCTCTTGCTGTGTTGCCCAGGCTGATCTCAAGCAGTCCTCCCACCTTGGCCTCCCAAAGTGCTGGGATTACAGGCGTAAGCTATAGCACCCAGCCTTCCTTCTTTCCTTAATTCTATTTTTTTTTTTGTTTGTTTGTTTATTTGTTTGCTTTTGAGATGGGGTCTTGCACTGTTGCCTGGGCTGGAGTACAATAGCGTGATCTCGGCTCCCTGCAACCTCTGCCTCCCAGGTTCAAGGGATTCTCCTGCCTCAGCCTCCCGAGTAGCTGGGATTACAGGTGCCTGCCACCATGCCTGGCTAATTTTTTGTATTTTTAACAGAGACAGGGTTTCACTATGTTGGCCAGGCTAGTCTCAAACTCCTGACCTTGTGATCTGCCCTCCTTGGCCTCCCAAAGTGCGGGGATTACAGGCATGAGCCACCATGCCCAGCCTTCCTTAATTCTATTAATATATGAATCCTTTTCTTTTTTTTAAAAAAAAGAGATAGACTCTTGATCTGTTGCTTAGGCTGGAGTGCAGTGGCACAAATCAGAGCTAACTGCAGCCTCAAACTCCTGAGTTCAAGCAATCCTCCAGCCTCAGCCTCCCGAGTAGTTGGGACCACAGTTGGGAACCACTACACTTGGCCCTACTACGGGTTTTTCCTGTTTGTTTGTTTTTTGTTTTTTTGTTTTTTTGTTTTTTTGTTTTGAGACGGAAGTTTGCTCTCGTTGCCCAGGCTGGAGTGCAATGGCGCGATCTCAGCTCACTGCAGCCTCCGCCTCCCGGGTTCAAGCGATTCTCCTGCCTCAGCCTCCCGAGTAGCTGGGACTACAGGCATGCACTACCATGCCCGGCTAATTTTGTATTTTTAGTAGAGTCGGGGTTTCTCCATGTTGGTAGTCAGGCTGGTCTTCAACTCCTGACCTCTGGTGATCCGCCCATCTCGGTCTCCCAAAGTGCTGGGATTACAGGTGTGAGCCACCGCGCCCAGCTGTTTGTTTTTTTGAGATAGGGTCTCACTCTGTTGCCCAGGCTGGAGTGCAGTGGCATGAACATGGCTTACTGCAGCCTTAACTTCCCAGGCTCAAGCGATCCTCCCTTCTCTGCCTCCTGAATAGCTGGGACCACAGGAATACACCACCACACCTGGCTGATTTTTAAATTTTTTGTAGAGCCAGGGTCTCTCCATGTTGCCCAGGCTGGTCTCAGACTCCTGGGCTCAAGTGATCCTCCCACCTCAGCCTCCCAAAGTGCTGGGGTTATAGGCATGAGCCACTGTACCCAGCCCCCTTCAGGGTCTTATCTTTATAAGGGGTGGGGGGTGGTCAGCACCTTTCTCATTGTTACCTCTACCTTCCCTAGGTATGTGCAGGTGAAATTTGTCTGCATTCGGACCCAATCAAACAGGAAGAGAACGCGGGAGGCAGACATGTGCCCAGCGTACTTGCTCCTAAGGTACAACGAGAGACTAGATAGACTATTTATCAGTGAACTAAACACACAGCACATACATGGTGACTCTAAAGTGGCTAGTCCTGGAGGAGACACCACTGGCAAATCTCAAAAGACAATGTGCCTGCAGAGACTCCAGCCTGTGCAGCCCACAACCAAAAAAGACCTTGACACTGCCGAGAAGTCCCTGGTTGAGCCATCGTTTTGCCTAGATAAGGTACAAGTGTCCTCAAAGCCAGAGCAGGAAGGCATCACTCCTTCTGACCTGGCCAAGATAGCAAAAGTGATGAAGAACTTTCTTAAGGTAGATGAGGGTTCCATGGCTTCCTTCAGTGTGGGTGACAGCCAGCACCTGGACCGGCTCAGCTTCCAGAGCAGTAAGATGACCGACCTGTTCATCCGCTTCCCAGAGAATCTCTTGCTACACCGGGTGGAGAACACCCAGGGCCACATCCTCTATGCTTTCTTGGTGGAGAACAAGGAACGAGAAAGTCGAGTGGTGCACTTTGCTGTGCTCAAGGCGGAGACAGTCACCTCTGTGGCCAAGATGCTGAGCATCTTCACAGAGTTCAACTCCGATTGGCCCAAGGTCAAGGTGGTCTTTGTGGACCCTTCATTCCATTACCGGGCTATCCTGCAGGAGATCTTTCCTGCTGCCCGCATCCTCCTTTCCATCTACCACACAACCCGACTCTTGGAGAAGAAGTTGCATCGTAGTTCAGCAAATCCATCCTTTAAAAGGCTCATGAAGGAAGCCCTGCGGGAGGCCGTGTTTGTCACTTCTGAAGCCAGCCTGAAAAATCTCTGCCAGATGTCCCAGGCCGTACTGGATGAGGATCTCTTCAACTTCCTGCAGGCCCACTGGTTCACCTGTGAACTGCTGTGGTACATGCATGTTAGGAAGGGCCTGCTTGCGTGTAACACCTACATGGACAGCCTAGACATTGTCACCAGCAAGGTGTCAAGCCTCTTTCGGGAACAGCAGTCGCTGCTGGACTGCATCCTCTGCTTTGTGGATTACATAGACTTCTTTAATACCAAAGGCTTGAAGAACTTGCCCACACCTCCTCCCAAATTAAAGAGAGCTCGGCCGGCAAGCATGCCACTGAAGTCCAAGAAGGCTTTTGGAATCTGTGGAGAGAGCCTTACCAGCCTCCCTGCAGAAGAGACCAAGCCAGACGCACAGCAGGTACAGGTACAGCAGCAGTCACAAGTGCCGCCCTCGCAGGTTGGCATGCTGGACACCTTGCACCAGAGTGGCTCTGAACTAGCCTACAAGCTGTGCCACAATGAGTGGGAGGTGGTACAGAACTCCACCCACCTGGTGGACATGGCTGGCTCTTCAGTGGACGTTCAGCTGCTAGAGGACTCTCACCAGGTTAGCAAAGATGGCTGTAGCTGCAGCTGTTCCTTTCAACAATGGTACCACCTGCCATGCCGACACATTTTGGCTCTGCTGCACACCAGCCAGCAGCCGGTTGGTGAAGCCATGGTGTGCCGCCGGTGGCAGAAGAAGTACCAGTACCTCCTTGGGCCCAATGGGGAGCTCCAGGATCGTGGTATGGTCCCAAACACAGGCCAGCCTGAGAAGCAAGGACGGAACGACATGATTCAGGACCTAAGCAGGGAGTTAGCAAACCTGCTCATGCAGACCGAGGGGCCAGAGCTGGAGGAACGCTACTCCACCCTGCGCAAGATTGTGGATATCTGGGCTGGCCCCTCCCAGCCATCTGAGCTCTTTCAGCAGCCAGGAGACTTTAAGGACGTGGGCCGCCTCCCTTTCCTCTGGGGAAAGCAAGAAGAAGGGGAGGGATTCCCTCCTGCTACAGCTGTGATGCATTATTGAAGCACTTTAGCTGAAGCATTGGACCACAAACACTTCTCCTTGGAAGTGTGAGAGTTTAAAGTGGGCAGGACATACTAGGGTTTAGCATTTTAGCCAATGTCTTCCTAGGTGGGGCTAGGAATATTGTTACAGTAGAGAGGAAGGGAACTCCACTGTGTGACAGTCCTTTCAATCTGCCCCTTTTCAGCCCTACTTTTGGCATTCCTTGGGAGCCTCAGTTGTTGTTCAAGGCCAAAGTTATCTCCGTGCTGCAAGGTCACCCTCTTCCTCCCCCAGCCCCTGAGATCAGATCTTATTTGCTCTGCAAAGATGAATCCCTGCCTCAGGTTAGGGTGAGACAAAATCGGTCTGGTAAAAGGGCCTGTTTTCAGGGACAAAGGGAATGAGGATGATCTTTGGCTGTTGCTGCTCTTTATGAAGAATCTTATTTGTAACTTTTTATTCATATTAAAGTTGTTTTTAATAAAATTAAACAAGGGAAATGTGTTCTGCTTGATCAGGGAAGGAAGAGGAATTGCATAGCAATAGGACTCGACTTTACAGTTAGGAAGTGGCTGCTCTAGGTGGATTTATTAATTTTAAAGAAAATTGAGGCCAGGCGCAGTGGCTCACACTCATAATCCCAGCACTTTGGGATGTCGAGGCGGGTGGATGGATCATCTGAGGTCAGGAGTTCGAGACCAGCCTGGCCAACATGGCGAAACCCTGTTCTACTAAAAATACAAACATTAGCCAGGCGTGGTGGCGCACCTGTAATCCCAGCTTCTTGGGAGGCTGAGGCAGGAGAATCGCTTGAACCCAGGAGGCGGAGGTTGCAGTGAGCCTAGATCGTGCCACCGCACTCCAGCCTGGGTGACAGAGTGAGACTCTATCTCAAGCAAAAAACAACAACAAAAAAAAAAGAAAAGAAAATTAAGTATTAGCAACCTAATGGGGTTGTGGAGCCAAATAGAACCTGATGCCTCACATTCAAGGATTTGGCAATCTGCGTCTTAATTTGCCTCCTTCCTACAACTAAGCCTTCAAGGTTGATTTCAGGTTTCCTTATATTCTAGCGGGAAGAGGCCAAATAGACTGGAGGGTGTGGGGGAAAAACCTGAATCTTAGACTTGACTGCCAGCAACTTGCTGGGGAACTGTGGGCAATTTCTTTGACCTCAGTTTCCTCTGTAAAAATTAGCATGTTGGCCTGTTCTAATCCCAGATTTCCCCTCTAGGTTTACATAAGCACCTTTTTGTTTTTTGTTTTGAGATGGAGTTTCGCTCTTGTTGCTTGTTGCCCAGGCTAGAGTGCAATGGCAGAATCTCGGCTCACTGCAACCTCTGCCTACTGGGTTCAAGCGATTCTGCCTCAGCCTCTTGAGTAGCTGGGATTATAAGCATGTGCCACCACGCCTGCCTAATTTTTTGTATTTAGAGATGGGGTTTCACCATGTTGGTCGGGCTGGTCTTGAACTCCCGATCTCAGGCAATCCACCTGCCTCAGCCTCTCAAAGTGCTGGGATTAAAGGGATGACCTACTGCACCCAGCCCAATAACATTTTCGATGCGTAAGTACCAACACTGATTTGATGTTGCTAGTTGGTAATCTTAATCCTCCAAGGCCTGGTAAACACCCAGTTTTCTAAGTCTGCCATCTTCAAGGGAACTGAGGACAAGAGACCAGTTAGTAGGCCCTTGCACTACTGTAGTAGGACCCTAAATAAGTCATGGCATCATTCTGTAGAATACTGGAGGGGGTTGGGCTAGAGAATGCCAAGTTTTGGCTTGTTTAAGGGGATCTGGATTTCCTCAGCTCTAAAAGTTGGGCTCCTGATCCCCGAAGGAGGAGTAGAATTTGAGACCTGGAACTCAGTTTCCCCATAAGGTAGAATATGCGTTATGACTATATATGCACTGTTTCCTAAATTCCAGGGGCTTTAGAGTTTCACACACACACACACAACAAAACAAAACCCGCGGTGGCTCACGCCTGTAATCCCAGCACTTTGGGAGGCTGAGGTGGGCGAATCACGAGGCCAGGAGTTCGAGACCAGCCTGGCCAACAGGGTGAAACCCCGTCTCTACTAAAAATACAAAAAATTAACTGGGCGTGGTGGCGGGTGCCTGTAATCCCAGCTACTCAGGAGGCTGAGGCAGGAGAATCATCGCTTGAACCTGGGAGGCGGAGGTTGCTGTGAGTCGAGATCTTGCCACTGCACTCCATCCCAGGCGACAGTGCGAGACTCCATCTCAAAAAAAGAAAAAGAAAAAATATATATATAACTGCTATTTATTTTCCTTTTCATTTTCTGCTTTTGAGGGAGTTTCCATAGTAACGTGTCCTTCCAGTCGCCTAGCCTGAAGGGAAGCCCCGGAGCTCCAGCTTCAAGGCTCAGCTCTCCCAGATGCAAGTATCTTTACCTCCAGCCAGCTCCTTGTAACCCTGGCAACACGGCCCGCCCGCGAATCGTCACGCTACGATTGGTCCGTGGTGCTAAAGCCTGAAAGCGAATTCCTCAGACATTGGTCCGAGTCACTGCGATGCTGACGCTGTGGTTGGTGAGTTTGGATGTCAGTCAGAGTCGGAGGCAGGGTCAAATAGGGAGAAATGGCGACGGAGCCTGGCTGTGGGTGAGTGCTTCCTGAAGGGGTGAAAGTGTGAGACAGCGGATCACCGCAGTTAGCCGTCACACAGCTCCCAAAGGGATGGGAGGGAGGTTTTCTTCTCATCCGGCTCCAGCTGGACTCTGGGAATGTCAGACATCCACATCTCCCACCCAGGTTAGAGGTGAGAGGTCAAAGGCCGTATTCCCTCTGTTGGTTTTTGGACCCCAGGTACTGTGGACAGCAGTCAGGATCCCGAACCAAAGACTCAACTTTCAGCTACTTACAGAGTAATGGTGGGCAAGTCACTTAGCTTCTTTGAGCCTTAGTTTATCATCTGTAAAATGAGGACAGTAACTCGGTCTGGGGCCAAATAGAGGAAACAATGGAATAGAGTATTGCTGCTAAAAGAGGGATATAGTAGAGGCAGGAGAAGCTATGCACATTTGTTAGCCATATTTTATGGTGGAAGGGATTGAGGCTCAGAGAGGGTCATTGACTTGCCCAAGATAACACAGCAAGTTTGGAGCAATTGCAGTTCTCTTATACATACCAGGACCAAAGGAAAGAATGGATGCCAATCAGTCATTTATAAATATAAAATCGTATTTTTATTTTATTTTATTTTTTGAGACAGAGTTTCACTCTGTCACCCAGAGCTGGAGTGCAGTGGCGCAATCTCGGCTCACTGCAACCTCAGCCTCCTGGGTTCAAGCAGGTCTCCTGCCTCAGCCTCCCGAGTAGCTGAGACTACAGGCATGGGCCACCATACCCGGCTAATTCTTTTTGTATTTTTAGTAGAGACGGGTTTTCACCATGTTGGCCAGGCTGGTCTCGAACTCCCAACCTCAAGTTATCTGCCCACCTTGGCCTCCCAAAGTACTGGGATTACAGGTGTGAGCCACTGCACCTGGCTAGAATGCTATTTTTTTAAAAGGCCATATGCAGCTCTGGCCATACCTATTTAAATCCCCTGGAACCATATCTTTCCATAGCTAACTTCTTATCATTTAGATTTCAGCTCCAATGTCATCCTTCTCCCCTGAGAGGCCTTCCATTACCACTTTAACTAAAGTATCCCTCCCTTCCCCAGCTTACTCTCTGACATGTTACTCAGGTTTATGGTCTTTGTAAGCTTCATTATTGGATATATATTTGCTTATTTGTTTACATGTTTATTGTGTATCTTCCCCTAGAACAGTGCTGACATATAGTAAGTGTTCAACAAATATTGTGTGGATGAATAATTGAAGAGCCAGGTCCCTGCTGTCTCCTTAAACCTCTGTTACTCTCCATAGGCCCATCTTTGGAAAAAAGATCTGGGAATGATTGTCTAGCCTCCAGCCTCAACTTACTTGATGCTTGAGAGACTCAAAGCCCCGTGGTCAGCTGCCCTGCAAAGAAAGTATTTTGACCTTGGCATTTGGACAGCTCCCATCTCTCCCATGGCCCTGACAATGCTGAATGGGCTCCTGATTAAGGACTCAAGCCCACCTATGCTGCTGCACCAGGTTAACAAGACTGCCCAGTTAGATACCTTCAACTACCAGAGCTGCTTTATGCAAAGTGTCTTTGACCATTTCCCTGAGATCTTATTTATCCACCGGACCTATAACCCAAGGGGTAAGGTCTTATATACCTTCCTGGTGGATGGACCTCGGGTGCAGCTGGAGGGTCATCTTGCCCGAGCAGTCTACTTTGCCATCCCTGCCAAGGAGGACACTGAAGGCCTGGCCCAGATGTTCCAAGTATTCAAGAAGTTTAATCCAGCATGGGAGAGAGTCTGTACCATCCTGGTGGATCCTCATTTCCTTCCACTGCCTATCCTAGCTATGGAGTTCCCCACAGCTGAGGTCCTTCTCTCAGCCTTCCACATTTGTAAGTTCCTCCAGGCCAAGTTCTATCAGCTGTCCCTTGAACGGCCCGTGGAAAGGCTGCTCCTGACCTCCCTGCAGAGCACAATGTGCTCAGCCACAGCAGGCAACCTGAGAAAGTTGTATACACTCCTGAGCAACTGCATCCCTCCAGCCAAGCTGCCCGAGCTTCACTCACACTGGCTGCTCAACGACCGCATCTGGCTGGCTCACCGCTGGAGAAGCCGAGCTGAGAGCAGCCACTACTTCCAGAGCCTCGAGGTCACCACCCACATCCTCAGCCAGTTCTTTGGTACCACCCCATCTGAGAAACAAGGTATGGCTTCTCTGTTCCGTTACATGCAGCAGAACTCTGCAGACAAGGCAAACTTCAACCAGGGCCTGTGTGCCCAGAACAATCATGCTCCCTCAGACACCATCCCCGAAAGCCCCAAACTGGAGCAGCTGGTAGAATCCCACATCCAGCACTCCCTCAATGCCATCTGCACAGGGCCAGCAGCCCAACTGTGCCTGGGCGAGCTTGCTGTGGTCCAGAAATCCACACACCTCATTGGCTCTGGCTCAGAAAAGATGAACATACAGATCCTGGAAGATACCCATAAGGTGCAGCCCCAGCCCCCTGCCAGCTGCAGCTGCTACTTTAACCAGGCCTTCCACCTGCCCTGCCGCCACATCCTAGCCATGCTCAGTGCCCGCCGCCAGGTGCTCCAGCCCGACATGCTGCCGGCTCAGTGGACGGCAGGCTGTGCTACCAGTCTAGACAGCATCCTGGGCAGCAAGTGGAGTGAGACCCTGGATAAGCACCTGGCAGTGACTCACCTCACCGAGGAGGTGGGTCAGCTGTTGCAGCACTGCACCAAGGAGGAGTTTGAGCGGAGGTATAGCACCCTGCGGGAACTGGCCGACAGCTGGATTGGGCCTTATGAGCAGGTCCAACTCTGATTATTCTCGATGCCCAGAGATGCTCATGCACCTGTGCACACTCACATCCACCCATACACACACACACACACACACACACACACACACACACACTCCCTTACACTGTTGTACTTCCGTGGGCCCTCCTTCCAGAACAAGGACAACAAGGACAAGGTTGAAGGGTCTTCTCATCTACCATGGCCTGCTACCTAGCATGTGTCTAGCTCAATGAGACAGGAGTCAGCAAATCTTAATCTGTTTAGTTTACTCAGGTGGCCACATACAGTCTCTGTTGTATATTCTTGGTTTTGTTTTAATATTTTTTTTCTTTTTTTTTTTTTTTTTTTTTTTGAGAAGGAGTCTGTCTCCGTCACCCAGGCTGGAGTGCAGTGGCGCAATCTCTGCTCACTGCAAGCTCCACCTCCTGGGTTCACACCATTCTCCTGCCTCAGCCTCCCGAGTATCTGGGACTACAGGCGCCCGCCACAATGCCGGGCTAATTTTTTGTATTTTTAGTAGAGACGGGGTTTCACCGTGTTAGCCAGGATGGTCTCGATCTCCTGACTTCGTGATCTGCCCGCCTCGGCCTCCCAAAGTGCTGGGATTACAGGCGTGAGCCATCGCACCCGGCCTGTTTTAACATTTTCATAAGGTAAAAACCTTTCTTAGCTCAAAGGTCTTTAAAAAAGCAGGCAATCCAGCTGGGCATGGTGGCTCACGCCTGTAATCCCAGCATTTTGGGAGGCTGAGGTGGACAGATGACTTGAGGTCAGGAGTTCAAGACCAGCCTGGCCAACATAGTGAAACCCTGTCTCTACTAAAAATACACAAATTAGCCAGGTGTGGTGGCGGGGGCCCTGTAATCCCAGCTACTCGGGAGGCTGAGGCAGGAGAATCGCTTGAACCTGGGAGGCAGAGGTTGCAGTAGGCCAAGATCCTGCTGCCACTGCACTCCAGCCTGGGAGGGTGAGACTCCATCTAAAAAAAATAAAATAAATGGCAACCCCTGGTCTAAGATAAGAGATAAAACATCAGGTGGTGAGGTTGAGGTTTGGGGCTTGGTAGCAGTTGCCCCAGTCATGAGATGACTCACTTAACCCGTCTCCTTTAAGTGAGCTGGGCTGGGAGGCTTCCTACAGGGGAAGAGGCCCCTCTGGGGAGCTGACTCAGCCAGGCTCCCTGAACTTTTTTCCTTGTCCCATCCTGGGGTCAATAAAACTGAATGTTGCATATTCTAGCACTTGTCTAGTTTTTTTTTTGTTCCATAGAAGGCAGTTTAGGGTATATCATGGAGAGAATAGACTTTAGAGTGTTATACAACATGTGAATCCTGGTTGGTTCCTTCCCTGCTTGATTTTTGTGCCTGGTTCTGCCTTTTACTAGCTATGAGACTTATTAGGATAAGTTACCCCTCTAAACCTCAACCTGATTATCTGTAAAAATGGGGATCTCCACAGGGTATGTTCACAGAGCAGGCATACCTAGTGGGTGCTCAATTAAGTATTAATTTTCCTTCCTTGCCTATGGTCCTATGACCTGCCTTCAACATGCTGGGAAATTTAAGGCAAGAGGAGAATTCAAATACCTAGGACTTAATATAAGAAATTCTGGCCAGGCATGGTGGCTCACACCTGTAATCCCAGCACTTTGGGAGGCCGAGGCAGGCGGATCACCTGAGGTCGGGAGTTTGAGACCAGCCTGACCAACATGGTGAAACCGTGTCTCTACTAAAAATACAAAAATTAGCCGGGCGTAGTGGCAGGCACCTGTAATCCCAGCTATTCGGGAAGCTGAGGCAGGAGAATCACTTGAACCTGGGAGACGGAGGTTGCAGTGAGCCAAGATCATGCCATTGCACTCCAGCCTAGGTGACAGAGCAAGACTCTGTCTAAAAGATAAAAATTAAAAAAAAAAAATTCTGGGTAGGCCAGGTACGGCGTCTCACGCCTCTAATCCCAACACCTTGGGAGGCCAAAACAGGCAGATTGGAGCAGCCTGGGCAACATGGCAAAACCCCTTCTGTACAAAAAATACAAAAATTAGCTGGATGTAGCACGTGCCTGTAGTCCCAGCTACTCAGGAAGGCTGAGGTAGGAAGATCACTTGAGCCCAGGAGGTTGAGGCTGCAGTGAGCTGTGATTGTGCCACTGCACTCCAGCATTGGTGACACAGTGAGACCCTATCTCAAAAAAAAAAAAAATTCTGATCAAGTCTTCAAAACAACATAAAAGCAGCCTTAACTCTCCAAGCAGGGGCCCCTACCTCAGATAATTTCCATTGTATCTACCTGACAAAACCTATCTCCTGTCTTAG
Source organism: Homo sapiens (assembly GCF_000001405.40). NCBI lineage: Eukaryota > Metazoa > Chordata > Mammalia > Primates > Hominidae > Homo > Homo sapiens. Next base: position 45,886,343 of record NC_000020.11, read on the forward strand.
TGGTATCTGGAGAAACTTTAGGGTCTGGAAGTCCCTGATGAAGGACTGGAATTTGTCAGAATGGCTCAACCACCAGCTCTATCCCCATCCCTGCCATAGGCCCTCCTCCCAACCCTGTCTGCCCAAGAACCATACGGAGAAACCACCCTACATATCTGGTGCTATTTCATCCATCTACAAGCAGGAGCCAGGAGGCTGGCCCCTTTTAGATCTCACTAGGGGCATCTTCCCAGAGGCTGTGTGGGCATGTGCCTGCTCCCACCGCGCCCCCTCCACAGCACCCTCTGGCTCCGGATGGGCCATCATGAAAGCTTGAGCGGCCCAGATCAGGTCCTCTTCCCGAACTCCTGGGACGGGCACGGTGGGGATGCCAGCGATCATCATGGCGAGGGTGAGGATGCAGATATCAGGCTGGGAGCTGGCCTCCTTCCCCACTGCCTCAGAGGGTACCGGTAGAACCCGTGGTGACAGCCCACACAGCATCAGGGGCCTAGGCCTGCTGGGGCCACCCAGGTCAGGGGCTCTGCTTCTGGAGTAGCCATTGTCCCAGCCCAAGCTCTCCAGCTGCCTCACATGCGGGAATTTGTGGCAGTTTCGGCTGTATTCCTTCCGTAGTGTCTCCCAGCTAGTCCCCCCAGGGCAGCCCCTGGCTTGTGGCATTGCCAGGGCTGGGCCCCAGGCCTGGGCAGCAGGTGCCACCTGCTCAGCTTTCTGGCTCAGTGGGCCTGTTCCACCAGAGGCCACCACCACTGGCTCTACAGGACTACAGAGGCCAAGGGACAAGCCTGGAGAAGCAGCCCCACCTGCAGAGACAGGAATGAAATGGAACGTTATTCTCAGTTCTTTGAGGAGGGGGCCCTGAGGGGCAGGGCATGGGAGCAGAGCTTGGGGGCGTAACTAAGACCAGCCCCAGCGGACTGTCTAGAGGTTGGGAACTAGGTGTTACTCATATCCACACTCCCAGTCCCCAACACGGAGTAGGTGATGGAGAAGCGTTTGTTGAATTAATGAATAGTGAGCAAGCGGGTAGTTATTGATTGGCAAGGATGTTTGGAATGGCTTTTCTTCTAAAAGAATTGATTCTAGGGCCAGCCCCCAAATGCCCAGCAGAACCGCCACCTCCCCAGAGCCAGAAAGCAACTTCTCAGGGGAAGCTGCCGCACTCCCTCCAATTGCAGGTGCCCCCCGCTCACCTTGGCCGGAAGGCAGAGGACCTGGATGAGTTTGTGGAGTCCTGAAGTAGGACATGGCTTCCCCAAAGCCCCGGTTTGTGAGGGAATAGTGATCTGCCGCCTGTCCTCCCTTCTTCACCCTTCTAGAATGTCACCTCATAGACCCTCCCCTTCACACTTGGAATCCACTTTACAGCGTTGACCTATTCATTCTAGAACCTGGACATGACAATAGGATGAGGTTAAAAGAGCACCAGACCAGGAGCTGGGTGTTCTAGGTTCTTGCCCTAACCTTGAACGAGTCACCCAGATAGTTTTGTTCCTTGATATCCTTATCTGTAAAGTGTGTCTGATGACTGCCCACTACCTCATTAGGAGTTTTGAGGATGAAATGAGATCATTTGTATGGAAGCAGATGACCAGAGATGGAAACACAGGAGCCAAGTGCTTCGTGCCTTGTAGAGTAAGACTTCGGGTCAGACCCAGTATTGGTATTTTTCTTTTTCTTTTTTTGAGACAGAGTCTCACTTTGTCGCCATGACTGGAAGGCTGGAGTGCAGGAGCAAGACCTCAGCTCACTGCAACCTCTGCCTCCTGGGTTCATGCAATTCTCCTGCCTCAGCCTCCCGAGTAGCTGGGACTACAGGAACCTGCCACCACACCTGGCTAACTTTTGTATTTTTAGTAGAGACAGGGTTTCACCATGTTGGCCAGGCTGGTCTCAAACTCCTGACCTCAAGTGATCTGCCCACCTCGGCCTCCCAAAGTGCTGGGATTACAGGCCAGGTATTGGTATTTTTCAAAATTCCTCAAGTGATTATAATATATGACAAAGTTGGAACCTTTTTTCTAGGGACATACTTCTCAACCCTGGCTGTACATGAGAATCTCTTGAGAAGCTTTTACAAAACACAATGTCTAGGCCTAATTTCCCAACAAATCAAATACGAATCCCTAGGGATGGGATGTGGGACACCAGCACTCTTTACATATCCTAAGATGACTCTAACAAGCAGCCAGCCTAGGGACCCCTGCTCTTTTGCTCCGACCTGCTGACCTGCAGTGATTCTAAACGAAGTGACTCTCATAGGCTGTAGGGGCAAGGAGACCTTCCAGTGATCAAGATGTCAGCATCGGCTGTTTATTTCTGGTCTTGGCTGGCAGCAATGTGGCCAACTTCGGACCAGCCAGCCACAGGTCTGGGGCTCCAGGATGCAGCTGTGCTCTGGTGCACTGTGGGTCTTCACTCATACTTGCAGAAATCCTTAAGTTCTTTGGGCAGGTGGAGCCCATCAATGGCCAGCCGGTGCACCATGCTCCTTTGTATCACTAGGCGGCACAGAGTCTGCAGGGATGGCACTGTGGGAAGAAGACTGTGAAAGGCAAACTGAACTGGAGGGTGGGTCTGAGGCCAAGATCCAGAAGGTCTAGGTCATGGTCCCCACTTTGTCATTAAATGTGGGCAAGTCCTTACTGCTCTCTGGGCCCAGCCTGCTTCATGGGGCTGAGAGAAGCACCTCTTCCTGAGAGCTGCCACAAAGCTGCAGCCCTGTTTATATCATAACACTTAGCACAATCCCTTCCCCATTCACTTAGCAGCTTCTGGGGGCAGGGGTAGTGTCTGATTTGCCTGTGCAACTGAAGCCTCCAGCACAGGCCTGGCACAAAGAGGGTTCTGGTGCATTGAGTTCATGAAATGTGATGAGAGGTATAACTGCAATGCTTACCAGGGCTATAATGAATCATACTCAGCATTAAGAAGCTCTCAGTCTGGGGTTTGTTATGCCTCGAAGCCAATAGCCAATATGCCCAAGTCTATGAGCATGTTTCTTTCTTTTCTTTCTTTTTTTTTTTTTATTTAAAGAGAGAGGGTCTTGCTCTGTCACCCAGGCTGAAGTGCAGTGCTCAGTGAACTGCAGCCTTCAATTCTTGGGCTCAAGCGATCCTCCTGCCTTAGCCTCCCAAATAGCTGGGACTACAGGCATGCACCACCATGCCCAGATAATTATTTAATTTTTTGTACAGATGGGGTCTCACTTTGTTGCCCAGGCTTGAGCTAGCTAGCTTGCTTGCTTGCTTGCTTTCTCTCTCTTCCTCTCTCTCTCTCTTTCTTTTTTTTTTCAGAGTCTTGCTCTGTTGCCTAGGCTGGAGTGCACTGGTGAGATCTCGGCTCATTGCAACCTCCACCTCTCGGGTTCAAGTGACTCTCCTGCCTCAGCCTTCTGAATAGCTGGGATTATTGGCACATGCCACCACACCCAGCTACTTTTTGTATTTTTAGTAGAGACAGGCTTTCACCATGTTGGCCAGGCTGGTCTCGAACTCCTGGCCTCAAGTGATCTGCCTGCCTCCCCCTCCCAAAGTGCTGGGATTACAGGTGTGAGCCACTGTGCCCGGCCAAGCATGTTTCTAAGAAAAGGGCAAACAATTCTCAAAGAGGCCCCTAATATCTAAAATTGGTTTAGAATCCCTGCCCTAGGTGAATACAGGAAACACTATCAAAACTAAAAGGGAACTTGTAGGGCATCTTAATCAATCAACCAAGATAGGTACCAAGGCCCAAAACCATGTAGAGGCTTGTGCAAGATCACAAGCAGAGGTGCAATTTGAAGCTAGATTCTCCCACTCTTAAACTAGTGCCGGACAGACGAAGGCCTAGCACATGGGCTACGGAGCCCTAGTAGATTCCAGTCCCCACACTGAGCCAGGAGGGGTCGCTGCCCAGGGATACCTACAGCCATACTCGAGCTGGACAAGGCGCACGCTCTTTGTGGAAGCAAACACGTCCACCACCGCGTAGAGGGGCTGCGCAGCTGGCAGTCCCCGGGCGCTCGGGCCCATGTCCTCGCCGTTGATGATGATGTGCATGTCGGCCGTGCCATCGGGGCGCGGGCAAAAGAGGACACCCAGGCGGCTACGGCGCGCGGTCGGAGGCAGCACGTTCAGCTCATAGAGCTGGTCCAAGAGATGGCTGTAGAGCCCTGGCCGGCTGCGGCCCACCAGGCGGTCCCGGGGAATGCGAAACTGCTCAATGCGCAGATATGGTTCCACGAGGAGGGTTGGAGGTCGGCTGGGGGCCGCTGCCTCCGCCTCCGGGCGGCCCTCCCGGGGCACGCGGTTGTGGTGGCGCGTGATGGCGAAGACCCAGGTGTGGCCCAGGTTGACCAGATCGGGCAGAGAAAACTCGGGAACGGGGGCCAGACTGGCGGGGTCCAGCGCGGTCAGACCGAGACGCAGATGTCCGCACCAGCCCAGCTCTTTCTCCTCGATCTCGACCAGGAAGACCTGGCCCGGGGCCAGCGGCTCGCGGCTGAAGCACACGCCGTGGGCGAAGCTCTCCACGCGTGTGGCCCGCGTCCCAGAGGGGTCCACGCGGATGTTGGCACCGTGCACCCGATGGAAGCGGGTGGGAGGGGGCTCCGGGCGCTCGAGTCCCCAGAGTGCACCCGAATCCACGGGCTCGGAGGCAGCAGCCATCTCTCGGCCATAGGGCAGGCCAGCTGGCGCCGGGGGCTATTTTGGGCGGCGGGCAATGATGGTGACCGCAAGGCGACCTTGTAAGGCATTTCCCCCCTGACTCCCTTCCCCGAGCCTCTGCCCGGGGGTCCTAGCGCCGCTTTCTCAGCCATCCCGCCTACAACTTAGCCGTCCACAACAGGATCATCTGATCGCGTGCGCCCGGGCTACGATCTGCGAGGCCCGCGGACCTTGACCCGGCATTGACCGCCACCGCCCCCCAGGTCCGTAGGGACCAAAGAAGGGGCGGGAGGAAGACTGTCACGTGGCGCCGGAGTTCACGTGACTCGTACACATGACTTCCAGTCCCCGGGCGCCTCCTGGAGAGCAAGGACGCGGGGGAGCAGAGGTGAGCTGGCACCGGAGGCTGGAGGGGATCCCCGAGCCCGGGATCGGTGCGCGGCAGAGGAGGCTCGCGGGTGGGAGCTGGCGCTGGGGCCGGGGCTTCCCTCGCGGAGGCGCCGCCAGCAACTCCCCGGGGGCTGCTGCACGGAAGCGCTGAGGAGCGAGTCAACAGCCCCTCTGCTGCCTCCCGTAGATGATCCGAGCCGCGCCGCCGCCGCTGTTCCTGCTGCTGCTGCTGCTGCTGCTGCTAGTGTCCTGGGCGTCCCGAGGCGAGGCAGCCCCCGACCAGGACGAGATCCAGCGCCTCCCCGGGCTGGCCAAGCAGCCGTCTTTCCGCCAGTACTCCGGCTACCTCAAAGGCTCCGGCTCCAAGCACCTCCACTACTGGTCTGCCGCCCTGCCTTCTGGGCGGGATTGGGAGAAGAGATGACGGATGAGGGATGGGGGGTAGTTCTGCAGACCCCTGAGGATGCCTGGGAGCCGGGAGGGCTGGAAAGGGCCCCTCCAACTGCGCCAACCCTGCCCTGACCCCCCTCCCAGGTTTGTGGAGTCCCAGAAGGATCCCGAGAACAGCCCTGTGGTGCTTTGGCTCAATGGGGGTCCCGGCTGCAGCTCACTAGATGGGCTCCTCACAGAGCATGGCCCCTTCCTGGTGAGTGGACAGCAGGGGGAAAGCACAGTTCCCAAAGTAAAAGGCTGGGGAAAGCGAGAGAGGGGCTTTGTGATTTTCCAAAAAGTTTCCTTCCTTCTAAGCCTCGGGATTTTCCTCTATGCCATTGGCTTTGCTGCCTGTACCTCTCAGAGGTTTTACCCACATGTAAAGTGCCTCTCATGGTGGCCCTTTCCCTCCACCCAGCTGGCCCTTGGGACTTACTCAGCCATCTCTTTCCTCCTCAGGTCCAGCCAGATGGTGTCACCCTGGAGTACAACCCCTATTCTTGGAATCTGGTATAGCTGGAGCTGTGGGTGTGTCTGGGCACTTGGATGGGGTGGCATTTAGCTAATTTTTCCCTCCCCTCTAGATTGCCAATGTGTTATACCTGGAGTCCCCAGCTGGGGTGGGCTTCTCCTACTCCGATGACAAGTTTTATGCAACTAATGACACTGAGGTGAGTCTGGTGCCTGCCCATCTGCCCCAGGCTCCCCGGTCCTCCATCCATGGCATGATGCTGGGAGAGAGAGCATGGCCTTGGAGTCTACTTTTCGCTCTGTCATATGCTATTGTGGTATGGTGGCCAGTCACTTCCTCTTGCACAAATAGGGTGGGTTAATGTCATTATCTCTGAAGTTCTTTCCAGTTCAAATACCAAAGCTTCCTGATTCCCTCTGTCTTGCTCTGCCATCCCCAGGTCGCCCAGAGCAATTTTGAGGCCCTTCAAGATTTCTTCCGCCTCTTTCCGGAGTACAAGAACAACAAACTTTTCCTGACCGGGGAGAGCTATGCTGGCATCTACATCCCCACCCTGGCCGTGCTGGTCATGCAGGATCCCAGCATGAACCTTCAGGTGCAGGGTAGCTGCAGGAGGGAAGGGAGGTAGCTTGAGGCTGTGGCCTTACAGTTAGCAAGGTCAGACTGACTGGTCAATGTCCCCATCCAACCCAGCTTCCTGCATAACCTCCCCACCACCGGCTGCCCTAGGTCTGTCTGTGTGCCTCCCACACAGGAAACTCACCTGTCAGGCTGCCAGCTCTGTGTTTTGCATTGAGTGGCCTCTCATACCCACCGGCCTACATAAACCACCCTGGGTTTCAGCTTCCGGATTGCTGAAGGTCTGGGTGGTAGGGTGAGGGAGGCTCTTCCTTTTTGCCCTCCACATGAGCTGAGCACCCTGGGTGTTTCACAGGGGCTGGCTGTGGGCAATGGACTCTCCTCCTATGAGCAGAATGACAACTCCCTGGTCTACTTTGCCTACTACCATGGCCTTCTGGGGAACAGGTATGGGATAGGGCAGTTGGGCAATCTCTGGGGTGAGGCAGGTCACATGATCTCAGGTCTGTCCTCCAGGCACATGATATGACAGGCCCAGCCCAGGTTTATGAGCAGCAGGTGGGTTGCAGAAAGAACCTAGTGCTGAAAGGCCAAAGAATAGAGATCAGTTTTTCTTTCTTTCTTTTTTTTTTTTTTGAGACAGATTCTTACTTTGTCACCCAGGCTGGAGTGCAGTGGCACGATCTTAGCTCACTGCAACCTCCACCTCCCAGGTTCAAGCAATTCTCATGCCTCAGACTCCCAGGCAGCTGGGACTACAGGCGCGTACCACCACACCTGCCTAATTTTTTGTATTTTTAGTAGAGATGGGGTTTTGCTGTGTTGGCCAGGCTGGACTTGAACTCCTGGCCTCAAATGATCTTCCCAAAGTGCTGGGATTACAGGCATGAGCTACAGCGCCCAGCCAGAAATCAGATTTTAAAGGAACTAAGGAGGCCTGTCTGTATGACCCTGGGGCACCTCTTTGGGAGCTAGCTTAGATGACATACAGACCACACCCTGTGATATCTTTCCCAGTCTCCTAGGGTCAGGGAGGTTGGTGGGAGGTGGGGGGTATGCTCGCCTCCTCTGCCTTCCTCTTCCCACCAGCAGCTGATGCGCTTTTCACTCTCATCTCCTACAGGCTTTGGTCTTCTCTCCAGACCCACTGCTGCTCTCAAAACAAGTGTAACTTCTATGACAACAAAGACCTGGAATGCGTGACCAATGTGAGGTTCTGCCATCACTTTGCATGAGCTCTCCCATCCCTAATCCTGAGAACAGGACCACATTCCCTCCTTGGGGACTCCTTGTTCTCCGTCCCTCATTGCTTTCTTGCACCTTTAAGCAATTTAGTGTTCTCTGGGACATGTGTCTAAGTGTGTATTCCCACCACCACCTCCTATGGTGGCAAATCCCATAACCTCCGTGAGGAGAAAGGACTTCTTCACATTTATCAAACACCTGCAACGTGGCAGGCACTGTGCTGAACTGTGTCTATGTAGATTATTTAAGCTTCAAGATTCCCCCTCAAATGAGATCATACTACCCACATTTTCCAGATAAGGAAACTGAGGGCTATGAATTTTGAAATCACTGTCTGAAGTCACAGTGTTGGGAGGCAGTGATGCTAGGATTTGGACCCAGGTCTGGGAAGATTCCTGCCACTGAGCCTCAGTTTCCCTACCTGTGAAAAAAAGTGGGTGAAGAGGTGAAATCCAAGAGCAGTAAATCTTGGGACAACTTGGTGGGGTCGTGGAGAGGCTGGGGATCTGTAAAGCATGGTGGCTTGGTGTATCATTGCAGCTTCAGGAAGTGGCCCGCATCGTGGGCAACTCTGGCCTCAACATCTACAATCTCTATGCCCCGTGTGCTGGAGGGGTGCCCAGCCATTTTAGGTAGGTGCTGCTGGGTGCCCCTGGAGCCAACCCCAGCCCCATCTGGAGGCTCCACACCCATTCCCCCACCTCACATTGCAGGTATGAGAAGGACACTGTTGTGGTCCAGGATTTGGGCAACATCTTCACTCGCCTGCCACTCAAGCGGATGTGGCATCAGGTGTGCGAGGGCGTGGGCTTCCTCCTGGTGAGGTGGGGGCAGGGGGAGGGGCAGGGAAGCAGAGGCCCTGACCCACTGTCTGTGCCTTCCAGGCACTGCTGCGCTCAGGGGATAAAGTGCGCATGGACCCCCCCTGCACCAACACAACAGCTGCTTCCACCTACCTCAACAACCCGTACGTGCGGAAGGCCCTCAACATCCCGGAGCAGCTGCCACAATGGGACATGTGCAAGTGAGGTTCCGTGGCCACCTGTGACTTGGGGTGGTGGGTTGCTGGGGCTTGTGGGCATCGGCAGGTTTCTCAGGGATCTTCTGTGTAGAGTTTCTCAATGAGATGAGCTGTAGAGGATGTTTAACATCCATCCCTGACCCCTCAGTGGATTGAGAGTCAGCCAATTCATTCTTTTATCTTTTTTAAATTTAAAATTTTTTTGTTTGAGACAAGGTCTCACTCTGTCACCTAGGCTGGAGTGCAGTGGTGTGATCATAGCTCACTGCAGCCTCAAACTCATGGGCTCAAGCAATCCTCCCACCTCCCCAGTAGCTGGGACTACAGACGCACCACCACCCCCAACAAGTTTTTGTATTTTTTGTACAGATGGTGTTTTACCACATTGCTCAGGCTGGTTTTGAACTCTGGGGCTCAAGTGATCTGCCCATTTCAGCCTCCCAAAGTACTGGGATTACAGGCATGAGCCACCCCGCCCAGCCCCATTTCATTACGTAGCCACATTGGTTGTTGTTTCACAGTTCACTACAGCCTCAACCTCCTAGGCTCAAGCGATCCTCCCACCTTAGTCTACTGAGTAGCTGGGTCTACAGGCACATGCCACCATTCCTGGCTAATTTTTAAAAAATTTTTTTGTAGAGACAGGGTCTCACTATGTTGTCCAGGTTGGTCTCAAACTCTTGGTCTCAAGCAATCCTCCCTCCTTGGCCTCCCAAAGTGCTGGGATTACAGGCGAGGGTCCCCACACCCGGCCATCACATTGGTTAATAACTATTACTTCCGACTGGGCGCAGTGGTTCACGCCTGTAATCCTAGCACTTTTGGAGGCTGAGGTGGGGGAATCACCTGAGGTCAGGAGTTCGAGACCAGCCTGGCCAACATGAAGAAACCCCATCTCTACTAAAAATACAACAATTAGCCAGGTGTGCTGTTGGGCACCTGTAATCCCAGCTATTCAGGAGGCTGAGGGAGGAGAATCGCTTGAACCCAGGAGGCAGAGGTTGCAGTGAGCTGAGATCATGCTACTGCACTCCAGCCTGGGCAACAAAAGTGAAACTCCATCTCAAACAACAATAACAAACTGTTAACTTCCATGTCCAGTCTCCTGTGGCCACCCCCCCCCACAACCCCAAGTAAAAGGGTAACACTGGGCCCAGCAGGGCTGCTCAGGTCCATTTTGATTGGTCAGTGCTCACACTCTACCCTGTTGTATGTTGTGACTCCCACACCTGCTGGCCCCTAGACACTAAATGCCAGATGCATCCCAGTCCTCGTAACAACCAAAATGCGTCCCTTGTACATTTCTTTTTCTTTTTTTTTTTGAGATGGAGTCTTGCTGTCACTCAGGCTGGAGTGCAGTGCTGCGATCTTGGCTCACTGCAACCTCCGCCTCCCGGGTTCAAGTGATTCTCCTGCCTCAGCCTTCTGAGTAGCTGGGACTACAGGCACGCACCACCACGCCTGGCTAATTTTTGTATTTTTTTTTTTAGTAGAGACGGGGTTTCACCATGTTGGTCAGGCTGGTCTCGAACTCCTGACCTCGTGATCCACTCACCTCGGTCTCCCAAAGTGCTAGGATTACAGGCGTGAGCCACCACGCCCAGCATCCCTGTACCTTTCTAAATGGTGGTGAGTTGAGGCTGTCTGAATCCCAGCCCATCCAGCCCAACATCCAAGTCAGTCCTAGAGAGGTGGCCCCCCCCCAAAAAGGGGAGTGGAACCCAGCTGTCTGCCTTCTGGGTTGGAGCTTGGAGATAGGAGAGAAGGTCTGATCTGTTGACTACTTTTCGCCCCGACCTGGTCTTCCTGGGGCCTGCTCGTATGTTCCCGGCAGCTTTCTGGTAAACTTACAGTACCGCCGTCTCTACCGAAGCATGAACTCCCAGTATCTGAAGCTGCTTAGCTCACAGGTGAGTGGGGAGAGCACAGCTGGATCACCAGCAGCCTTAGGACCCCAGAGTAGCACAGCAAGCTGGGGGCCCTTGAGACTTCCTGTCAGGACAAGGGAAGCTGAAACTCCGAAAGGCGAAGCCCAGGGTCCTGTGATTGGTGGGGTCAGAATTTGAACCTGGGTTTGTCCCCACCCATGCTGTCCTGCTATAGGAGGCCTAGGGGTCTGCATCAGCCACGGAGTCTTAAGGGTGAGAAGAGCTTCATTCATGCCAAAAATGGGCCAGCAGAGGTCCAGGGTGGGAGGAGACCTTGCACAAGGTGATATAGGAAGCACTGGCAGGGCCAAGTTAGGACTAGGTTCTGTCCAGCACAGTGGTTAATAGCATGGGCTCTGGAGTCACATGGCCTGGGTGCAAGTCCCTGTACTAGCCACATAATCTTGGGCAAATTTCTTAAATATGAGCCTCAGGTTCTCCATCTGTAAAATGGGGATAATAATGATATCTACCTTCACAGATAAAACATTTAGTAGAATACTGGACATGCAGTAAGTCGTTAGAAAACATGAAAATTCCCTGGTTCGTGTTATCTAGCTTGGCCCCTTGAATTTCCTGAGGGGTAGGCCTTGAACTAGGGAAGGGCTGGGGACTGGGCTTGTTCCACACCCCTCATTTTTACCCCATCCTGCTTTAGAAATACCAGATCCTATTATATAATGGAGATGTAGACATGGCCTGCAATTTCATGGGGGATGAGTGGTTTGTGGATTCCCTCAACCAGAAGGTAAGGTAGAGATTCCTGGCCCTGGGATAGGGGCTGCTGTGGAGGATTGGGAGCGGGTATGCCTGGGAGTGGCCAGCTGGCTGCCTGGCTCTGGCCCACAGAGGGCAAGTGTGGAGGAATTCCCAGCCCTAAGGTCTTGCTGGTAGCTGTGAGCAAGGATGCAGCTGCTGTAGGCTGATGTCTTTCCTGGTGGGGCAGATGGAGGTGCAGCGCCGGCCCTGGTTAGTGAAGTACGGGGACAGCGGGGAGCAGATTGCCGGCTTCGTGAAGGAGTTCTCCCACATCGCCTTTCTCACGATCAAGGTAGGGACTGGGCCTGCTGAGAGATAACTGGGCCGGAGGCAAAGGAGCAGGACCCACCCGTCCTTTCCCTCTGGCTGCCTTTTAGGCTGGGTCATGGGTCACCATCTGGCCCCTGTATGGGCAAGTTTTTTTGGAGAGGGGTGGGGAGGGTTCTGGGAAGAATAAAGGGTTTGGGATGAAGGAATTGCCCCCGAGTGAGCAGTTATATGGGGAGGAGGGAATGGTGGGGTCAGGAGCTCACGAACATTGCTCCTCAGGGCGCCGGCCACATGGTTCCCACCGACAAGCCCCTCGCTGCCTTCACCATGTTCTCCCGCTTCCTGAACAAGCAGCCATACTGATGACCACAGCAACCAGCTCCACGGCCTGATGCAGCCCCTCCCAGCCTCTCCCGCTAGGAGAGTCCTCTTCTAAGCAAAGTGCCCCTGCAGGCCGGGTTCTGCCGCCAGGACTGCCCCCTTCCCAGAGCCCTGTACATCCCAGACTGGGCCCAGGGTCTCCCATAGACAGCCTGGGGGCAAGTTAGCACTTTATTCCCGCAGCAGTTCCTGAATGGGGTGGCCTGGCCCCTTCTCTGCTTAAAGAATGCCCTTTATGATGCACTGATTCCATCCCAGGAACCCAACAGAGCTCAGGACAGCCCACAGGGAGGTGGTGGACGGACTGTAATTGATAGATTGATTATGGAATTAAATTGGGTACAGCTTCAAATCCCGTCTTCTCTGTGGCACTGGGGGTTAGAGGGGGCACTACAGGCTATGAATGTGGGAAAAGAGGGGCTGAGAGGGGTTGGGGTCCTGAATGACAGCTGCCAGCTTGGGGATTGAGGGCTCAGACAGCTGCTGTGGACGGTGTGGGGGCAGTGGACGCCCTGACATCAGCAGGCCGGTTCTTCTCAATCACCTCTCGCAGCCCTTTGGCAAAGTGGAGATCAGCCCCGATGGTGAGGAATCCCTGTGTTGGGGAGAGGGGAGCCTCATTTATTCATTCAGTTATTGAGGCCAGAGTTTAGAGATCAAGAGACAGAGTGTTTGTCTTTCAGGAACTCAATCTAATGGATAATTCCATGTCAAGGTGTTAAAATGAGGCTGTAGGAGTGTAGACTATGGGTGTCAAGGAGGGCTTCTTGGAGGAGGTGACCTCTGAGCTAAGACCTGAACAATTAGTAGGTATTGGGATGGGAGAAGAGTGCTCCAAGAAGTCACAGTGTGTGCAACGGCTTTTAGGAGTCTAAGATTAAAATGGGAGGGGCGACTGGTAATGGGGGAGCTGGGGTCAGGTAATGGAGGGCACTGGGGAGCTATAGAGAGAGGGGAAGGCCCTCCCTCCTTCCCCATCCTGCCCCCACTCACCGCATGGTTCGTCACCACCTCATGCACAAAGTTGATGCCCTCAGGTAGTGGGATCTGCACCCCACGCCAGGTCCGCTCTGTGGGTGGGAGCACCCCGCTCAGTCTGGGCCCGCCCAGTTCACCCCTCCTTTCTTCCTCCATCCTCACACCCCAGCCTTACCATTGAGCATGGGCATCACCCCAATCTGCAGCATGGTCTTCAGAGGGGCCTGTAATGGGATCAGCTGGGAGGGGCGAGGGCGGAAACAGGGCAGTGAGTCAGGGTTGGGTTTGCCTTTAGCTGCCCGCAGGTGAGCAGTTATATGAGGAGGGGGGGATGGTGAGGGTCAGGATCTCACGAACCCAGCCCAGCCCACCCACCCTTCCCCACTCACAGCCAGCGACTCCAGTGCAGAATGGTTGGAATAGATTCGGAACCTGCGGGAAAGAAAGGAGCCCTGTGGGCAGGAAGCCTGGAAGCTCCCCTTCCTCAGGCCACCCAGGCCTACCTGCCAGAGGTGTCTGAGTTGCAGGCTCAGATGCCCACCTAGGCACCTTTCCAAGTGCTACAACTTTCCAGGTATCCTCGGGGCAGTCATTGCTGCCACTTGGGTCTCCTTTTCTCCAAGACTGCTACTTTTTATTTATTGAGCACCTCTTTTTTTTTTTTTTTTTTTTTTTTTTTTGAGACAGAGTCTCGCTGTGTCGCCCACGCTGGAGTGCAGTGGCGCGATCTCGGCTCACTGCTCCGTCTCCCGGGTTCACGCCATTCTCCTGGCTCAGCCTCCCGAGTAACTGGGACTATAGGTGCCCGCCACCAAGCCCAGCTAATTTTTTGTGTTTTTAGTAGAGACGGGGTTTCACCGTGTTAGCCAGGATGGTCTCGGATTTCCTGACCTTGTGATCCGCCCGTCTCGGCCTCCCAAAGTGCTGGGATTACAGGCGTGAGCCACCACGCCCGGCCTTTATTGAGCACTTCTAATGTGCCAGACTTCTGCTGGTAGCTTTGCAGGTGTTATTTATTTTATGTAACAAAACTTCACATTGCTTAGTTCCTGTCAGACACTAAGCATATTTATTTTCTTTTTTTATTTTTATTTATTTTTGAGACAGCGTCTCACTGTGTTGCCCAGGCTGGAGGGCAGTGGTGTAATTTTACTCACTGTGGCTTTGACCTCCAGGGCTCAAGTCAGCCTCCCACCTCAGGCTTCCAAGTAGCTGGGACCACAGGCGTGCATCACTATGACCAACTAACTTTTAAATTTTTTTGTAGAGACAGGATCTCACTTTGTAGCTCAGGCTGGTATCGAACTCCTGGCCTCAAGCGATCTACCCGCCTTGGTCTCCCAAAGTGTTGAGATTACAGGTGTGAGCCACTGCACCCAGCCAACGTGTTTAAAAAGTTAATATTAGTAAACTGTTTTAAAATACAGTACCAACTGGTTTAGTCCTCAAAACAAGCCCAAGGAGTGGGCACTATTAGGATTTGCACTAATTTATAGATGAGGAAAATGAGGCCCTGCAAGGTTAAGTAATTTGCCTGAAGTCACACAGCTGGAAAGTGTCAGAAGCTGCCTCTAGAACCTAGGGTCCTAACCTACATTATCTCCTTTAACCTTAGAACAGCACTGTCCAGTCAGATTTTCTGTGAAACGTTTTGTATCTGCACCGTCTACTATGGTAGTCACTAGCCACATGTGGCTAATGAAATGTGGCTTAGTGCAACTGAAAAACTATTTAATTATAATTAATTTAAATGTAAATAGTCACATGTGGCTAGTATCTACCATATTGGATAGCACAGCCCTAGAAGGCAGATGCTACTTTTGCCTGTATTAAACACATGGAGAAAATGAGGCCTAGAAAGACAAAATGGGCTGGGTGCGGTGGCTCACGCCTGTAATCCTAGCACTTTGGGAGGCTAAGGTGGGACGATCACTTGAGCCCGAGAATTGGAGACCAGCCTGGACAACAAAGTGAGACCCCATCTCTACAAAAAATAAAATAGTCAGGCATGGTAGTGCATGCATGCAGTCCCAGTTACTCGGGAGGCTGAGGCTGGACGATCACTTGAGCCCAGGAGGTCAAGGCTGCAGTGAGCTATGATTGCACCACTGCACTCCAGCTTGGGCAACAGAGTGAGACTCTGTCTCAAAAATAAATAAATACAATAAAATAAGGCCAAGCACAGTGGCTCATACCTATAATCCCAGCACTTTGGGAGGCCGGGGCAGGTGAATCACCTGAGGTCAGGAGTTTGAGACCAGCCTGACCAATATGGTGAAACCCTGTCTCTACTAAAAATGCAAAAATTAGCCGGGCGTGGTGGCGCACACCTGTAATCCCAGCTACTCAGGAAGCTGAGGCAGAATTGCCTAAACCCGGGAGGCAGAGGTGGCAGTGAGTCAAGACCACGCTATTGCACTCCAGCCTGGGCAACAAGAGCGAAACTCCTTCTCAAAAAAAAAAAAAAAAGAATAATAACATTTTTAAAAAAGATAAAATGGCCTCAAGGTCACAAAGCTGTGTTGTGCTGAGGTTTTTGTCAAAACCCATGTTCTGATCTTTGCTGTGTGACTGTGGGCATGTTATTTAACATTGCTGGACCCATTTGTTCATCTCTCATAATACCTGCCCTGCCTGCCTCTGGGACATGTGAGAATGCAGAGGAGTCAGACTTTACCAAAGCACTTTGGCATGCATTAACAAAGACAGACCCCAGCTCTCAGTGGCTTACAGGTATCACTGTACTTTAAGCGCAACATCCCTGTGGACAGGTGTGATTGTCCTCCAATCACTGAGGTGCAGGGAAGTGCGCCTGCCTACCTGCGCAGGTCCAGCTGCGTGCGCAGGGCCTTCCCCCGGAGAGCCATCTTGGCGCTGAGACGGGCGTCCTGCAGGAACATGGGGAGGAGGATGTTACTGACCCAGAAGGTCAGTAACCCACAGCCCATTTTTCCCTGACCCCCAGCCAGCAGCCCCCACTCTGGGACCCGTACCATAGTCATGCTGGACAGCTGGACCTCAGGCTGGTCTGGTGGGACCAGGGCAATGGTGACGCTAGCAGTGACAGAGATGGTGGTGCCAGAGGGCTTGATGGTGCAGCGCGGTGGGGCCAGGACCCGCAGCTCCAGCTTCAATGGGGAGTCAATCACTGCTGGGCTCTGGGGGATGAGCAGCAGGGGCGGGTCAAGTCCCTGCCATTTCCTTTGGAGCCCCCAGGGAAGAAGGGGAAGGAAGGCAGGTGCAGCTTCTGTCCTCTGGGGACTCTCATATTGCAAATACAGAGGGAGCTCTGGCTTCCAAAACTCTCACATCTGCATCTAGCCTTCATGCCTTTGCCACACAAAGAAACAGGAATGTGTTCTTCTCTTTCTGCTTCCTAAATACATCTCAATATTCAGGTCTATCTCCAATCCAGACTCTTTGTGGATGTCCTTTTTGCATTAGTATCTCAGCCCTTGCCATGTCT
This sequence comes from Homo sapiens, assembly GCF_000001405.40. Lineage (NCBI taxonomy): Eukaryota > Metazoa > Chordata > Mammalia > Primates > Hominidae > Homo > Homo sapiens. The sequence goes on from NC_000020.11 coordinate 45,902,913, forward strand.
TCTGTTTTTGATATGGAGTCTCACTTTGTTGCCCAGGCTGGAGTGCAGTGGCACAATCTCGGCTCACTGCAACTCTGTCTCCCAGGTTCAGGCGATTCTCCCGCCTCAGCCTCCCAAGTAGCTGAGATTACAGGCACCTGCCGCCATGCCCGGCTAAGTTTTGTATTTTTAATAGAAACGGGGTTTCGCCATATTGGCCAGGCTAGTGATTCGCCCACCTCGGCCTCCCAAAGTGCTGGGATTACAGGCATGAGCCACCACACCCAAACCCCTTGCCATATCTTTTTGCTCTCTCTCTCCTTTTTTTTTGAGACAGGGTCTCTGTTGCCCAGGCTGGAGTGCAGTGGCATGATCACGGCTCACTGCAGCCTCAACCTCCTCAGCTCAAATTATCCTGCCACATCAGCCTCCTGAACAGCTGAGACCACAGGTTCATGCCATCACGCCTGGCTTATTTTTGTATTTGTTTTTTGTTTTGGTTTTTGCTTTTGTGTTTTCGTAGAGACGGGGTTTGGCCATGTTGCCCATGCTGGTCTCAAACTCCTGGGCTCAAGTGATCTGCCGGCTTCAGCCTCCCACAGTGTTGGGATTACAGGCGTGAGCCACCGTGCCTGGCCATATCTTCTTTCTCTAAACTGCTATGCCTTCTTCTATAGGCAGTGAAGGAATACTATAAGATGCAACTGCCTAATCTTCACCAAACATGATTCTAAACACTGTATATGTGTTGGTTCCTTTAAACCTCATAATAACCATGTGAGGCCGATATTATTACTGCCAATTTTGTTGTTGTTATTTTTTACAAATTTATTTTTCAGGCTGAGTCGTCATGGCAGAGAATTGCTTGAACCCGGGAGGTTCAATTGCAGTGAGCCAAGATTGCGCCACTGCACTCCAGCCTGGGTGACAGAGTGAGACTTTGTCCCCCCACCGAAAAAAAAAGATCTGACTAAAAATTTATTTTTCAATAGAGACAGTGTCTCACTGTGTTGCCCAGGCTGGTCTCAAACTCCTGGGCTCAAGCAATTTTCCTACCTTGACCTCTCAAAGTTCTCAGAGTATAGGCGTGAGCCATCATGCCCAGCCATATCCCCATTTTTGAGATGGGGAAATTGAGGCACAGATAGGTTAAGTAACTTGTAGAGGTTATGTAGTTACTCAGTTTCAGAACTAGGCTTGAAGCCCAGGCAGTCTGACAATAGAGACCCTGCCCTGCCATAAATTGGATGATGATAATGACTGAATTATTTCTTTTAAAATTTGTAATTCTGCTAGGTGCGGTGGCTCACACCTGTAATCCTAGCACTTTGGGAGGCCAAAAATGGGTGATCACTTGAGCCCAGGAGTTCAAGGACAGCCTGAGCAACATAATGAAACTCTGTCTCAACAAAATATAAAAATTAGCGGGGTGTGGTGGCACAAGCCTGTAATTCCAGCTACTCAAGAGGCTGAAGCAGGAGGATGGCTTGAGCCCTGGGAGGCAGAGGTTGCAGTGAGCCTAGATTGTGCCACTGCATTCCAACTTGGGTGACAAAGTGAGACTCTTGTCTCAAAAAAAAAAATAAATAAAATGTGTAACTCTTACTCTCCTCCCCAATACACAAATAAACAAAAGTATATGTGAATTATTATTAAAGCCCTCACACTTGCAAAGCTTGGGTTCTCACTAATCCTCACAGCAGCTCTGCGAAGGAGATGGGGCAGGAAGGAGCAGGAAGGAGCAGACCGCTTCACAGACAGGAACAGCCATGACAAGGCGAGGGGGATTGGCCACAGACAAGAGGCCAGGGCCCTGTCTGCGTGGCTGCCACTGGGGGCCCCACCTGCACCCCTCCTTGGTCTCACTGGTGTGCAGGTGGCCCTATCCCTGCCCCCGCCAGCACTCACCAGCAGGACAATGCTCCCAAAGTAGGTGGCCCTCAGCAGCATGTCCAGGTCGTGGGGCACCTGAACAGGGGAATCAGGAGTGAGGGAGTGAGCTCTGTCACAGACCTTCTCTTGCCCATCCCACAAACAGGCCATGACATACCTTGTCCCCCACCAGCAACAGCTGCAGGGCCCCCGCCCGGAAGTAGCTCTCCATGGCAGAGTCGAAGAAGAACTCAGAGAAGGCCACATACACCATCCGCTCTTCCTCCTGCAGCTGGGGCTCCACTGCCCGGTTGGGGAGGCTCCAGTTCCTCTCAGTCAGGGGGAAGAAGGCCCCCTGGGGTGGGGCATTCACAGTCAGGGTCAAGGCAGACTGGCCTGGCACCTGGACTGACAGCAGGTGTCTCCCAGCCCCGTGCTAGGCACTGTGGGGGGATGGTGGGAACCCAGCTGCTGTTCTTGGAGGATTCACAAGCACATCTCTTAAAAGGCATTGGAAGGAGGACACCTGCTACCAGGGGGCGAGCCCGTCAGACTGGAGGAGGGAGGGTCAGGAAAGGTTTCAGGGAAGAGGTGACATCTGAGTGGGCCTTGAAAGCTAGAGGCAGTAACAACAGCTACTGTTTACATATATTGTGCATACTCATGCTTCTTTGCCAAGTACTCTAAGCTCTTCACATAGATCGACTTCTTTAATCTGCATAACAACGTGTGTTTTCTTACTAGATTATTTCCATTTACATGTTAGGAAACTGGCCAACTGAAAACTTATGCTTAGGGCCGTGCAGCTAGTCAGTGGCAGAGCTAGGATTTGAACTTCAGGCATTCTTTTTCTCTTTGTAGAGAAGGAGGTCTCACTATGATGCCCAAGCTGGTCTCAAACTCCTGGGCTCAAGCGATCCTCTCGCCTGGGCCTCCCAAAGTATTGGGATTACAGGCATGAGCCACTGCACCCGACTGATTCTAGCTCCCGAGTCTGCACTCTGAAACTGCTATACTCCTCTGGGAGACCAAAGGTAGTGGCTACACACTGGCTATGTGGCCTTGGGCAAGTGACGTCACCTCTATGAGTAAGTCTCCACATTCCTAAAATTAGGATGATGTTAGTACCTGACTCACAGGGTTGTGAGAGAATGAAATGAGATTATTTGTATAGAAATTTATGTCCAGCTCCTTCGGGGGAGTTGGGGAAAGGCCGTGCATGAGCAAAGGCCCTGAGGTGGGAAGCCAGGGTCCAATTTGGGAAAGAGCAGCTGCAAAGAAACAGGATGAGATATAAAAGGTGGGGCCAGGTAAGATTAACAGGGGCTCAAATGCCAGACCCAGGAGGCTGAACCTAATTCTGTAGTAACAGGGAGCCATAGCATTCTCAGTAATGGGAGTGGCCTCATCAGAGCTGTGCTTTAAGAAGTAAAATCTTGCAACTTAGCAGAGAAAGAGGTCTTGTTAGGAAGTCAGAGGTCATACACCAGCCCAAGCAGCTCACCCGGAAGTCCATGTCCAGGTTGCTGGTGGAAGCCACAGGATCCTTCATGAGGGAATAGTCAATGCCAACAAGCTCGTCCACAGAACTGCGCACTGCAGGAAGGGGCTCAAGTCACTCACGGCTGTGTGATGTGGGATAAGGTGCTTAACCTCTCCAGGCTCAGAGGCCCACCCATAAAATGAGGATACATCCTTCACAGGGTTGTCATGAGGGTCAAATTAGTTTTATGTGGAAAGCACTTAGGGCCTGGTGTGTAGTTAGGTGCTCATTAATGTTAGTTATTATTATTACTACCACTATAGAGGTTTCAAAAAAATAACTAAACAAGATGGCATGGGGGGGCCGCGCATGGTGGCTCACACCTGTAATCCCAGCACTTAGGGAGGTCAAGGCGGGCGGATCACCTGAGGTCAGGTGTTCGAGACCAGCCTGGTCCACCACGGTGAAACCCCGTCTCTACTAAAAATACAAAAATTAGTTGGGCATGGTGGTGGGCGCCTGTAATCCCAGCTACTCAGGAGGCTGAGGCAGGAGAATCGCTTGATCCTGGGAGGTGGAGGTTGCAGGGAGCCAGGATTGCACCACTGCACTCCAGCCTGGGTGACAGAGCGAGACTCCATCTCAAAAAAAAAAAAAAAAAAAAAAGATGGCATGAGGTTCCTTTCCCTTGGTTTCTCCTACCTCCTCCTTCGCTTCCCATGCCTGTGTGTTAGGTGTGATGGGAAAATACCTTTGCCCCACAGTAGACAGAGGTCATGGCTTAGAAAAAGGGAATTCATGGCCAGGCACAGTGGCTCATGCCTATAATCCCAGCACTTTGGGAGGCCAAGGTGGGCAGATCAGGAGGTCAGGAGATCGAGACCATCCCGGCCAACATGGTGAAACCCCGTCTCTACTAAAACACAAAAAACTAGTTGGGCATGGTGGTGCACGCCTGTAGTCCCAGCTACTCGAGATGCTGAGGCAGGAGAATTGCTTGAACCCGGGAGGTGGAGATTGCAGTGAGCTGAGATCGCGCCACTGGACTCCAGCCTGGCAACAGAGTGAGACTGTAAGACTCCGTGCAAAAAAAAAAAAAAAAGAAAGAAAAAGAAAAAGGGAATTCATGTTAATTGAGCACCTATTAGATGCTAGGTGATGAAGACAAATGGGATGCCAGTGATCAGCATGCACATATTGAGGACCTTGACAACTATTCTCTCAGATAATCCTCACAGCAACCCCAGGAGGAGGCACTGCCAGCCAAGTGAGGAAACAAGCACTTTGCCCAGACAGAAATGAGCACTTCACCCAAAATCGCACAACAAGTCAGCTCCAGGGGCCACATTTGAACCCAGGACTGTTCAACAGCAGGGCTCGGAAGGGGCCTGCTCTGAGGTGCTGCATGACAGCTGCACACCCAGACTCACCCGCCACCAACTCACCAGGCACGGTGTCCAGGAGGGAGTTGAGCAGGACCGTCCCTGCGTGGTAGAGGACAGGGCAGATCTGCGAGGTGGGAGCCAGAGTCAGGGCCTTCTCAAAGTGAGAGCATGCCCACCCTTGCCACCCTGCGACCTGTCGCTGCCCACACCTGCTGGTTGAGGAGGAAGCGCATCCCTGAGGTGATGAACGTGGAGAGAAAATCATACACCTTCCTGTGAGGAGAGGAGAGGCCGGATGAGCCCAGAACCTGCCTCCACCCCAGTCCAGGTCCAGGAGAAATCAGTGACTAGGGAAATAGTGGCAGTAGGAGTCCTCAGCTTCAGCCTGAATAACAGCTCCTCCACGTAGGTTTTCCAAGAACCAGGCCCAAATTCCCTCTCCAGTCTAATTCTCAAGACCTCCTGACCTACTCTCTGGTCCCATCAGTCAAATGAATCCACCCACATTGCCTCAAACCCACTCTGAGCATCCCCACATCCATCGGCTTACTGATGCCCTCCCTTCCGCCCTCTGCATTCCTACTCTGTATTTTCCCATCTGAGCTCAGATGCTTCCTCTTCCAGGCAGTCTTCCCAGATTCCCCTCCTCTGAATCCCCAAAGCATTTTCTTAGTCCTTCTCTCCAGGCCCTGATATCAAATGTTTTTTGCTCCAGATAGGCTCTGAGCTCCTTCCTGCATCCTCAGGGACTGGCATACACTTTGTTTGATGAATAAATAATACTGACAGTGTACCAACACCAGGTTATAATCCATCATCTTCTCTCCCCCATCCTCTTCCAGAACAAGAACAATATCCCCTTCTCAGCAGCAAAAATAAAAAAATAGGCCGGGCACAGTTGCTCAGGCCTGTAATCCCAGCACTTTGGTAGGCCGAGGCGGACAGACCACCTGAGATCAGGAGTTTGAGACCAGCGTGGCCAATATGGCGAAACCCTGTCTCTACTAAAAATACAAAAAAAGTAGTTGGGCATGGTGGTGCATGCCTGTAGTCCCAGCTACTTGGGAGGCTGAGGCAGGAGAATCGTTTGAACCCAGGAGGTGGAGGTTGCAGTAAACCGAGATGGCGCCACTGCACTCCAGGCTGGGTGACACAGTGAGACTCCCTCTCAAAAAAAAAATTATTATTTTTGTTATTATTATTTAGAGATACCAATTATTGAGAATCCAGTACATGGCCAAATGTGCATATCAGATAGTCCTCACAGTTACTCTTATCTAAGTGGCCAGCACTTAAATATACATTTATCATATGCCAGGTGCTGTTCTAAATTTTTTTTTTTTTTTTTTTTTGAGATGGAATCTTGCTCTGTCACCAGGCTGGAGTGCAGTGGCACGATCTCAGCTCACTGCAACCTCCGCCTCCCGGGTTCAAGCGATTCTCCTGCCTCAGCCTCCCACGTAGCTGGGACTACAGGCACGTGCCACCACGCCCAGCTAATTTTTGTATTTTTAGTAGAGATGGGGTTTCACCATGTTGGCCAGGATGATCTCGATCTGTTAACCTTGTGATCCGCCCGCCCAGACCTCCCAAATTGCTGGGATTTCAGGCATGAGCCACCACAGCCAGCCTTGTTCTAAATATTTTTTACATATACCAACACAAATAATCCTGACAACGATCTTATAAAATAGGATCTTATAAAATGAGGATATTGAGGCACCAAGCTTCAGTGACTTGGCCACGTTCACACAGCCAGGAAGTGACAGAGCTGAGCTTTGGACCCAGTTGGTCTGATTCCCAGGCCTATGCACTTTGCATTGCGCTAGGCAGATGAGCTGTGGGGCTCGAAAAGGGTGAGCTGGGGTTGGGGCTGGGGCTTACTTGAAGGTTCCCCCGAAGGCCGCGTGCATTCTGGAGACAGAGGCCTGGCAGGAGACATTGGACACTTTCATCCGTCCAGCGGGATCCCGGGAGAGCTCCAGACCAGTGCGGATGGACACACCCTCAGCTGAGGCGTTGATGTAGCCCCCATCATAGCTGCCAGGGGGGTTAATATTCACTCCAGGTAGGAGCTCAATTGAGTCTTCAGTGCCCCCATGCATCACCATACCTCTTAATAAGGTTTCACCTCTTTCCACACATCCTACCAAACCTTCCTATCAACTCGTATGAAATGCATATGCCTGTTTCTGTTACACAGATGAAGAAACGGAAACTCAGGAAGGCTAAGGGGGCTGCCCACAGCCCCACAGCACCTCCAGCCCTCCTGACCCACTCTCCACTCCCCTGAGGGTGCTGGGTCCTTACAAGAACCAGTAGAGCAGCTGTCTCCGGAAGCGCAGCCCCAAGGAGGCATTGGTGATTTGAAGCATCAGCTCCTGCTGTGGCTGGAAATCGAGCTCGGAAGATGTCAGTTGCAGCTCTGTGACCTTCACCCTACAGGAGGCCTCAGGGTCAGATCCAGGGCCAAGAAGAGGGAACTTCCCCCAACGACAGGAAATTTGTCTGCTCCCCTTTCAAGTCCAGGCCTGGGGAAGCGGGAGTGGGTGGAATGAATTCTTCCATTGTCCCTCAAGTGCCCAACTTAGACTTGGGTGGCTCAAAGTTGAACTTGGGTGGCTGAGAGAGGAGGTCTTCCTGATCCAGGTGTTAAAAATGAGCTTCACCCCATCGCTTAAAAGTCTTGTTTGTTTGTTTGCCAGGTGCGGTGGTGGCTCATGCCTGTAATCCCAGCACTTTAGGAGGCCGAGGAGGGCGGATCACTTGAGGTCAGGAGTTCGAGACCAGTCTGGCCAACATAGTGAAACCCGTCTCTACCAAAAATACAAAACTTAGCAGACCGTGGTGGCACGCGCCTGTAGTCCTAGCTACTCGGGAGGCTGAGGCAGGAAAATCGCTTGAACTCGGGATGCGGAGGTTGCAGTGAGCCAAGATCGCGCCACTGCACTCTAGCCTGGGCAACAGAACAAGACTCCCTCTCAGAAAAAAAAAAAAAAAAAGTCTTGTTTGCTTGCACCCCCTCCCCTCCCACACCCTGGGGTTGCTACACCCGGTCTTTTAATAGAGTCCGTTCACTTTGCCTCCATCACCTAAGCTCCGTCTCACATCTCAATTCCTTATTCCCCCTCCCTCATCCTAAACCATACTTAGAGCCTTCAGTTTCTCCACCCCTCCGATTAACTCCACCCCGTGCCCGAGACTCCACTCTCATCTATTGGGAAGTTCCTTGACTCCACCTTTCTGTTGTTCTTCGACCACGCCTCACATCCACTGGTCCTGCTTCCTTCTTGGCCCCCTCTACATTTTCAAGGCCACGCCCATCTGCCTGGTCCCGCCTATGATGACTGGCTTGGCCTTTATCTTTTCGGCCCCATCCGGTTTCTTAAGTCTTGCCTCATCGATTTGGCCACGCCCCATCCCACTCAGCCTCCAGTCTCCCGAGACCCTGAGATTTCTCGGGCCCCGCCTCCACCGCCGAGGCCCCGCCCCGGATCGCGAGGCCCCGCCCCCCACTTACTCAGAGATGTTGTAGTAGAAGTGGCCTTCTTTGCCCCGCAGGTCCGGAATGGTGATAGTCTCCAGCTCTTGCTCCAGAAAGCGCAGCCCCTCCTGCTTCACTGAAGCAGCAGAGAAACCCTTACTTAGCTCCCGTGCCCACTGTTGGGGCGACCCCAACCCCGTCCGCTCCCGTCCGTCCCTGTCTGCCCCTGCGCCTTACCCAGCTCCAGCGCCTTGGAGGTGACGCGGATCTTGCAGCCTGGGAACTCTGCATGTGCGCCTGCCAGCAGCGCTAGGAAGAGGGCCCCGAAGAGGGCCATGGCGAGCGGGCCTGGGGGTGGGGTGGGGTCGCAGGAGTTATCTGAGCCGCTTAAACCCATTCCTTGGACGTCCAACCATAAGTGGGAACTAGCCTGGATCGTTACCCTCCAGATAACTCTTCGGGGAACTTGGAACCAATAATCTTGCCTCCATATGGCAGATGTGGAAACTGAGGCTCAGAGAGGCGATGCGACTTGCGTTCTGGCTCCCAGAGGATTTGGGACACGGGGGAGGGGACGTTCCCAGTTCCCTCGTGCTACCGCCGCGTGATGAGTTTGGACCTCCAGGGGACCAGCCCCCACACCCCCAACAACCTCCCCTTTCCTTTAGCGGTGGGCCCATGCAGGCTTGCACGTTGCCACGGCAACGACTGCACGCGCATTCTTGGAGGGTGGCTTGCGGTCTCCTAGGCCTCGCGCCCGGGGAGGAGAGGAGGTGGCCGACCAGACCGTGGGCTCCCGGGTCTCCCGGCTCCCTCAGGTCCTAAATCTCTCCCATTAGAGATTCTGCCTGGAGCCCCCATGTTAGCGTTCTCCTTCATCGGCTCTCCTCCCCACGCCGGCTTCAGTGCACCACGCGGCTCGGCGAGGGACTGGGAACGGGATAGGGACGCGCCCCAACTCACTCAGCGGTGGAGCTGGGGGGCGGCGCGGTCACGTGGGATGGCGGGCAGCTCAGGGGATCCGGGCGACGGGGTCTGGCGGGCAGGGTTGTTCCAGCCGCCTTTATAAAGCCGGCCTCCCCGACCCCTCCTCCTCTCTGCAGCTCTCCCCTCCTCCCTTGGGGGCTGGGAGGGGACGGGGCGGGACGCTGGCAGCCGGGAGAGTGGAAAAGGCTGCACAGAGCCCCGTGACAAGCCCGGCCGCTGTCTGGACAAGTGGGAGACCCAAGCCCAGGGAGAGGGAAGGAAATGCAGGAGCCGGCCCACTCAGCCCCAACAATCCCACTTTGCTGGGACCTTGGTTCAAATTACAATTATCCATGTCTTCCTGCATGATCTTGGGCAAGTCACTTCACTTGGGTCACTGACCCTCAGTTTCTTCCTTCAGCGAAATGTGCACGATGATAGGAACTACCTCTTGGGCCTTTATTACAACCAGGTCCAGGCACAAAGTCAAGGAATATTTTTTCTTTCCCTGCCACCCACAATCATCTCGGGACCTCCTTGCCTGGCTTTGCTATGGGCCCCCCTACCTGTCTCTGTGTCACCACCTGGGGACCTTAAGGTCCCAGAGACCTTTCCCACTTGGGAAAGCAAGACTAGACAAGTGCTGTCAGCCCAGGAACATACCACACCGGCTGAAATCAGAAGGAGGTCTGCCATTTATCGTGGCTGGTGGATTGTTTTTTCTATTTTTTTTATTTTTATTTTTTGAGACGGAGTCTCGCTCTGTCCCCCAGGCTGGAGTGCAGTGGCGCGATCTCGGCTCCCTGCAAGCCCCGCCTCCCGGGTTCACGCCATTCTCCTGCCTCAGCCTCCCCAGCAGCTGGGGCTACAGGCGCACGCTGCCACGCCCGGCTAATTTTTTTTGTATTTTTAGTAGAGACGGGGTTTCACCGTGTTAGCCAGGATGGTCTCGATCTCCTGACCTTGTGATCCGCCCGCCTCGGCCTCCCAAAGTGCTGGGATTAAAGGCATGAGCCACCGCGCCCGGTCCACTGGTGGATTTTTTAATGAACCCTTGGAGCAAGGTGCTCTGAACAGCATCCCCGCCCCCACCCCCACCCCCACCTCCATCTACTGCTTACAGGGTTCCCGGACCCTAGGACAGGGCACAGAGTGGGTGCTTGCCACCTTTTTGTTGCCAAATGGACGAAAGAAAGGGGAAGCAATAATCATGTCTGCTGAGCATGTATTTAGCACCAAACACTCATCTAGGAAGGATGACTAACTCATCCTGATTTGCCTAGGACTTTCCCCATTGTGTCTTTTTTTTCTGATATAATCCACAGATTCACAAAAATAGTTCCATTTCCTTTTTTATTTAATTAATTAATTAATTTTTTTGAGACACAGTCGTGCTCTGTCACCAGGCTGCAGTGCGGTGGTGTGATCTTGGCTCACTGCAACCTCTGCCTCCTGGGTTCAAGTGATTCTCCTGCCTCAGCCTCCCAAGTAGCTGGGACTACAGCCATGTGCCACCACACCTGGCTAATTTTTGTATTTTTAGTGGAGACAGGGTTTTGCCATTTTGGCCAGGCTGGTCTTGAACTCCTGCCCTCAAGTGATCCGCCTGCCTTAGCCTCCCAAAGTGCTGGGATTACAGGTGTGACCCACCATGCCCAGCCTATTTATTTATTTTTATTTATTTATTTAAGATGGAGTTTCTCTCTTGTTGCCCAGGCTGGAGTGCAATGGCGCAATCTCGGCTCACTGCAACCTCCGCCTACCAGGTTCAAGCAATTCTCCTACCTCAGCCTCCCAAGTAGCTGGGATTACAGGCACCCACCACTACGCTCAGCTAATTTTTTGTATTTTTAGTAGAGATATGGTTTCGCTATGTTGGCCAGGCTGGTTTCGAACGCCTGACCTCAGGCAATCCACCTGCCTTGGCCTCCCAAAGTGCTGGGATTACAGGCGTGAGCCACCGCGCCCGGCCGCCTATTTATATTTTTAGAGACAGGGTCTTGCTCTGTTGCCCAGGCTGGAGTGCAGTGGTACAATCACGGCTCACTGAAGCCTCCACCTCTTGGGCTCAAGCGATCTTCCCACCTCAGCCTCCTGAGTAGCTAGGACTACAGGCAGGTGGTACCATGTCATGTCCAGCTAAGTTTTGTATTTTTTGTAGAGACAGGTCTCACCATGTTGCCCAGGCTGATCTTGAACTCCTGGACCCAAGTGATCCTCTTGCCTTGGGCTCCCAAAGTGCTGGGATTACAGGCGTGAGCCACACATCCAGCCATCCCCATTTTGAAACCATTCCTGGGAACCCACTCAGTCCCTGGGAAACCTTACAACTGGTCATCCGAATTCTAGGTAATTTATTTAACCTTAACAACCTGTCAGACTGGCACTATTATGAACCCTCTTTAACAGGAAGTAGAGGTTGAAGCAATTCTGTGGCTGCTATTAGGGAATCCGTAGACTGTTCATGGAAGAGTGGAAGGTGGGCTTTATAGCCCGGTAGTTATGTACTTAGACTCTTGTGTCTGACAGACAAGAGTTTACACCCCAGGTTGTCAGTTCTTAGGTGTATGACATTGATCCCTTGCTTAAGCACTCAGATCTTCAATTTCCTCATCCTAAAATGGAAACAATAATTTAAGGTTATTGCAAGAATAAATGGGCCTGGTACATGACACATCATTAGTGCCAAATAAATGCTAGCTATCTTAATTAGGGGCACATACCACGAGCAAACAAAGCAGAAAAGGTGTAGAGGGAGAACAGAGAAAGTGTTAAGAGTATCCAGAGGAGGAAGTATCTGTGTTCCTTTGAACTCTAGTAACCTTCCTAGAGCCTGGCTCAAGCAGAAAACCTGGTGGATGTTAGTTTTCTTTCCTCTTATTTCCTTTCTTTTCTTTTTTTTTTTTTGTGGGGTGGAGTCTCGCTCTGTCACCCAGGCTGGAGTGCAGTGGCACGATCTCGGCTCACTGCAACCTCCACCTCCCAGGTTCAAGTGATTCTCTTGCCTCAGCCTCCCGAGTAGCTGGGACTAGAGGCGCCTGCCACCATGCCCAGCTAATTTTTGTATTTTTAGAGACAGGGTTTCACCGTGTTGGCCAGGTTGGTCTCGAACTTCTGACCTCAGGTGATCCGCCCGCCTTGGCCTCCCGAAGTGCTGGGATTACAGGCATGAGCCAGTGCACCTGGCCCTTTTTTATTTTTTTTTAACAACAACAACAAAATACATTTTATTTATTTAAGATAGGGTCTCACCATGTGCTCAGGCTGATCTCCAACTCTCGGGCTCAAGCAATCCTCCCACCTCAGCCCCCCAAGTAGCTGGGACTACAGGTGTGCACCACCATACCTGGCTGTTTTCTCTTCTTTTCTTTCTTTTTTTCCCTCTTTTTTGAGAGAGGGTCTCATTCTGTTGCCCAGACTGCTGTGCAGTGGTGCAGTTACGGCTCACTGCAGCCTCAACCTCCCCAGGCTCAGGTGATCCTCCCACCTCAGCCTCCTGAGTAGCTGAGACTACAGGTATGTGCCACCATACCCAGCTAATTTTTGTATTTTTCACAGAGATGAGGTTTCACCATGTTGCCCAGGCTGGTCTTGAACTCCTGAGCTCAAGAGATCTACCCACCTCAGCCTCCCGAAGTGCTGGTGTTACACCACATCTGGCCTTTCCTCTCGTTTTCTTTTTCTTTTTTTCTTTTTTTTTTTTTTTTTTGAGACAGAGTCTTACTCTGTCACCCAGGCTGGAGTGCAGTGGTGCTGTCTCGGCTCACTGCAACCTCCACCTCCCGGGTTCTAAGCGATTCTCCCGCCTCAGCCTCCAGAGTAGCTAGGATTACAGGCACACACCACCACAGCTGACTAATTTTGTATTTTTAGTAGAGATGGGGTTTCACCACGTTGGCCAGGCTGGTCTCGAACTCCTGAGCTACCAAAGTGCTGGGATTACAGGCGTGAGCCAGTGTGCCCAGCCTTGCTCTCATTTTCTTAGGTGAAATATTTCTCGCTATATTGCCCTTGCTGGTCTCAATCTCTTGGCCTCAAAAGATCCTCCGATCTTGGCTTCCCAAAATACTGGTATTACAGGCGTAAGCCACTGTGCCTGGCCTCACTCTTCCTGGCTTTGAAGACTGAAGGAGAGGCTTCCCAGCAATCAAAGGGATGGGAAAGAAATGCTTTTCTAGCCTCAGTTGTGTACCCAGATGAATCCAGGCTTCATCTTTGTATCATTTTTATCTCTTAAATGGTCTTGTCCCATGCAATTCACTGGCCAGTGGCCTAACCCCTCTGGATCTCAGTTTCCTCATCTGTAAGATGAGGATGATCCAGGTACCTCCCTCTTAGGATTGCTTGTGAGGATTAAATGAGTTAATGCATTGAAAGGGTTTAATAAGTACTTGGCATTTCCTAAGGGCTCAAAAAATGTTACCTACAATCATTAGCATGATCAGCCATCAGTGGCTTTTCACCATACTGGAATAGACTCCTGCCTCAGTACCCTGATTCCCTGGCATGTGATAGGGCCTACTCTCTCTGTCTCACCTCTCACCTCTCTTGCCCTTTGCATTCGGCTCCAGCCAAACTGGTTTTTCTGTTCCTTGAATGTGCAAGTTCTTCTTGCTCAGAGCCTTTGCATTTGCTGTTCCCTCTACCTGGAATGCTTTTCCACCTGATCTTCCTTGTCATTTTGTCTCAGCTTATTTTATTTATTTATTTTTTGAGACGGAGCTTCGCTCTGTCACCCAGGCTGGAGTGCAGTGGTATGATCTCGGCTCACTGTAAACTCTACCTCCAGAGTACAAGCAATTCTCCTACTTCAGTCTTCTGAGTAGCTGGGATTACAGGCGTGCACCACCACGCCCAGCTAATTTTGTATTTTTAGTAGTGATGGGGTTTCACATGTTGGCCAGGCTGGTCTCGAACTCCTGACCTCAAGTGATCTGTCCGCCTCAGCCTCCCAAAGTGCTGGGATTACAGGCTCGAGCCACCACGCCCAGCATTTTGTCTCAGTTTAAATGGCGTTTTTTCAGAGAGGCCTTCCCTGCCTGCCTATCTATTAATCGCTCTCAATCATATCAGCCTGGTTTATTTTCTTTATAGATTTTATTACTATTGAATATTTTCTTTCTTGTTTGTTGTCTGTCCCCGTGAGAGCTGGAATTTTGTTCAACACTGTGTCCTTAGTGCCTAGAACCATGCCTGGCACACAGTAGGTACTGACTAAATATTTACTGAGTGATTGAACTGGTTTGGAGTCCTTGAATGTCCCTGGGCAGCAGGCGATCCCTATGCCAACCCAGATCCTTTATCTCCTCCTGTACCATGTTAGCCTCAGTTCAATTGACCCTAAACACAGCTCTGACCGGCCGGGTACAGTGGTTCATGCCTGTAATCCCAGCACTTTGGGAGGCTGAGGCAGGTGGATCACCTGAGTTCAGGAGTTCCAGACCAGCTTGACCAAAACAGTGAAACCCCATCTCTACTAAAATTACAAAATTAGCCGGGTGTGGAAGCAGGTGCCTATAATCCCAGCTACTTGGGAGGCTGAGGCAGGAGAATCGCTTGAACCCAGGAGGTGGAGGTTGCAGTGAGCTGAGATCGCACCATTGCACTCCAGCCTGGGCAACAAGAGTGAAACTCTGTCTCTAAATAAATAAATAAATACAGCCTTGACCTGGGCTGGTGGAGGAGAAGGTGCAGTCACTGGCCCTGAATCCAGGGCCTTCCCCACTCAGCCTGTCCCTCTTTAATACATTGATTTCCCTTTTCCTCTAAAACATATGGTGCACACAACCCTCAAACGTTAAGAGTGATGTCAGCAGATGTGCAGCGTGGGATGGGCTCTGGCAGCCTCCTCGAGTGCTCATCACCGGGCTTGAGACATGGAGAGAGCCAAATCCCCAAATCCCTTCCCACTTTCACTCCTGGTTTTGTTGTTGTTTGTCTTTTGAGGCAGAGTCTGGCTCTGCCTATTAAGCTGGAGTGCGGAGGCACAATCTTGGCTCACTGCAGTCTTGACCTCCTGGGCTCAAGCAATCCTCCCACCTCAGCCTCCTGAGTAGCTGGGACTATAGGCATGCACCACCACGGCTGATTAATGTTTGTAATTTTTTTTTTTTGTAGAGATGAGGTCTCACTGTGTTACTCAGGCTGGTCTCCATCTCCTGGCCTCAAGGAATCCTCCCACCTCGGCCTCTGAAAGTGCTGGGATTACAGGCATGAGCCACTGCGCCCGGCCTCATCCCTGGCTTTGAAGAGAGAAGGAGAGGCTTCCCAGCACTCAGAGGGACAGGAAGGAAGTGCCTTTCCAGCCTCAGTTGTGTACCCAGCACAGCAATACTGGTAAGAAATCAAGATAGCAAAGTCCTGCTTCTGCCTTTTTCTAGAACAGATGTCAGCAAGCTGTTCCTGTAAAGGAATCAGGATAGCAAAGTCCTGCTTCTGCCTTTTTCTAGAACAAATGTCAGCAAGCTGTTCCTGAAAAGGCCAAAGTGTACATATTTTAGGCTTTCCACACCCTGTGGTCTCTATCGCAGCTGCTCAGCCCTACACTTTAGCATGAAAGCAGCCATAAACAATATCTAACGAACAGGCTGGGAGCTGGAGTTAGCACACAGGCCATAGTTTACCAACCCCTGTTCCAGAGGAAATGAAAAATCTCTTTCTGGGCTAGGCATGGTGGCTCATGCCTATAATCTCAGTACTTTGGGAGGCTGAGGCAGGAGGATTGCTTAAGCCCAGGAGCTCGAGGCTGTAGTGAGCTATGATTGTGCCACTGAACTCCAGTCTGGGTGACACAGCAAGATCCTGTCTCTAAAAAAAAAAAACACTTTTTGAACCTCAGTTTCCACATCTGTAAAATGGGATGATCTAGTACTTACCTACCTCCCTGGGTGGCAGTGAGGATTTAAAGTGATAAAGTATACAAAGTGTGGAACCTAGTACTTGGTGGCGGGGTGGGGCGCTCTCACTTTGTTGCCCAGGCTGGTCTAGAATTCCTGGGCTCGAGCGATCCTCTCGCCTTGGCCTTTCAAAGTTCTGGGATTACAGGCATGAGTCACTGTGCCTGGCCTGATTATTAGTATTAATAGTTGTCATAGTTGCTTAACAAACAGAAAGTGCTTTTTTGAGACAGGGTCTCACTCTGTTACCCAGGCTGGAAGGCAGTGGCACGATCATGGCTCACTGCAGCCTCATCCTCCCTGGGCTCAGGTAATCCTCCCATCTCAGCCTCCCGAGTAGCTGGAACTATAGGCATGTACCACCATGCTCAGCTAACTTTTAAAATTTTTTTGTAGAGATAGAATCTCACTGTGTAGACCAAGCTGATCTCAAACTCCTGGCCTCAAGCGATCTGCCTGCCTCGGCCTCCCTAAGTGTTGGGATTACACGCGTGAACCACCACACTTGGCCAGAAAGTGCTTCCACATATTAACTCACTTACACTTCATAACATCCTACAAGATAGGTATCCTCACCCCCAGTTTACAGATAAGGAAACTGAGGCCCAGCAGTTATAAGCTCAAGTCAGTCTGGCCCCAGAGCCTATGCTTGTAACTAGGTTTCTCTCTCTGTCTCTCTCTTTTTCATTATCCCATGTAACTCTCACAGCAGTGCCTTGAGATAGCTATTATTGGCCCTGTTTTGCAGATTTGGAAACTGAGGTTCAGTACGAGGAAATAACTGGTCCAAGGAAGTAAACACGGGCTCCACTGACCACAGGAGGCCAAGCTGGATTGCTGCCCAACATGTCAACATGCACTGCTCTGGCCCCCTCCTCCCTCGCTGTGCCTCCAGCTGTGTTTTCTTTGGATCTCTGCATGGCTTGGAGAAGCTGCGTCAGCCCATCTCCTCTCCTGCCCAGTCCCCACCCCCAACGCCCACCCCAGCTACCCCTCAGGGAGTGACCCCCTTCTCCTCACTCTGCCTGAGCATATGAGCACTGCAGCTCATGCGCCTGTGTTGGTCAGCATGGGTGCACCTGGGGACATGTGACAGGGGACCCAGCTGGAATGAGAGGAGGATTATCTGAGGAGGACAAATCTCAGGCCAGGAAGACCCCGATTACATCTCTCCAGACAGGCGAAATGATCATCTGTTTCCAGAATGCAACTGGACAAAACAGTCCGCGTGAGGGCTGGACATTTACCAAATGGGTAAAAGGAATCTAAAAGGGCTGGGGCTTGCTGAGTTCAGCCAGGCCAAAGCTGTGGACTGACTTTCCGTGATTTCTAAAGCTGGGAGATCTGTTGTTTTCTTCTTTCTTTCCCATTTCCTCCTTGAAGGCCAGTCCATTTTCTGTGTGAAGAACAGGCCACTTGGTGTCTGAAGTCACCTCCAGATTAGAAACTCAAGGATTCTAAGGTTCCTTATGAGGTGTTGCTTTCCCTGGGTCCTCGGTCCTAGGGCATTGTATCCCCACACCTGGTGCCTCTCCATCAGGGCTCGGATGTCAGCCTTGGGCAGCTCACTCTCTCTCTGACTTCCCTTTTCTTTTCTTCTTCATATCCCACCCTTCTTCCCAGTTTCTATGCCTCTGTCAGTCTGCTAGCTGACTCTGACTCATGGGGACCTCTTTCTGTGGTCCTCTAAGCCTCCTAACCGTCTGTGCTTTCCTTATACTCCACGTGGGCTTTCCAGCCTCTACTTGTTTTGAGGAAGAGGTGGAGGATCCATAGCAGCTCTGTCTAGATGTTTGGATTTCATAAGCCAGTCACAACATTTCAAAGTAAGTGAAGGGAGGGGGCCCCAAAGGAAGGGATTTTTTCCTTTGATAATAAGGATAGGCCACCATCTTCAGCCTAAGCTTGTCCCTTTTCTGCAGGGCTTGCTGAAATGTTGCAAGAAGTGGTCAACATAATGCAACTCGAATTTTTCCAGGTGTCCTAATACTGCAGGAGTCCCCCGCATAACCCAGGCTTTGGTCTAACAAGATTGCCAACCCCTAGCCAGGAATCATGAGGATGTCACCGCCCTCTGGCCTTCTTCCTCTCTTCCACCCAGCTAGATCCATATTTTAGCTCCCCCCCAACCCTAGCAAGTACCAAATCCTGCTCCTTTTCCAAGCTTCCCCATCACAGGTCATGGCACCAGCTTTATGCAGTGCTCAAGTCAAAAATATAGGAGTCATCCTTGACTTCCT
The DNA here is from genome assembly GCF_000001405.40 of Homo sapiens. Lineage (NCBI taxonomy): Eukaryota > Metazoa > Chordata > Mammalia > Primates > Hominidae > Homo > Homo sapiens. Next base: position 45,921,218 of record NC_000020.11, read on the forward strand.
TTTTTTGTTATACCCCACATCAGCAAATCCCGGTGTCTCTAACTCCAAAAGACGCCTCACCTTATGCCTGTAATCAAAGCACTTTGGGAGGCTGAGGTGGGAGGATCACTTGAGCCCAGGGGTTCAAGACCAGCCTGAGCAACATAGTGAGACTTTGTCTCTACAAAAAATAATTAGCCAGGTGTGGTAGCATGCGCCAATAGTCCCAACTACTTGGGAGGCTGAGGTGGGAAGATCGCTTGAGTCCAGGAGGTCAAGGCTGCAGTGAGCTGTGATTGCGCCACTGCATTCCCGCCTGGGCAACAGAGCGAGACTCTGCCTCGAAAAAAAAAAAAGATGCCCCACATCTATACAATTCTCTCTATCAGCACCAACACCACTTCAAGCCATTTTCATTGGTTACCGGGACAACCTGCCTTATCTCCCTGTCTCACCATTTCTCCTGTAGGTCTAGCCTCTCTACATCAATCTAAGTGATATTTTTAAAAATGGGAATCATAGAATTTTTCTATCCTGCTCAACATCCTCCCCATCACACACAAAATAAAACCCAGACTCTGGCCACGACCTCTGGAAACACTGCAGGTGAACTAGCTCCTGCCTACCTTCCTCTCCAAGCCCATCTTCTACCACTGTTGGGAACACACCAAGTGCCTTCAGCCTCAGACTTTCCTTAATTCTTTTCTCCACCAGACACATCATCCCACACACATACCCATGCAGAGTTACTCAGATCCCTACTCAAATGTCACCCCCACAGAAGAGGCCCCCTCTGTGTCATTACCTGTCATTCTGTTTGTTTAATTCTTTATTGCCTGTTTCTTCCAGTAGACTGCAAGCTCCCCAGGGCGGGGACAGGAGCCTGCCACTCTTATTCATGGCCATATGTCCAGTGCCCAGCACAGGGTCTGGCACACAGAAAATGCTCAATAGATGTTTGTTGAATTCAAGATGGCCGGGCACGGTGGCTCATGCCTGTAATCTCAGCACTTTGGGAGGTCGAGGCAGACAGATCACGAGGTCAGGAGTTCGAGACCAGCCTGGCCAAAATGGTGAAACTCCGTCTCTACTAAAAATACAAAAATTAGCCGGGCGTGGTGGCACACACCTGTAGTCCCAGCTACTTGGAAGGCTGAGGCAGAAGAATCACTTGAACCTGGGAGGCAGAGGTTGCAGTGAGCTGAGATCACACCACTGCACTCCCGCCTGGGCAAGAGAGCGAAACTCCATCTCAGGAAAAAAAAAAAAAAGATGTTTGTTGAATTCAAGATGGGGTGTTATTATCATCCCTAGACCCTTCAGAAGGAGCAGCTTTTATGGTGCACTCTGTAGCCCTGATCTAATCCCCGGCTGAGCCTCTAAGCTCTATGCTTTCTGCTGGTACCACCCATTTCCTTGCATTTAGCCGGGGTTATCTGGAGCTGGTCTGCAGCCAAGAATGTCATACTTTCCTAATCTCCCCAGAGGCCTGAGAGACGCCTAAGGTCATGGGAGGTGCCCCCACAGGATCTCAGTGGGCTGAGCAGAAATCGGGACTCCTTGACCTAACCCACCCCCAGGCCCCTTCTACCTCACCTTCCAGCAGGCTCACGCCTGTAATCCCAACACTTTGGGAGGCCATGGTGGGCGAATCACCTGAGGTCAGGAGGAGTTCGAGACTAGCCTGGCCAACATGGTGAAACCCCAACTCTACCAAAAATAAAAACATTAGCTGGGTATGGTCGTGGGCACCTGTAATTCCAGCTACTCAGGAGGCTGAGGCAGGAGAATTGCTTGAACCCAGGAGACAGAGGTTGCAGTGAGCCAAGATCGCACCACTGCACTCCAGCCTGGGCGACAGAGCAGGACTCCATCTCAAAAAAAAAAAAAAGTTGAACACAAATTTACCATACAGCAATTTCGCTCCTAAGGGTCTACCCACAGAAAAGGAAAATGAATGCATTTGTACATGAATGTTGATAGTAGTGTTATTCGTAATAGCCAAAAGGTGGAAACAATTCAACTATCAATTGGTAAACAAATAAAATATGGTATATCTGTATAATGCAACACTATTCAGCAATAAAAAAAGAATCAACTACTGATATATGCTTCAAAATGGATGAAGCTCAAAAACATAATGCAAAGTGAAAGATGCAAGCTGCAAAAGACTACATCTGTGTGATTCTATTTATATGAAATGTTCAGAAAAGGCAGCTCTATAGGGACAGAAAGCAGGCCAGTGGTTGCTGGGGGCTGATGGTGGGAACAGGAACTGACTGCAAACAAGCCCAAGAAATCTTTTAGGGTAATGGAAATGTTCTAAAACAGAACTGTGTTGACAATTGTATAACTCTATACATTTACTTAAAACAAATTTTATTTATTTATTTATTTATTCATTCATTTTTGAGACAGAGTCTCTCTCCTTCCCCCAGGCTGAAGTGCAATGGTGCAATCTCGGCTCACTGCAACCTCCGCCTCCTGAGTTCAAGCGATTCTCCTGTCTCAGCCTCCCCAGTAGCTGGGATTACAGGTGCCTACCACCACACCTGGCTAATTTTTGTATTTTTAGTAGAGACAGGGTTTCACCACGTTGGCCAGGCTGGTCTCGAACTCCTCACCTCCACCCTCCTCAGCCTCCCAAAGTGCTGGGATTACAGGCGTGAGCTACCGTGCCCGGCCTATTCATTTACTTATTATTATTATTTTTAGTAGAGACAAGGTCTTGTCTGGGTTGGTCTCTAGCTCCTGGGCTCAAGCAGTCCTCCTGCCTCAGCCTCCCAAAGTGCTGAGATTATAGGTGTAAGCCACTGTGCCCGGCCAGAATTGTATATGTATTTATTTATTTATTTATTTTTGAGACGGAATCTCTCCCAGGTTGGAGTGCAGTGGCATGATCTCAGCTCACTGCAACCTCCACCTCCCTGGTTCAACGATTCTCCTGCCTCAGCCTCCCAAGTATCTGGGATTACAGGCGCCCACCACCACGCCGAGCTAATTTTTGTATTTTTTTTTTTTTGAGACTGAGTTTTGCCGTTGTTGCCCAGGCTAGAGTGCAATGCGTGACCTCAGCTCACTGCAACCTCCGCCTCTCAGGTTCAAGGGATTCTCCTGCCTCAGCCTCCCAAGTAGCTGGGATTACAGGCATACACCACTGAGCCTGGCTAATTTTGTATTTTTAGTAGAGATGGCATTTCGCCATGTTGGTCAGGCTGGTCTTGAACTCCTGACCTCAGGCGATCCGCCTGCCGTGGCTTCCCAAAGTGCTGGGATCACAGGCGTGATAGAATTGTATACTGAAAACAAGTGAGTCTTGTAGTCTGTAAATTATACCCTAATAAAGCTGTTAAAAACATTTTCCTAGCTCGGGTTGAGATCTCTGGGTTAGATGTGTCCTGGGAACCCAGCTGGGACCCAGGCTGGGTGGGGTGTCCTCCTTTCTCTCCTTTCTAAGTCAGTTTTCTGTGATCTCAGACTTTCAGGAAGCTACCAGCTGTCGCTCTTGTTTCTTTTTTGAAGAAGTCTGGAATTCTGCAGACTCAGCTCATATGGGAGTAAACATCCTGGCTCTTGGCCACTCTGACTGAAGTGCAAAAATGAGCATCACGGCCGGGCACGGTGGCTCACGCCTGTAATCTCAGCACTTTAGAAGGCCGAGGCAGGCGGATCATGATGTCTGGACATTGATACTGTCCTTGCCAACATGATGAAACCCCATCTCTACTAAACATACAAAAATTAGCTGGGCATGGTGGCATGTGCCTGTAATTCCAGCTACTCAGGAGGCTGAGGTAGGAGAATCGCTTGAACCAGGGAGTTGGAGGTTGTAGTGAGCCGAGATCGCGCCACTGAACTCCAGCCTGGCGATAGAGCAAGACTGTCTTAAAAAAAAAAAGCGCATCACAGGGAATGGGTGGGAGAGTGGAGGGGACCACCACAGGTGGCCCACCCCTATCTTGATATGACCAAACGCCGCCTGGGATGCTGAGCACTAACCCAGAGCAAGGACTGAATTTGGACTCCAGGGTCCTGGTAGGACCTGCACCTCCCTTGCTCCCTGGCTGTGCTCAGGTTGACCAGCTCTCCAAACACACCCTCCCTTTCTATACCTCCAGGCCTTGGCACACGCTGTGCCCTCCCCTTTTCCTTGCCTACCTGGAAAATCTATTTTTCCAATAAGAATCTGTTCATTGTCATCTCCTCTGAAGCTTTCTCCTTTGTGTGCCCACCACCCCCAGCCCCTGCCATCCCTCCAGAGCCCTCATCTCCCTGTGGCAGAGGGTTCATGTATATGTCTGCCTCCCACACTGCTCTGTGGGCTCCCTAAGACAAACCGTCTGTCCGTCTTACTTATCGCTTATTCTCAAGACTCTAGGACAGGCCAAGGGAAGAAATGGAGGGAATAGTACACCACATCAGACGCTTCCAAGGCCAGGAAGACCAAGGGAGACGCCCCCATTCCTCTCATCTATTCTTGGCCTAAATGGCTTCTCTCATCTGGTCCCAGAATGGCCCAAGAGCCACTCCCTGTGGGAACCACAGTTTGGGGTGGAAGCCTCCTTTCCACAGCTTTCCGGGGGCCAGACCCACTTGCCTTGGAAACTCCCTTTGCATAATTTAAACTGCAGTGTAGGGTCCATGGCCAGCTCAAGCCCAGCCTAGGCGGGGGCAACCTGGAGTGGGATCCAGCTAGAGTCTCCCTTCCCCAGCTGCCAGGACCTCAGGGGATGAAAGTTCCCTCTCAGCAGCTTCTTGCTGCAGTGGCAGAGAACAAGGGGGTTAAGCTATGTGGCAACCTGAGCTGGTTGTTTATGTTTCTGCTTTAGTGTGGAGGCTTGGCTTTGTCCGGAGTTGAGGCAGGGGTCCTCAGAGGCCCTGGCAGCTAGTGACCAGCCAGGAGTGGTGACATAATTTTCAGGGCTAGGGCCGGACATGATGGGTCACGCCTGTAATCCCATCACTTTGGGGTGCCAAGGTGGGTGGATCACCTGAGGTTGGGAGTGTGAGACCAGACTTGCCAACATGGTGAAACCCCATCTCTACTAAAAATCTAAAAATTACCTGGACCCAGTGGCACGTGCCTGTAGTCCCAGCTACTGGGGAGGCTGAGGCAAGAGAATTGCTTGAACCTGGGAGGGGGAGGTTGCAGCGAGCCGAGATTGCACCACTGCACTCCAGCCTGGGTGACAGAGCAAGACGCTGTCTCAAAAAACAATATTCAGGGCTCAGGGCAAAATGAAAACGTGGGACTTTTGTTCCAAAATTATTAAGATTTTTAAGATGGTGACAGTAGAACATTAAACCAAACACAGACTTTTCTTTTTTATTATTATTTTTATTTTCATCTTGTTTTTATTTTTTGAGACAGGGTCTAGAGTGCAGTGGTGCAATCATGGCTCACTACAGCCTCGAACTCCTGGACTCAAGCAATCACCCCCTGCGTCAGCCTCCCAAGTAGCTAGGACTGCAGGAGCACCTACTATGCCCAGCTAATTATTACTATTATTATTTTATGTAGAGATGGGGTTCTATGTTGCACATGCTGGTCTTGAACTTTTGGCCACAAGCAATCCTCCCACTTTGGCATCCCAAAGTGCTGGGATTACAGGCATGAGCCTCCACACCCAGTAAGCATGGGCCTTTCTAAATCTATGCAGCCGGCCCTGGTGCCAGGGAGAGGAGCCCAGCTTATTCCAACCACCTCTCTCAGCCCAGACCTATTGTCTACCCAGGCTTCTTAGTTCAGAAAAGTAGCTGGAGAAATGGAAAGCCTTAGGATCTTTGCTCAACTGCTCATCCCTATATTGGGAATAAAAGACTCCAGGCTACTGACAGAGACTCGGCCACAGCAGGCAGCCCACAGGGTGCTGCCTTGGTGTTCCCACCACAGAAACCAGAGCCTGGAATAGAAACGGGGATACCTGGCCAGGCACAGTGCCTCACGCCTGTAATCCCACCACTTTGGGAGGCCGAGGCAGGCAGATTGCTTGAGGTCAGGAGTTCGAGGCCAGCCTGGTCAACACGGTGAAACCCCCATCTCTACTAAAAACACAAAAATTAGCTGGGCCTGGTGATGTGTGCCTTTAGTCACAGCTACTCCGGAGGCTGAGGCAGGAGAATCGCTTGAATCCTGGAGGCAGAGGTTACAGTGAGCCAAGATCACACCACTGCATTCCAGCCTGTGCGACAGAGGGAGATCCTGTCTCAAAAAATAAATAAATAAACGGGCTACCTGAAAAAGCCACCTAGACTTCAACCCAGAGTGGTCTGTTCATGGTCATCAAATATTTACAGAGGGTCAGGCACAGTACTGAGCATGGGGTTACAAGGGTGAATAAGCCCCAGGCCCCACCCTTAAGCAGCGCACAGCCTAGTGGATGAGGAAAATTGACAAACATTATGAGCTTAGACCATTGTGGTAGTACAAGAGAGGGAACCTGTCCTAGCCGGGGTAGAAGGAAGTTCAGGGAAGGCTGCCTGGTGGAGGCGACATCTAGGCTAAGACTCGAAGGCTGAATTAGGTCAAGAGGGGAAGAAGAGTAAGGGCAAACAGCATATGCAGAGACTCAGGAGCTGGACACGGTGGCTCATGCCTGAAATCCCAACACTTTGGGAGGCTGAAGCAGGAATATTCCTTGAGGCTAGGAGTTTGAGACCAGCCTGGGCAACATAGTGAGATCTTGTCTCTACAAAAAAAAAAAAAATTTAATGAGCCAGGTGTGGTGGTGGTGTGCTCCTGCAGTCCCAGCTACTTAGGGGGCTGAGGTAAGAGGATCACTTGAGCCTAGGAGGTCAAGGCTACAGTGAGCCTGGATACAAATGGAGACTCTGGCTCAAAAACGAACAAAACAAAGAAAGAAATAAACAAAAACACAAAGGATCAGGGTCATGAAAGAACCTGGCACATTTAGGGAAATTATGAAGTAGTTCATGGTAGCTGGGACTGGATCAAGAAGAGATGGTTTGAAGGTCCAGATCATGAATAAAATGAATGTGTGTAAAGTGCTTGACGTTGTGCATAGTAAATATTCTGCCATGGTAGCTCATTATAATTCTGGTTTTGTAGGCCAAATTAAGGGTTTGGGATTTTGTCCCGTAGTCAATGGGGAGACATTCAAGAGCTTTAAGCCCAGAGTGACTTGATGAGATTTGCTATATGGCCAGATCCCCGTGGCTCCTTGGTGGATTATGAACTAGAAGAGAAGCAAGGCTGGAGGATCAGAAGGCCACTTTGAAAATTAACAGGTATGGCCAAGCACAGTGGCTCACACCTGTAATCCTAGCACTTTAGGAAGCTGAGGTGGGAGAATTGCTTCAGCCCAGAAGTTAGAGATAGTCTTGGCAACATACTGACCCCATCTCTAGTTAAAAAAAAAAAGAGAGAGAGAGAGAGACTGGGCATGGTGGCTCACACCTATAATCTTAGCACTTTGGGAGGCAGAGGCAGGTGGATCGCCTGAGGTCAGGAGTTCAAGATCATCCTGGCCAACACGGTGAAACCCTGTCTCTACTAAAAATACAAAAATTAGCCAGGCGTGGTGGCGTGTGCCTGTAATCCCAGCTACCTGGGAGGCTGAGGCAGGAGAATTGCTGGAACTTGGGAGGCGGAGGCTGCAGTGAGCTGATATTGTGCCATGGCACTCCAGCCCATGTGACAGAGCCAGACTCAATAAACAAATAAATAAAGCCAGGCACGGTGGCTGATGCCTGTAATCCCAGCACTTTGGGAGGCCGAGGCGGGCAGATCACTTGAGGTCAGGAGTTCGAGACCAGCCTGGCCAACATGCAGAAACCCTGTCTCTACTGAAAATACAAAAATTAGCCAGGTGTTGTGGCGGGTGCCTGTAATCCCAGCTACTTGGGAGGCTGAGGCAGAAGAATCACTTGAACCCAGGAGGCAGAGGTTGCAGCAAGCTGAGATCGCGCTACTGCACTCCAGCCTGGGCGACAGAGCGAGACTCTGTCTAAAAAAATAAATAAAAATAAAAATAATTTTTAGAAAAGAAATTGAGAGGTATGGCAGGTGGGAGGCTTCACTTATATCCCTTAACAATAGAGTAGATAAACATACAGTGGAAAACAAAAAAACAGCAATGAAAATGAACTCACCACAGCTATATGAAACAACATAAAGGAGTTTTGCAAGTGTATTCTTGTGCAAAAGAAGGCAGACACAAAATAATACTGTATAATTCAATTTACATAAAGTTCAAGGAACAGACAAAACGAAACTACAGTGTTTAGGGACACATTCTCAGGTGGTACAACTCCAAAAGCAAGGAAGCGATTATCACAAAAGTAGTTGGAACACCAATTACCCTGCAGAGGTCTTCTGCTTGACTGTTCAGTACCATGGCATGGGTGATGCTAACCCAGGCTCACTTTTTGATAAATCATTAGGTTTTACATTTATGTTTTGTGCACTTTTCCATGTGTGCTATTCTTTTTTTTTTTTTTTTTCTTGAGACGGAGTCTCGCTCTGTTGCCCAGGCTGGAGTGCAGTGGTCTGATCTCGGCTCATCGAACCTCTGCCTCCCAGGTTCAAGCGATTCTCCTGCCTCAGCCTTCTGAGTAGCTGGGACTATAGGCATGCACCACCACACCCAGCTAATTTTTTTGTATTTTTAGTAGAGACGATGTTTCACTATGTTGGCCAGGCTGGTCTCAAACTCCTGACCTTGTGATCTACCCGCCTCGGCCTCCCAAAGTACTGGGATTACGGGCGTGAGCCACCATGCCCAGTCTATTTTGTATACATTTTTTTGAGACAGGGTCTTGCTCTGTTGCCCAGGCTGGAGTGCAGTGGCATGATCATAGCTCTCTGCAGTTTTGACCGCCTGGGCTCAAGTGATCCTCCCACCTCAGCCCCCTAAGTAGCTGGGACTACAGGTGTGTGCTTCCGCACCTGGCTAATTTTTGTGTTTTTTGTAGAGACGCAGGTTTCACCATGTTGCCCAGGCTGGTCTTAAACTCCTGGACTCAAGCAATCCACCCACCTCCACCTCCCAAAGTGCTAGAATTACAGGCATGAGCCACTGCGCCCAGCTATGTTTAAGACACGGTCTCTGTCGCCCAGGCTGGAGTGCAGCTAACTGCAGCTTCGACGTCCAGGGCTCAAGTGATCCTCCCACCTCAGACTCCCAAGTGGCTGGAATTACAGGCCCATGCCACCATGCCCGGCTAATTTTATTTAAAACATTTTTCAGAGACAGGGTCTTGCTACATTGCCCAGGCTGGTCTCTTAACTCCTGACCTCAAGGTATCCTCCCACTTTGGCCTCCCAAAGTGTTGGTGATTACAGGCATGAGCTACTGTGCCAGTCTATCATACACTATTTTTTTTTTTTTTTTGAGACGGAGTCTTGCTCTGTCACCAGGCTAGAGTGCAGTGGTGCGATCTTGGCTCACTGCAGCTTCTGCCTCCCAGGTTCAAGTGGTGTCCCTGCCTCAGCCTCCGGAGTAGCTGGAACTACAGGCGCGTGCCACCGTGCCCGGCTAATTTTTTGTATTTTAGTAGAGATGGGGTTTCACCATGTTGGTCAGGATGGACTCGATCTCCTGACCTCATGATCTGCCCGCTTAGGCCTCCTGGGATAAAGTGCTGGGATTACAGGTGTGAGCCACCACACCCAGCCCCATATGCTATTCTTAACAATAAAAAGGTTTTAAAAATTTGTCTTTGGGAGGCTGAGGTGGGTGGATCACCTGAGGTCAGGAGTTCGAGACCAGCCTGGCCAACGTGGTGAAATCCCGTCTATACTAAAAATACAAAAAAAAAAAAAAAAAAAAAAAAAAAAACTAGTCGGGCATGGTGGCGGGCACCTGTAATCTCAGCTACTCGGGAGGCTGAGGCAGAAGAATCACTTGAACCTGGGAGGCAGAGGTTGCAGTGAACCGAGATCGCGCCACTGCACGCTAGCCTGGGCGACAGAGCAAGACTCCTTTTCAAAAAACAAAACAAAATTGGGCTGTGTGTGGTGGCTCATGCCTGTAATCCCAGCACTTTGGAAGGCTGAAGCAGGAGGATTGCTTAAGGCAAGGAGTTCAAGGTTACAATGAGCTATGAGTGCACATCAGTCTGGGAGATAGACTGAGACTCTGCTTCTAAAAAAAAGGGGGGTAGGGGTGGGAAACGCCAGCTCTTAAGGTAGTCATTAGAATGGTGAGAAGAGGTTGGGTTTTGTTTTGTTTGAGACGGAGTTTTGCTCCTGTCACCTAGGCTAGAGTGCAATGGTGTGATTTCGGCTCATTGCAACCTCTTCCTCCCGGGTTCAAGCGATTCTCCTGCCTCAGCCTCCTGAGTAGCTGGAATTACAGGCGCTTGCCACCATGCCCAGCTAATTTTTGTATTTTTAGTACAGATGGGCTTTCACCCTGTTGGCCAGGCTGGTCTCAAACTGCTGACCTCAGGTGATCCACCCGCTTTGGCCTCCCAAAGTGCTGGGATTACAGGCGTGAGCCACCGCACCCAGCTGAGAAGAGGCTGGTTTTGACATGCGGAAAGTGAGCAAACGGAGAAGATGAGGCATGTATCAGGTGAAAAGCAGTGCTGAACACTGTGAGATAGAGAAACCTTTAAGATACTTAACTATCCAGGCCGGAGGCGGTGGCTCACGTCTGTAATCCCAGCACTTTGGGAAGCCGAGGTGGGCGGATCACCTGAGGTGGGAAGTTCGAGACCAGCCTGACCAACAGGGAGAAACCCCGTCTCTACTAAAAATACAAAATTAGCCGGGCGTGGTGGCGCATGCCTGTAACACCAGCTACTCAGGAGGCTGAGGCAGGAGAATCGCCTGAACCCTAGAGGCGGAGGTTGCAGTGAGCCGATATTGCACCACTGCACTCCAGCCTGGGCAACAAGAGCGAAACTCCGTCTCAAAAAAAAAAAAAAAAAAAAAGATTGAACTATCCAGGGCCACTGTGTCCACTCAGACCAGTCACATCGCCTGAATCTAGATCCCTTCTTCACAAAACAGGGAGGCCAGAGTGGTTTAATGGAACCAGCCCTGCATTTTGGTGTTGAGAACTCCGGGCTTAAAATCCCAGTTTTGTTACTTGTTGATGGCTGTGTGAACCTGGACAATGACTTCGCCCCTGCCCCTCGCTCCAACCTGTTTGCTCATGTGCAGATTTAGGTAATAATTCACAGAATTCCATGATAAAACAGAAGACTAGGCACTTGGGATGTTTGGTATCTTGGTTATCAATTAAGAGAATCTGAACAATGAATGAGAAAATACTTTGAAAACATAAAAGAATAGATAAAAGGCCGGGCGCGGTGGCTCACGCCTGTAATCCCAGCACTTTGGGGGGCCGAGGCGGGCGGATCATGAGGTCAGGAGTTTGAGACCAGCCTGGCCAACATCGTGAAACACCGTCTCTACTAAAAATACAAATAAAATTAGGTGGGAGTGGTGGCGGGTGCCTATAATCCCAGCTACTTGGGAGGCTGAGGCAGGAGAATTGCTTGAACCCGGGAGGCAGAGGTTGTAGTGAGCCGAGATCGCGCCACTGCAATCCAGCCCGGGCGACAGTGCGAGATTTCGTCTCAAAAAAAAAAAAGGGTAATAATCACTACATGGTTTTTAAACTTTAGTGAAAGCGCGGGCTAGCTGGGGGGCATGAGCATGGAAAACTGGTTATCCCGTAGGTCAAGAGCGACCACGTAGTTTACTGCCCAAAGCAGTACTTTTTTTTGAGACAGGAGTCTCACTCTGTCGCCCAGGCTGGAGTGCAGTGGCGCGATCTCGACTCACTGCAACCTCTGCCTCCCGGGATCATGTGATTCTCCTGCCTCAGCCTCCCGAGTAGCTGGGATTACAGGCGCGCGCCACCAGGCCTGGCTCATGTTTGTAATTTTAGTAGAGACGGGGTTTCGCCGTGTTGGCCAGGCTGGTCTTGAATTCCTGACCTCAGGTGGTCCACCTGCGTCGGCCTCCCAAAGTGCTGGGATTACCGGGGTGAGCCACCACGCCCGGCCCAAAGCAGGGCACTTCTGAAAAAGGAGGCAATATTAGTAATTATGCCAGGGCAGCAGGCATAAATCAAAGCTGGCCCCCCACCCTTCCAGAACTGAGACAGGACCCAGGAGTCTGGTTTCCCATCAGGCCTCTTATCTGAACGAGAAGCTCTGCGAGGGCAGAACTGCTGTGCCTATATAGAGCTGGCTTATTTCTGGAGGGCTCAAATCTACTTGGAGCAATGCTCATGCCACTGTGAGATGATCACGGCTAACCGATTCAGCACTTAGGAAGCGCCAGGTATTGCGCTGAGGACTTCACATGCATCACCTGAGTTAATTCTCACCAAACCTTTATGAGGTAGGCGGATTTATTATCTTCCACTGAGGAAACTAAAATTTAAATTGGTTAACTCCTTCAAGGCCACACATTTTGGGTGGAGGAGCAGGGATTGAAATCAGATGAGGATCATGAACCCTCGTTCTCAATTACTACTCATATCGGTGCCTCCGTTTTTCTTGAGCGTCCGCCTGCCTGCCCCCACGCTGGCGTGCAGCCAGGACCATGGACATCTGAGAGGCTACTCAGCCGGGGTACCTACAGCCCCTGGCTCCACACAAGCGCCGGTCTGACAGCAGGTGGCAAGCTTTTCCTCTTCTCAAGCTAGCACTGGAAGGGATGCTTGCTGGGGAGACCGGAGATGGGTGGAGCTACCACTCGGACGCCTGCAGGCTCCTACCAAAAAGAATCCTGCAGGGAGCCGGATGAGGAGCACCTCACAGCTGCCAGTTCCCTGCCAGGCTACCCGCTGTAGCTGGTTTGAGGGCTCAGTGAGGCTTTGAACTGCAACTAATGGCCACAGATGTCAATGTTGGAAAGGCCCTACAATGCATTTAGTTGATTTCCCAACTCTGCCGAAAGCCATCTCTATTACTTGCCCCCGAAGGCTAGTTTAAGTTGCTTCTACTCAAGAGCATTTACAGCTTGGGTTCGATGTATATGTAGCCCGGGCATGGGGCAGGGCTTCTTAACATTTGGACACCACGCAGCACAAAGGCCCAGAGAGGGAAAGAGACTGGCTGGAAGAGGCAGAGCCGCGCGGGTGCCAGGACCCAGGTCCTTGCTACGTCCGGAGCCTACGTCACCACGATGCCTCCCCTGGGCCGGCGGCAGAACCCGAGACCCCCGCAGGTTCTAAGACAGCCCCCACGCCCCCCAGTGCGCACGCTCAGTCCAACCCCGCCGCGCACCGCCCACCGCGAACATCCGGCTCCTGCGTGTGTGCTCGAGGGGGAAACTGAGGCGGGGACGTGCCAGTGAATTCATTCCTTCCTCAGTCCACCCGCAGGCCTACAAAGCTGTCTCCCCTTCCTCAGCGCCACAAGGAACAGCAGGGACGGATGGGAAGAAGGGGAGGGGGCCGAAAGCAAGCTGGGTGCGAGGAGCCAGCCGACCCTGCCACACTCAAGATGGCGGCGCGGCCGCGGCGAGGTCCCTCAGAGGCGGTACCAGCGCATGCGCAGCGCGGAGTCCCGGCCCGGGACACAAGATGGCGGCAGCGGCGCTGGGGAGGGCGAGGCGGAGGCGGCAAAACGGGCGGTCGAGCAGAACGTGTAGCCGCGTCCCCTCCAGTCCGCTCCGGGCAGGTAAGAGTCCCAGGAAGCCATGGTCCCGCAGCGAGCCGCGCCAGGGTCTGGGGATCCGAAGCTGGGGGGCGGCGGCCCCTCCGGCGCTTTCTGCTCGGGACTGCCGCTTGCCCTGTCTCTGTTGCCGCCGCCATCTTAGACCCGCGGGTGGGCGGCCGCGCCGGTGGCCGAAGTGAGGGAGGTGGGCCCGGAGAGCCCCAGCGGAGCGGGCTCTAGGGCCCCTCCGCTGCTGCCGCCGCCACCGCCTTTGTGTCGGGCTCCGACTCTGAGTCGCCTCAGCCCGGGGGCGGGAGCGCGCGGCGGGGCGGGGGGCGGAGCCCGAGAGATGGGCCGGCGCGCGCGCGCGCGCCAAACAGCCCACCCTCGCTGGGGTAGGGGGAGGGGAAGGTGCGCGCGCGCGCGCGCGCTGGAGCTCGCCTCTCGCCTTCGTGCGCCGTCGCGCCTGCGTACTTTGTTCGCCCTTTGACTCCTCCCTACTGGGCCGGAGAATTCTGATTGGTACATTGCGGAGATGGTCCCGCCCCACGTGCCTCCAATCCCGGACTCGGACTCTGGCTTCTGGTGGGTTTTTCTGGTTGCGCAGATAGAGTTGTTTATCCTTGAGCAGCGGTAATTCTCAAACTGCGGTATGCGTGGGGGTCGGGAAGCCACAGGATAAATAAAGACGTTAACTTAAGAGCAGTTATGTCTTACTGGGAGCGTACAATGCTGGACTCTACATATAACGGTCGAGTGATTCCGGTTTATAAGCCGGAAAGCAGAAGGGCCCGGAATCCGGGTCTGTCCAACCCAGGGGCTGGTACTTCGGCCACAGACCTGCTGCGCTCAAGTCACATAGGAAATTAAAAATGGTTTTAATTGCAAAAAATGGGTACATTTTTTCAAATAGTGTGAAAAAATGAGTCATCCTGTCTCCCAGTCACTCTTACGGTGCGTTTTAAAAATACAAATTCTTGTGTGCCTCACCTCCGTATTTATTTCTGGCTTCTGAGATGCGCAGTGAGGCACAGGAGTCTGATTTTTTTTTTTTTTTTACAAACTCCAAGATGATTCTGATGCACAGCTGGCTTTGGAAATACTGCAGTGTCCCCATTTAGCCTCACACTAAGCTGTGCCGCTTGTGCGTATTCTGCAAAGTTCATCTACCCGGTGCATCAATATCACAGGATGTTTCTTGGGGAAAATATTTTTCAATAAAGGCGAACAAGATGTGTCACATAATGTGTTTGCATGTTTTTGTTTTTGCAAGACATTATTCAGAGCGTGTCTTTGACTTGCTGTGGGAGGCTTGGGATTGTGCCCCCACAGATCAGTGATAGGTATGTTTGTTGATTTTTCTCTGGTCTAAGGGTACTTTATTTTATTTTTTATTTTTATTTATTTATTTTGAGACGGAGTCTTGCTCTGTCGCCTGGGCTGGAGTGCAGTGGCGCGATCTCAGCTCACTGCAACCTCCGCCCCCTGGGTTCATGCCATTCTTCTGCCTCAGCCTCCCGAGTAGCTGGGACTACAGGCTCCCGCCACCACGCCGGGCTAATTTTTTTTTTTTTTTTTTTTTGTATTTTTAGTAGAGACGGGGTTTCACTGTGTTAGCTAGGATGGTCCCGATCTCCTGACCTCGTGATCCGCCCATCTGGGCCTCCCAAAGTGCTGGGATTACAGGCGTGAGCCACCGCGCCCGGCCTCTTTTATTTTTTAAGAGATGAGGTCTTGCCCTGTCACCCAGGCTGGAGCACAGTGGCATGATCATACTTCACTGCAGCCTCGAACTCCTGGGCTCAAGTGACCCTTCCACCTCAGCCTCCTGAGTAGCTGGGACTGCAGGTGCAATTTTTTTTTATTTGGGCCCGGCGCAGTGGCTCACACCTGTAATCCCAGCACTTTAGGAGGCCCAGGTGGGTGGATCTCTTGAGGTCAGAAGTTCGAGACCAGCCTGGCCAACATGGTGAAATCCCGTCTCTACTAAAAGTACAGAAAATTAGCCAGCTGTGACTCATGCCTGTAATCCCAGCTACTGAGAGGCTGACACAGGAGAATCGCTTGAACCCAGGAGTTGGAGGTTGCAGTGAGTCGAGATCGTGCAATGCACTCCAGCCTGGGTGATGGAGTCTCACTCCGTCTCAAAGGAAACCAAAACCAACCAAACAAAAAGCTTTATTTGTTGTAGAGCTGGGGGCTCACTATGTTGCCGAGGCTGGTTTTGAACTCCTAGCCCAGCTCCCAAGTTGCCAAAGCCACGTGCCCAGCCTAAGGGTACTTCAGTTGGCAGGACTGGCTACAGAGTTTGTGGGGCCCAGTGTGCAAAATGTAAATGTGAGCTCCTTGTTAAAAAGTTATTAAAAATTTTAAGACAGTGACGGCAGAGCCTTACACCAAGCTCAGGGCTTTCCTGAATGTGGATCCCTGTGCAGCCGTGCAGGTCACATGCCCATGAAAGCAAACCTATTGGTGAGAAAGCTTAAGAGGTATCATTTTCATCCCCTGTATTCCCTCATCCCCTCTCCCGGTGTGTCCTGCCCTGGAGGCCCCCAACTTGCTCTTTGTTTTTGTCCCTCTTGTCCCTGCCCTGCAGCATCCCACAGGTCTGTGACTGTTTTCCTATTTGCTTTCCAGCTGCTGATGCAAGGAATCCCCTGGGCTCCCGTCCACTCCACTGCTGACCAGCCCATTCGCCTGTGCTGAGTCTTCCTGCAGGCCTTTCCTTGCCTCTGTGGGACCCTGTGGGGGTCCATCCGGCTGGAGAAGAAAAGCCTCTCATGCTAACGTTGCAGACCCCAGAGGGTGAGAGAAAGGGGGACTTCATTCAGTCTTGAAACCTGTGTGCTCAGCCCCCAAGGCATCAGGAATTCTTCCTGCCCAGAGAATCAAGGCAGCTTCATTTTTTTCGTACCTTGGTCAGTGGTTCTCAACCTTTTTGTTATCAAGGCACTTTTTGTTGTACATATGTCCTGTTGCCCCCTGCATTTTTATCTGCCAAACTGTACTGATGGAGTAACCATTGACTTTTCCCTTCCTAAATTAAGGAAGACGTCTATGATGGAGTGTACAATAAAATCAGTGTCCCAATGATTCGTATGATGTCATCAACAACCAATCAGAGCTTCTGATCAGCATGAGATAATCAGTGTGACCACAATGAGTTGATAAAATTTCAGCATGAAAAGATAACTGATGTTTAAGCCTGCCTTTGTGGTCTTGTTGTGGGCAAAAGTTTGATTTCTTTTGGGTGGTGTGACCTACTGAAAACAACTTTAGCATCACCAGTTCTATCTCAGTTAGCTCCCAGTTGTCTGACAGCCCCAGGCCAGAAGCACTTTGGCTCCTGAGGCTGTTGCTGGGTGTGCTTTGGGTGGGGGAGTAGGGAATACAGATCTGAAGGAACTGGCCTCCTTGCTGGTACTTACAGTAAATATTCACCTGGGGATTATGAAGGAGTCAATTAGATAGTCCTTCTTGGTTGCATTGGTTATTTTAGCAATAGCTGCTTCCTGCCATGTAGTGTAAAATAAGGTGACCAATTAGATTCCATGCCCTTCCCTAGTGTGCTTTGTTCCTTTTAGATTTTACTGGATGAGAGCAGTAAAATCCCATCTCCTTCTGGGAGTTGTTACTATTCCTTCTTGTAGGAATCGCTTCTCAAGGGCAGACCCTGTTCTGTCTTTTTTGCTGCTCTTGGTGCTTTGTAAATATTTGCAGAATCAGTAGTGCTCCTGTTGGGTCCAGGTCCTAGGCCTGAGCACAGGAGAGAGCTGAATTGGACGCAGTTCCTATTTCTGGAAGTTCTGACAGTTTAGTGGGGAGACAAACCCAGCTGATAGATGAGACCATCTGAGTGCTACGACAGAGGTGTTCACGGCCCTGAGGAGGAGCTCTGACCACCTGGCCTGGGGAGGGGAGAGTCAAGGAAGGCTTCCTGGAGGATGTGAACCCAGTAGCAAGCCAGGCAGAGAAGAGGGGGAGGGGCATTTCAGGCAGAGGAAGCAGCAGGAGTGCACCCATTGAACAGCTGGAATTGCAGCTTAGATCCCAGGGCTGCTGTGTGGCACCATGCTGGCCCTCCAGGATAGGACCTGATTGGATTTCTCCACATCGGTGGGTGGTCACTGGGGCCCTGGGTGGATTGTAATTGGCGGGTGAGGGGGTGGAGCTGACACTCTTTGGTCCTCTGTGTGGCAGGTCCTGTGTGGGTGTGGAGATGGCCAATGAGAATCACGGCAGCCCCCGGGAGGAAGCGTCCCTGCTGAGTCACTCCCCAGGTACCTCCAATCAGAGCCAGCCCTGTTCTCCAAAGCCAATCCGCCTGGTTCAGGACCTCCCAGGTACTGAGGGGGAGCAGTAGTGGGGTGGTGGGGTAGGAAGGGCACCCTGGGAGCAGTCCTGACCCTGGCTGGGCTCCGTGCCTGTTTGCAGAGGAGCTGGTGCATGCAGGCTGGGAGAAGTGCTGGAGCCGGAGGGAGAATCGTCCCTACTACTTCAACCGATTCACCAACCAGTCCCTGTGGGAGATGCCCGTGCTGGGGCAGCACGATGTGATTGTGAGTGCCAGCCTAGGGTGGGGGGGTCTCAGAGTGGCCTCTGGCACCTGGGCCTTCCCCAAATGTACCCTGAGCAGCCGTTCAGTGCCCAGCCCTGTGCTGGCACCTGCAGATACAATGACAAGCAAGACAGACACAGCCCCTGCCCTCATGGAACCTACACTCAAATGGGGTAGACTGACAAGTAAACAGATGATTGCATGGCTGCTGCACGGTGGGTGCTGTGCCGCGAGGCAGGAATGAACAAGGCAGACTTGCTCCCTACGGTCGCAGAGCACCCATGGGCTGCCAGGTGACAGCAGGATTACACTTGTGGTCCGTGTATGAGGAATAGTGTTAGAATACATCTAGATCCTGACATACTCTGGGGAAGGCAAGGAGATGGGAAAAGCTCTGAGAATGAGTGTTTAAGGTGAGAGAGTGAGTGAGTGTGGGGAGGAAAAGAACATTCTAGGATCTGACATGTCAGTACGACGGGAAGTACAGGCATGGGCTGTCTGGTGGGAACATGGGCTTTTGGGTCCTTCTCAGCTGGGGCAGCATTTCTTTACTGGGCACAGTTGAGACAGTTGGCATCTTCATTTTGCATGTGAAGACACTGAGGTTCAAAGATGGGGAACGACTGGCACGAGACCTCACAGTAATAGGCAGAGCAGGACGCACACCTGATGTGAGTTCAGGGCCACACTACTCACCACCATGCATTCTCTCAGTGTTACCAAGAGTCCCATCTGCAGGGCCTTGCTTTTTACAACAATAAGCAGTTTTTGAGCTTTTCATTTATTCCTCACATTCATTCTGTTCTTGAGGAAAATAATGTGTAATGAGTACTGATCTCATGCCAGATGCCATGTTAAGCAGGTCATATTCACTGACTCATTTAATAATCTCAGTGGTGATGTAGGGATTAGCATGGCCATTCTGAAGGTGAGAGAACTGGAAGGGAAGTAACACACCCTGTCGCACAGTTGCAAGTTGCAGGCAGGACTGGAGCCCAGTGTTCTCTGCCTGTATCCCAGCTCCTCTGCTCTTCCCTAAGGAGTAGGAGCAGGGGTGGGAGGGCGTGAGGATTCAAAGTCCTGTGGCTCCTAAGCCGCTGGCCCTGGTTGCAACTCTGCTGGTCTCCCTCCACCAGTCGGACCCTTTGGGGCTGAATGCGACCCCACTGCCCCAAGACTCAAGCTTGGTGGAAACTCCCCCGGCTGAGAACAAGCCCAGAAAGCGGCAGCTCTCGGAAGAGCAGCCAAGCGGCAATGGTGTGAAGAAGCCCAAGGTGAGTGTCTGTGGCCAGGAGCCGGCTGCCGAGCGGCCGGCTCAGACGGGCCGCCTGCAGGCTCCCTGCAGGGGCTGGGCATTGGCAGGCCAGCCAGGAGGGGGGCCTGGGACACAGTTCACCAGGTGTGCACTGTATTGGATGGAGCCTCTCTGGTGAATCTCCTGACTTGACACCTTTGTGACTTTCACTACAGATTGAAATCCCAGTGACACCCACAGGCCAGTCGGTGCCCAGCTCCCCCAGTATCCCAGGAACCCCAACGCTGAAGATGTGGGGTACGTCCCCTGAAGATAAACAGCAGGCAGCTCTCCTACGACCCACTGAGTGAGTCCCTGCTGATTGGCTTGGGGGCACCCATTGCTAATGTCAGCCTGTCTGGGACTGTGGGGTGGTGTGGGTGGGCAGGACATCCTCATCACTCCTCTCTGTGCCCCAAGGGTCTACTGGGACCTGGACATCCAGACCAATGCTGTCATCAAGCACCGGGGGCCTTCAGAGGTGCTGCCCCCGCATCCCGAAGTGGAACTGCTCCGCTCTCAGCTCATCCTGAAGCTTCGGCAGCACTATCGGGAGCTGTGCCAGCAGCGAGAGGGTACCTGCCTCTGGGCTGCAGCCTCCTTTATTTCCACCCACCTTTAGCATGAGCCAGGTTTGGCCAGGCCAGTTTGGGGATGGCGGAGTGGGGCCCAGTGGTGAGCCATGATCACACCAGTGCACTCCAGCCTGAGTGACAGAGCAAGACCCTCTTTCAAAAAAACAAGAGTATCTATACCTTAGGATTCTATGATAACCATTAAGTAAAATGAATAAGTATTAAATGAACTGTAGTTTTTAATTTTATTTATTTATTTTTTTTGAGATGGAGTCTTGTTCTGTAGCCCCTGCTGGAGTGCAGTGGCACCATCTCCGCTCACTGCATCATCCTCCTCCTGGGTCCCGGTTCAGGCAATTCTCCTGCCTCAGCCTCCCGAGTAGCGGGATTACAGGTGTACACCACCATGCCCAGCTCATTTTTGTATTTTTAATAGAGATGGGGGTGTCACGATGTTGGCCAGGCTGGTCCTGAACTCCTGACCTTGTGATGCGCCCGCCTCAGCCTCCCACAGTGCTGGGATTACAGGCATGAGCCACCACACCTGGCTAATTTTTTTTTAAGAGACAGGATCTGGCTATGTTGCCCAGGCTGGTCTTGTACTCCTGGGCTCAAGCCTTCTGCTTGCCTTGGCCTCCCACAGTGCTGGGATTACAGATGTGAGCCACCATGCCTGGCCTAGTTTTTAATTTTTATGATTAGTAATAAACCTATTTAACCTTGCTCAAATATAGAATCCTCTGGCCTTTCACCTTTTTTTTTTTTTTTTTAATTTTTTTTTTTCTTGAGACGGCGTCTCGCTCTGTCGCCCAGGCTGGAGTGCAATGGCGTGATCTCGGCTCACTGCAACCTCCACCTCCCGGGTTCAAGCGATTCTTCTGCCTCAGCCTCCTGAGTAGCTGGGACTACAGGTGCCTGCCACCACGCCCAGCTAATTTTTATACTTTTAATAGAGATGGGGTTTCACCATGTTGGCCAGGATGGTCTCGATCTCTTGACCTTGTGATCCACCCGCCTTGGCCTCCCAAAGTGCTGGGATTACAGGCGTGAGCTACCGCACCCGGCCCACCCTTTTTTTTTTTTTTTTTACATTATGTAATACTTTTTTTTTTTTTTCTTTTTCTAAGATGGAGTTTTGTTCTTGTTGCCCTGGCTGGAGTGCAATGGCACGGTCTCGGCTCACTGCAACCTCTGCCTCCCAGGTTCAAGCGATTCTCCTGCCTCAGCCTCCTTAGTAGCTGGGAATATGGGCACATGCCACCACACCCAGCTAATTTTTGTATTTTTAGTAGAGATGGGTTTTTTCCATGTTGGCAAGGCTGGTCTCTAACTCCTGACCTCAGGTGATCCACCCATCTCGGCCTCCTGAAGTGCTGGGATTACAGGCGTGAGCCACTGCGCCCAGCCTTTTTATTCTTTTCTTTTGAAACAAGGTCTCGCTCTGTCACCCAGGTTGGGGTGCAGTGGCACGACCACAGCTCACAGCAGCTTCAGCCACCCGGGTTCAAGCGATCCTCCCGCCTCAGCCTCCCGAGGAGCTGGGACACCCAGCTAATTTCTTTTTTTTTTTTTTTTTTTTTTTTTTTGTAGAGACAGGCTGTTACTGTGTTGCCCAGGCCGGTCTTGAACTCATGGGCTCAAGCTGTCCTTCCACCTTAGCCTTCCAAAGTGCTGAGATTACAGATGTGAGCCACTACGCCTGGCTAGATACTTATCAACACTATAAAACTAGTGATTCTTAGAATATATTTTGGGAAATGCAGCCTAGAAGCTTCTGAAGTGGGACTGTGTCTTGCTTACTGCTGAATGCGATGCTTCCTATACGTGCCAAGCTCCAAGTGGGACTGCTTGATTAAATCCAGGCCTTCAGCAGCTCTCCTGTCCTGCAGGCATTGAGCCTCCACGGGAGTCTTTCAACCGCTGGATGCTGGAGCGCAAGGTGGTAGACAAAGGATCTGACCCCCTGTTGCCCAGCAACTGTGAACCAGTCGTGTCACCTTCCATGTTTCGTGAAATCATGAACGACATTCCTATCAGGTACAGCTCCACAGCTGGGGATGACCCTGGGCCATTTGGTTTCTGTGCCCAGTCATGTATAGAAGGCCTCTAACTCTGCCCACTCTGAAACGCAGGTTATCCCGAATCAAGTTCCGGGAGGAAGCCAAGCGCCTGCTCTTTAAATATGCGGAGGCCGCCAGGCGGCTCATCGAGTCCAGGTTTGCCTGTCTTCTGCCCCAGGCGAGATGGGTCTGTGATTAAAGTGGCAGGTCATAGGCCATCTTGCCCAGTCTCATGCAGGGCTGTCATTGCTCTCGGTGGCAGAAGTGGGGCCAGCTCCCAAAGGCAGAACAAGGGCTGTGATGGAAGCTAGGGGTTGATACCCAGCGAGCCCATGGAATTGGGATGAGGAGGGTGGAGCCAAGCCATTCCTTTCTTCTGCCCTCCCCTTGACTGGCAGGAGTGCATCCCCTGACAGTAGGAAGGTGGTCAAATGGAATGTGGAAGACACCTTTAGCTGGCTTCGGAAGGACCACTCAGCCTCCAAGGAGGACTACATGGTGAGTGGGTCCCCGGGTGAGAAGGCCAGTTTTAGGGCTCTGTGGCCACTTCCTCCAGGAAGCCTACTCTGCCTGTCCAGGCTGGGCAAGGCCTCCCCCAGCGGCCTATTCTTGTGCAGTATGGCAGACGTTCGACATTCGTCAGTCCCCAAACTCATGACTGTGGAGATGTTTCTCTGGGCTCCTGGCTTTCTCCCACAGAACATTTCCATTAACAATCTTAATGGAGTCTTATGCTTGGCCACACACCACAGATAGCTGCCTTTCAGCCTAATGAATGTTCAGCATCTCCCTTGTAGATTTTTGGAAACAGATTGACAGCCTGCTTTTTTTGGGTGTGTGTGTTCATATCATGGTTAAGAGCTACCATCAGATTCAATTCCCTACTCTTAATGTGTCCAAAACAGTTCTGTTTTCTGGCCAAAACCTATCACTTCTTAAACCTCTCCACCAGCACTAGCAATGGGCTTTCTTTTCAGGACCATATTTCACAAGAGACAAGGTTTCGCACTTCACGATAGTAACTGTGTACTTGACACGTAGAGAGTGACAAAGGTAGGTGTACTCACTAGCCAGAGTGACTCATTCTCACTCTTCAGTTTTACACGTGTGATTCAGCAAAATTACAAATCCCGACAGTCATCTTTGCAAGTAGCTAAAAGCTCAAATCTCAAGTCTGCAGCAACCAAGCACCCTGTTTTGTAATTGTGTCTTTCCCCAATAGACTGCAAACACCATAAGCTGGGACTGTGCTGGTTTGTCTGTTTCTCCGGTAATTATCATGGGATCTAGCAGTGTAACCCCAACAAAAGCTACTGGCATTTATTGTACACTTACTGTATGCCAGGCATTTGGCAAGCCCTTAAGGGAAATGATCACATTTAATATTCAAACTGCCCTGTTAGGTATCTCGTGTCCCCTTGACACTTGAGGAATAAGATTGAGAGAAGCCAGGGGATTTGTCCAAGTGACACAGCTAGTCAGCAGCAGAGCTGGTTTCAAAACAAGGACTGCTGGACTCCAACAGCCCTGCGGTTACCTGCCAGCCCAGCTGAGCCCCTCTGGCCTCCACTAGCGCCCTGATCCAGAATGTGTCCTCTAGGATCGCCTGGAGCATCTGCGGAGGCAGTGTGGCCCCCACGTCTCGGCCGCAGCCAAGGACTCCGTGGAAGGCATCTGCAGTAAGATCTACCACATCTCCCTGGAGTACGTCAAACGGATCCGAGAGAAGCACCTTGCCATCCTCAAGGAAAACAACATCTCAGGTAGGGGAAAGGTGAAGGAGGAGCCAGCTGTGATGCCGTCAGCTCTATACCCTGATGGAAGGGACAAGTGAGACTGAGCCTCAAGGCCAGGGACTGGTTTGGGGCAGAACCTGCCTGTGTCCTTTGGCTGTACTTCTCTGGGAAACGGAGAAGTGATAAAGGGAGAGCCAGATGGTGGTGGTGAAGATAAGCTGGGAGTCGTAGTTAGGTGTACCTGAATTTACATCCATTCTCTGCAAGCCTTACTTTCCCCAGACTGAAGTGTAGCACCTGGTGGTAGGATTGTGTGAGTACTCATAGGTAACTCAAGTAAACCATGTGGCCCCAAAAGATCCCCAAATAAAGGATCGTCGCTATTACGATGACGGCGATGCAGTTCTCGTTCTTCTGCCTGGCAGCACAACCCACGGGCCTGAGCCTTCTTGCCTGACAGCCCAAGGCACGGCATACGGGGCCCTGCTTCGGTACTGAGTGTGTTGACACAGGCCACCAGTTTCTGCCCCGGCCAGTTGCCTGGCTGGTTTCTTTTTATGGCTTTTCATTCCCTTTCTACTGAACTGGGCCAGAGTATACTGATCTGTGGAATGGGACTTCCCTCTCTCGGTACAAAGCATGTGGCCCACAGTGGCTGCAGCGTGAGAATGAGGAGTGTGGTCCCTCACTGCTCTCCCTGCCCACAGAGGAGGTGGAGGCCCCTGAGGTGGAGCCCCGCCTAGTGTACTGCTACCCAGTCCGGCTGGCTGTGTCTGCACCGCCCATGCCCAGCGTGGAGATGCACATGGAGAACAACGTGGTCTGCATCCGGTATAAGGGAGAGATGGTCAAGGTCAGCCGCAACTACTTCAGCAAGCTGGTAAGAGCTGCGGGGAGGAAGGCCCTAGCTGATGGCATGAGTCAGGGCCTAGGATCTTTCCTGAGCAGAGTCCCCAGCAGGAGGCCAGTGATGAGGACATGAGGGAGCACTGCTGAAGGCTCCTCCTCTCTGTCCCGCTCCACAGTGGCTCCTTTACCGCTACAGCTGCATTGATGACTCTGCCTTTGAGAGGTTCCTGCCCCGGGTCTGGTGTCTTCTCCGACGGTACCAGGTACAGGCCTGGGGCAGCAGGGAGGGCTCCCCAGGAGGGAACAGGGAGGGTGAGCCCCAGGTGCTGACGGTGGCCACTCCGCAGATGATGTTCGGCGTGGGCCTCTACGAGGGGACTGGCCTGCAGGGATCGCTGCCTGTGCATGTCTTTGAGGCCCTCCACCGACTCTTTGGCGTCAGCTTCGAGTGCTTCGCCTCACCCCTCAACTGCTACTTCCGCCAGTACTGTTCTGCCTTCCCCGACACAGACGGCTACTTTGGCTCCCGCGGGTGAGGGCCAAGGGCTGCCCCTCTACCCAGGCCAGGGAAGAGGTCCTCCAGAGCACAGGGCCCGCCTCTGCTGGCTGTAGTGTCAGGCAGGCTTGGGTGGAGTCCCTGCCTCCACCTCTTACCGGCTATGTGACCTTGGACATGTTGCTTAACTTCTGGGAGCCTGAGCTTTTCTGGTTCTGTGGGCAGGCACGTGACACCCCTAAGCTGGCCTGTGGGTTTCTCAGTGAGTCAGTTCAGGGTGGAATAGGAACACGTGGTCCCAGGCCCTGAGAGGAGTGAGAAGTGGGGCCACAGACCTCAGAGGCCTTACAAACTAGGGGTTGAGGTGACCACAGATGAGAGAAGGTAATGCTGTCTCCAGAAGGAAGAATGGTCAGGACCTCCAGAGGTCCAGAGCTCAGCAGCTGGGGATCCTGGGTGTAGCTTCTGCTGTGGTGGTGGTGGGCTCAGAACTGGATTTGAATTCCAGCTTGGTGAACATGGGCATCCCAGCCTGAGCCTCACTCACTGTCCTCATTCATTCAGTGGAGACGGTCATGCCTTGTGCCCCAATGAATTAGGGTGAATGCTGGCTTCTGGACAGGCCATCTCTTCAGTGTGGCTGCCTAGGGTTGGGGGGTGGCACCTGTTTCTGGTTGAGGGACTGGGTCCTGATGGGACTTAGAATGCTCACTCCTGTCCCCAGGCCCTGCCTAGACTTTGCTCCACTGAGTGGTTCATTTGAGGCCAACCCTCCCTTCTGCGAGGAGCTCATGGATGCCATGGTCTCTCACTTTGAGGTGGGTGCACTGCCAGGGTGAGAGGTGGGCAACAGGCAGGATTGCCAGCCACCTGGGAGGTAGTCCCTGACATCCACCCTGTGTCCCCTTCCACAGAGACTGCTTGAGAGCTCACCGGAGCCCCTGTCCTTCATCGTGTTCATCCCTGAGTGGCGGGAACCCCCAACACCAGCGCTCACCCGCATGGAGCAGAGCCGCTTCAAACGCCACCAGTTGATCCTGCCTGCCTTTGAGCATGAGTACCGCAGTGGCTCCCAGCACATCTGCAAGAAGTGGGTGCCAGGGAGGGCAGGGGAAGGAGGCTGGGCTGGCCAGGCCAGGCCCAGCCCCACCCTGAGCCATTGCCTTTGCCCGCAGGGAGGAAATGCACTACAAGGCCGTCCACAACACGGCTGTGCTCTTCCTACAGAACGACCCTGGCTTTGCCAAGTGGGCGCCGACGCCTGAACGGCTGCAGGAGCTGAGTGCTGCCTACCGGCAGTCAGGCCGCAGCCACAGCTCTGGTTCTTCCTCATCGTCCTCCTCGGAGGCCAAGGACCGGGACTCGGGCCGTGAGCAGGGTCCTAGCCGCGAGCCTCACCCCACTTAACATATCCTGCGGGGAGGAGGAGCCCCAGGGGTGCTAGTCTGGACTGCTGGGACTCGGGCCCCTGGGGCCTCAGAGGGACCCCGGCTGCCACTGACATATGAAGATTATGGTTCTGCCAGGGCTCCCCTCCCTGCCTGTCCCCAAGTCCTCACCTCAAACTCCCTCCAAGTCCCATGTATATAGGTCCTGATGCCTTCCCAACCCCGCCCCTCACCCTGTTGCCACCTTGTTTCATTTGTAAAAGGAAATACAGAAACCCCCCCAAGAATGTGTGAGGGTCTTGAGGGCAGAGAAGGCTGAGGCAGCTGGAGCTACTTCTGGGACCACACTCCCCTCCCTCCCTCCAGCAGCTCCTTCTCATGGCCCCTGGGCCTTCACTCTCCCATCTGGGGTCCCACACAGCTGGGTCCCTGGTGGCCTCTGCCTGGGCTCAGGAGGTCCGAAGAGTCCAAGGCCCTGCATCCCCTATCTCCAAACTCCCCCAGCAGGGCCTGTATGGATACCCCTGGGGATCAGAGGACTGGGAGCTGTGCCTGTCCCCAACCCAAAAGCCAGACTCTTGCTGGCCCTGGATCCCCACAGTGAGCGAAGAGCTGGGTGTGCCTCACAGTCAAGGCTCAGGAGAGCAGCTTCAGAGGATCTGTAGGCACAGAGCGTGTGCTCCCTAGGGCCCAGGGAGGAAGCAGGTCTGAAGGTGCTTGCTGGGGCTCTCGCTGGTTCAGCCGTCTCTGAACCAGCCACCTCTCTCATTGCCAGGCCTCTGCAGCAAGGGTCTGCCCTGCTGGTGGATCACCGGACTTAACAGGGGCAGGGCAGGACAGGGCACGCTGTGGAGCCAGGCAGCCTCCACCTCACAAGACCTGGCCTGGTACAGGCTACAGCAGCAAGCAGACAAAGTAAGCTGTTCAGGACTGGACTCCGGTCCCTTTATTGAGACTGACAGGCCAGTGGGTCCACCCAAACAAAAATAAATTTCTCTCCCAAAGCCTGCCTGCAGGCTGGGGCACCCAGCATGTCCTGGCTGGGGCCCATGGCTGCCCCTAACCCCAACAGCACAGGTCTGGCTCCCTGGGAATGAGAGGATGCTGGCTATCCAGTATCTGGAGATCCTAAATGAAGAGGGAGGTGAGTCCTGGTGGCCCCCTACCCCCAGGAGAGCTGGCCGCAAATCCATGATCTGTGTTGGGCCCTCGGGGCTCAGTCATCGGCCAGGGTGATGACGTCGTACTCGATGCCCTGGTGCTGCAGCTGTTGAATGTGTTCGGGCACTGTCTCGTCTGTACCAAACAGGCCCTGGGCTTGGGCCATGGCAGCATCAGCCACTGCTGCCAGGGGAGGGGAAAGTATGGTGAGCTGGAGGCTCAAGAGCTGGGTCCATACCCAGCCCCATGCTCCTCAGGATCCAGCTCCATACCTGTGACAGCTGAGTGTGCTGCAGCCTCAAGTTGAGCCTGTGTGACAAGCTGCTGGCCTGGGGACACAGGCACATACTGGATCTGGAGGGGAGAAGCTGATAAGATGCTGGCCTGGAGAAACCTGCCTGTGCCCCAGGTCTCCCTGTCCCCCCACGGCCCTACCTGGGACTCCTGAAGGAACGGGGCTCCTTGTTCATACTGGATGTGTGTGATCTGGCCCTCCTGTACCTGCAGAGAGGAAGCCAAGCTGTGATCCTAGGGAGAGGTCATGCAGCCCTTCACCACACAGCACCCTCATCCCAGGTCTGGCCTACCTGGATGTGATGGCCTTCAGGGACCACAACATATTCCTGGGGGAGCAGGTGCTGGACACCATCCTGGGAGATGATATACTGCACCTGTTGGTGGGGGGGGCGGGCATGGCGAGGCAGGTGCTGAGGCCCCACTCGCCAGGAGCTTAGCTAAGAAGGCAGAGTGGAAGACTAGGAACAGCCACCAGCAACAATGCAGTTGTTGGCAAGCATGGACCCCAGGAGGGGTGGTTTGGAAAGTATCATTCCTCCCCAAGGTAGGTCTTTGGGAGGGTAGGAGGTCACAGCTGAGGGGATTAACAGTAGCTAGTAGCTCACCTGGTTGTCGGAGGTCACCAGGTGCTGTACGGTCTGGCCATCTGCCGTGGTGATCTCTTGGATGTAGGCGGCTTCCTCCTGCCAGGACCAAGACAGCTCTAGCCTCATTTCTCTACCCCAACCCCTGCCTGTCGCTGGCCAGAGGGCCCCCAGTCCTGACTCTTACCTGATTGGTCACTGTCTGTTCCTGGGCAACGATGATGTGTTCCTGGCTCAGTGCCTGCTGTAGCCGCTCTGGGCCCAGGACCCCGTGACTGGACTGGAGTGCAGCTGGGCAGAGAGGAGAGGATGCTCACCTGGGGTCCAGGAAAACCTGCAATGCCCCAGCTGCTACTGTACCCAGTGGTGCCTTTTGGGGCAGTGGCCCAAGTCTCTGGATCTACCCTGTTGCCCACCCTGTGGCCCCAGGGGCAGCTCACTGTGCAGGGTGGCCAGTGTTTCGTCATCACTGTTCAGGATGATGGTCTGGGTTGGGGTCTGGGTAGGGGCCCGGGCTGTAGGGGTTCCTGACTTCCTCCCATCAGGACTGTGCAGCCGCTGGATGTGGAACTTGAGGTGCCCGTTACGGTTGAAACTGAGGGGGATGAAAGGTGGCTCAGGTTAGCTCCACCATACATGCCCAGCAGTCCCCACCCACCAGTATCTGGCCTCACCGCTGCCCGCAGAGGTGGCATGCAAAAGGCTTCTCCTTTGTGTGAGTCAGCATGTGCCGACGCAGGTCCTTCTTGTTCTTGGAGGCAAAGCTGCACTGGCTACACTGGTGGGGCCGTAGGCTTGAGTGCTGTGCCATGTGCGCCTGCAGAGAGGGCAGAGTTGGGGGCATTGGCTGGGTCAGGACAGATGGCAACAAATCCCCGGATCCCTGCTGACAGCTGGTCAGGGAACCAGACAAAGTGGACCTGGGAAAACCAAAATCCTGTGCACTAACAAGAAGCTGGGTAGAAAGGCCAAGCCGGATCCGTATCTGGTGCTGCTGTGTCCTAAGAATGAAAGGCCATAGATTCCATCATTATTAGGTAAATTGGAAAATCTCACTTTACCCATATGTAACACAGGTGTTAGATGAGGGGACCTGTGCAGGTCCCATCGGGCCCTGAATTTTTTTTTTTTGAGACAGTTTTGCTCTTGTTGCCCAGAGGCTGGAGTGCAATGGCGTGATCTCGGCTCACTGCAACCTCCACCTCCTGGGTTCAAGCGATTCTCCCGCCTCAGCCTCCCAAGTTGCAGGGATTACTGGCATGCGCCACCACACCTGGCTAATTTTGTATTTTTAGTAGAGATGGGTTTTCTCCATGTTGGTCAGGCTGGTCTCAAACTCCCGACCTCAGGTGATCCGCCTGCCTCGGCCTCCCAAAGTGCTGGGATAAGAGGTGTGAGCCACCGTGCCCGGCCCTGGCCCTGATTTTCTAGGGCTGAGGCCTGATAGGGCGTTCACCTCTGCACTGTAGGGTGGGGCTCTAGGCCCTGCTTCCCTCTCCAACCTCTGGAGAGGATGCAGTGCATGACTGGATCTGAAAACAAAATCCTCAGGCAAACAGGGAGGCCCCAAGCTGGGCTGTGAACCTGCCCCAGAACTGGCCCACTCACCTTCTCCATGGTGGCTCCCCAACCACCTCGAACCTCTGTGCCCTCAGTATTCTAGACCAGTGGTCCCCACCCTTTTTGGCACCAGGGACTGGTTTTATGGGAGATAACTGTTTCACGGCATGTGCAGGGTGATAGTTTTGGGATGAAGTTGTTGCACCTCAGTTCATCAGATATTAGTTAGATTCTTAGAAGGAGTGTGTGACCTAGATTACTCGTATGCACAGTTCACAATGGGGCTGTGCTCCTGAGACTAATGCAGCTGCTGTGACAGGAAGTGGAGCTCAGGCAGTAGTGCTTGCCCACCTGCCGCTCACCTGCTGTGTGGCCTGGTTCCTAACAGGCCATGGATGACTACCAGTCTATGGCCCAGGGGTTGGGCACCCCTGTTCTAGACGTTCGAGTCTCCCTAGCCATGCCTCTGTCACACACTTCTGTGCCTTTGCTCCTAGAGGCCCAGCTTGGCCATCCCTTCTGTGGCATTTTCCCCAGCACACACAAGTTCAAATGACCTGCTCTGTGTCCTGCACCCTTGGTTCACACTCGGGACACTGTGTCTGGCATTAGTCACGTTGTGTGTGGTTTGCCTCCCCACCAGACCAACTCCCTGAGAGCTGGGACCTTGCGGAGTCATCTCTGACCCATCTCATCCACTCAGAGGAGAGCAGAGGATCTGGCTTGAAAGGGCACTCATTAAAGGTTTGTTATACAAACGAGTAGCCCAATGAATGACAGCAGAGACACAGGAGCAACCAGCACCTACCCGGACCTCGGGCCACTGGCGGGCACTGAAGGGGCAGTCGGGGCACTTGAAGGCACCAGGCCCAGCGTGGGCCCGCTTGTGACTCTCCATCTCAGCTCGGCCAGGGAAGGCCTCGGCACAGATCTTGCAGGAAAACTTCTTTGATGCAGCAGTGGCTGCAGATGGCGGTGACGGGGGCACTGCCAGGCCCAGGGCTTTGCTGGTTGCAGGAGGTGAGGAGGCAGAGCTCTGGGAGTCCCCTACGCAGTGGGTCTTGGCTGGAGATGGGGGCTCAGGGCCGTCTCTGGGCAGTCCCCCACACTGCAGCAGGGGCCATTTGGCACCAGAGGCCAGAGCATCTGGACTTGGGAAGGAGATGGAGCCATCTGCGGTGAGCTGTAGAGAGACAGGGAGCATGAGGTACTGAGAAGGGGAGGGAGGTGGGGGAGTGGTTGGCATCCCCAAGCCTCACCTCAATGTGGTGCAACTGGGTACCATCAGTAGCCATGATGTAGTGGGTGCCAGCTTCTTTTAGGGTGTCACTCACAACCACAGCCTGGGCTGCCTCTCCTGCGGGCTCCTCGCTGTGGGCATGGAGAAGGTTCTAGGAGAAGATGGAGGGCCACAGGAGCCCCCTTCCCCAAGCAACAGGCATCAACTGAGGAGTGACTGTCACCACAGATGGACTCAAGTCAGAAGGGCCCAGGGTTCAACTGTGGCTCTGCCCTGTTACCAAATGACCCTCTACCATGTCTCTTGTAAATGATTACAACTCAAGCATGGGTCCTTCTCAAAAGCTGGTAATTCTTGTCCTCGGCAAACATGGCGAGGTGGGGGGCACACAGTGAGGCAGAGGGGTCTAACCCAACCAGTAGCAAACGGTGAATCCACCACCAGGAGCTAGTGGAGGAGGCAGGGCTAACGAGGACCTGCTGCCTAAGAGCAGACAGCAAATGCTGAGACTGGCCGCCCAGGTGCTGGCCAAGGGCATGGGCCTGGGGATCCTGACTCCCTGCTCAGCTCAACAATTTGGCACTTGGATTCAGGGCTTCCTCAGATGGCCTAAGAGTTTGGTGAACATAAACATGCCTGCCCAAGCTCATTCACTGTAGGGAAGCCAAGTACAGGTGCCAGGCCTCAATGCTGGTAAAGAGGCCTGAGCTTGCTCGGAGTGTCAGAACTGAAGAACACCTGGGATCACCCAAGAAGAGCACTTGGGCATGGGAACCAAAGGGACCAGGGTTCAAATCTCACCTACTGCATGTGTGGTTTCAGGCTGGTCACTTAACCTCCCTGGCCCATTTCCTCATTTGTAAAACAAGGGAAATCTGGGTCTCATGGGAATGGCTTAGGTCCCATCATGAGTGCCAAGTGCTTGGAATATCTAAGTGGCTAAAAAATGGTAGCTCTTGACCTCCTGAGAAGGGTAGACTCCACCACTAATCACTTGATGTGTATTGGGATTTTTGCCTCCTGCCAACTAGGCTTGGGTGGGGCCCAAATCGGACCGACCGACCACACCTACAAAAAGCTGAAAGGGGCCTTGCAGGCAGCAGGTCTCACCTGTAAGGTGTGCCAGGAGCTGATGTTCCCTCCTCCATAGGGGGTGCTGTGATGACACTGTAGCCAGTCCCACCAAATGGACCAGGTGCCAGGGTGATCTGCGGTAGGTCAGGAGGGCCTAGCTGGCTCTCGGCTGCTGCACCGCCCCCTGGCTCTGCCACGTGGAGGGTGACCACCTGTGGAGTGGCACCTTCAGGGGAGGGCTGCCCACCAGGGGATGCTAACCCTGCTTCCACATCTTCCGACTTCACCACAGCCACCTGCAACGGCACCAGGGGGCGGGATGGGAGGCACTGGTGGCAGAGGAGCGGGTATGCAAGACGCCTCCCCCATCTCAGTGTCCCAGATGCACCCACACACTCTAGTCAGACCAGTGCTGCCACCACTCATTTGAATAGCCCAAGTTCTTTCTAAAATATACTCTGGCTTTCCAAATCCCACTCAGCAACTGGAAATAGACCAACAGGAATAGGGCAGAGCAGTTGTGCCCCCCACAAAGATTTGGCAACGTCTGGAGACATTTCTTATCACAGCAGGAGGGGGATGGTACTGGCATATAGTCGGGAGAGGCCAGGGATGCCGCTGAACACCCCATAATGCACAGGACCGCCCCACCACACAATAGTATCTGCCTCAACATGCTAACAGCGCTGCAGACAAGAAATACTGGGGACAACTGACAAATCACTTAGAAAAAAGCTCCAGTGTACATCTTATTCCAGTTGGCTTCAAATGGTTTAAAGATTAAAATGTAATAAAACTCTAAATATATTAAAATAAAACGTAGGTAAGTATTTTAGAATTGGGACAGGGAGATTTTTCTAATCATGACAGAGAAAGATAAAACCTAGAGCAAAATTAACCATAAAATGAAGCCAAAAAACAAAGAAATTGGGGTTGGGGGATATTTCACAACTCATAAAAAGTGGACTTCCCTCATATATGGAGCTCCTGCAAAGCAATAACTAAAAGCTAACAATAGAAAAACAAATACAGGACACAAACAGGTACTTTAGAAAGGAATAAAATGGTCTCTGAACATACAGAGAGGAGTTCAACCTCATTTACGGTCATACAATTACTTTTTTTTTTTTTTTTTTTTTTTGAGACTGGGTATTGCTCAGGCTGGAGTGCAGTGGTACGATTACAGCTCACTGCAGCCTCAACCTCCTGGGCTCAAGCGATCCTCCCACCTCAGCCTCTCAAGTAGCTGGTACTACAGGCATGCATTGCCACACCCGGCTAATTTTTTAAGAGACAGGGTTTCACCATGTTGTCCAGGCTGGTCTCAAACTCCTGGACTCAAGCAATTCTCCTGCCTTGGCCTCCCAAAGTGCTGGGATTACAAGTGTGAGATTGGTAAAGATTTATAACGACTGAGGCCGGGCGTGGTGGCTCACGCCTGTAATTCCAGCACTCTGGAAGGCCGAGGCGGGCAGATCATGAGGTCAGGAAATCGAGACCATCCTGCTTAACATGGTGAAACCCCATCTCTACTAAAAATAAAAAAATAAAAGAAGCCAGTCGTGGTGGTGGGTGTCTGTAGTCCCAGCTACTTGGGAGGCTGAGGCAGAATGGTGTGAACCCGGGAGGCGGAGGTTGCAGTGAGCCGAGATCGCACCACTGCACTCCAGCTTGGGCAACAGAGCAAGACTCTGTCTCAAAAAAAAAAAAAAAAAAAAGATTTATAAAGACTGATAATACCCAGTGTATTGGCATGAATGCAGGGAAATATACCCTACTGGTGGCCACGTATACTGGCGTATCTTTTTACAAGGCTTCTCACCATACCCTCTGACCCACTAATTCTTCTTGTAGGAGGCTTTTTAAAAACACTACAAAGATGTTGGCTGGGTACGGTGGCTCACACCTGTAATCCTGGCACTTTGGGAGGCCAAGGCAGGCAGATCACTTGAGGTCAGGAGTTCGAAACTAGCCTGGCCAATATGGTGAAACCCTATCCCTACTAAAAATACAAAAAAGTAGCCAGGTGTGGTGACGTGCACCTGTAATCCCAGCAACTCAGGAGGCCGAGGTAGGACAATCATTTGAACCCAGGAGGCGGAGGTTGCAGGGAGCCAACATCACGCCACTGCACTCCAGCCTGGGTGACAAAATGAGACTCCATCTCAAAAAAAAAAAAAATTTATGAGCACTGAAAATATATGTACAGTGAAGCACTGCTTGAATTAATATAAAACGAAAGAACCCAGCCAATAAAGGACTGCCTAACTATAGCTGAGAACATCCATGTGATCAAATGATACAGAGATGCAAGATGGAGATCTTAGGAGAATAAGGGTAACTGCAGGTGCTGGCCAGGCCGTGCATCACATGCTGTTAGGTAAAAGATGACGCTGAGGAGCAGCCAATAATGTGATCCCATTTTTTAAGGAACAAAGGTCTAGGTGTTGGTATGAACATGAACAAATCCCTGAAGAAATTCTTCTGAACCCATTTACTGGGTATCTGATGGGAGGGGAGAAATGCCAAGGACTTTCACCTTCTACTGAAACATTTCCTAATGTTCATTTTTTTCTTTTTTTCTTTTTTTTTTTTTAGATGGAGTTTTGCTCGTTGGCCAGGCTGGAGTGCAATGGCGCAATCTCGGCTCACCGTAACCTCCGCCTCCTGGGTTCAAGCGATTCTCCTGCCTCGGCCTCCCGAGTGGCTGGGATTACAGACGTGTGCCACCACGCCCAGCTAATTTTGTATTTTTAGTAGCAATGGGGTTTCTCCATGTTGGTCAGGCTGGTCTCGAACTCCTGACCTCAGGTGATCCAGCCACCTTGGCGTCCCAAAGTGCTGGGATTACAGGCATAAGCCACCACGCCAGGCCCATTTTGTTTCTTTTACAAGCATGTGCTTTTGTAAGCAGAAAAACTCTACCACATGAGATTGGCATGGGAACAGGAGACAAATCAATAGAACAGAACTCAAGTCTAGAAACAGACTCCTACATATTTGGGAATCTAGTATATGAGGAGGACACTTCAAACCACAGGTGAAGATACCACGTCGGATGACTTCTGGAAAAAAAAAAATCGATCCCTACCTTTCTGCATACACCAGAAATAAATTCCAGGTGGAGTAAGATTTAAGTGTAAAAAATAAAACCCTAAGAAAAAAATATAAATGAATGTTTTATAACCTTGGGATACAAGTTGGGGGAGTCTTTCTAGGGATGATACCAAAGGGAAAACTATAAAAGACTGATAAATTTTCCTATCTAAAAATGTAAAACTTCTATACACCCCTAACTGCCATGAACTAAATTATTATGATTTCTGGAATTCATCATCTTAAAAACACACTCTCCATCTTCTCATGAGGCTGGGAAACAGGAGGGGCTAATAAACTTCCCTCTGCCTTGGAGACCAGGCCAGATGTGAACGGGGAGGGCAGGGAGGGGCAAAGGTGTTGAACTTTGGGGAGGTGCATGAACCAAGACCCCTGGAACGCGAGAGAGTGGTCTGATCTAGAGGAAGCCCTGGGGTCTGCAGGCTGTAGGAGGTGTCCCGGAATGAGGGCGCTCTTGTGGATGGAAAAGCTAGTTCAAGCTGTGGGGGCACCCACAGGCACATGGTGGTTGCAGAGGTGGGAGGAAGACAAAACAAGAACAGGGCCCCAGATGCCGCAGGGGCAGTGTGTACTGCTCCACCTGGCAGAGGTCACCAGTGATTCTGGAGAATGGACGGGATACCCTGCGGCCTCCGTGGCAAAGCCTGTTCCTCTCTGTTTGCCCACCAGACTTCAGCAGATCTGTCTCCTCCACTGCCTGGGAGCTCCCAAGGGCGGAGAAGCTCTGATACACTGTTTTCCTCTAGTCCCAGTGTCCAGTGCAGGGCTGGGTACCTGCGGTAGCTGGGAAGGGGAGCAGGTTCCCAGGCAGCTCACCTGCAGGGCTGTGCCCCCCAGTTCCCGCTGAGCACTCATGTTCAGCAGAAGATCCAAGGCTGTCTGCGTGGCCATCGCTGTCGACTCCTCAGCTCCTGGGTGGGGTGGGACCTAAGCCTGACAAAGTGCTAGAAAACTGGCACCCAATACCACCCCCTCCCCATCTTCCAGCCCCCACCAGCACGACCTGCCCCTGCCCAACTCAGAGGTCCTACCCTCCATGAGCTCCTATCCTCCTACAGAGCTCACCTTGCTGGTAGATGATGGTGGCGCCGCCCAGGGTGTCAGAACAGAGCAATGAGGGAGCCTCAGATGACTGGAAAGTTGTCGCCTCTGGGGGTATCTATGGGGTGGAGATATGGCCACGCCTGAGAGGGGCCAGCCCAGATTCAAGTGCCATTTGCCAAGCACCTCTGATCTGCCAGATGTTTTACATCTGTTGGCTTGTTTCATCTTCATAACCACTTTTCTTTTTTTTTTTTTGAGATGGAGTCTCTCTGTCATGCAGGCTGGAGTACAATGGCTCAATCTAGGCTCACTACAACCTCTGCCCCTGGGTTCAAGTGATTCTTGTGTCTCAGCCTCCTGAATAGCTGGGATTACAAGTGGCCGCCACCACACCCAGCTAATTTTTATATTTTTAGTAGAGATGGGGTTTCTCCATGTTGGTCGGCTGGTTTCAAACTCCTGACTTCAAGTGATCCACCCACCTCGGCCTCCCAAAGTGCTGGGATTACAGGCATGGGCCACCATGCCCAGCCCATAACCAGTTTTCAAAATATACGAGCTCAGTGCTACAGATGAACCCACTAAGGCTCAGAGAGGTGAAGTGGCTGGCCAAGAATCCCACTCCTAATACATAGTAGGGTGAGGGCTTGAACCCATGACTGTGTGATTCCAGGGCCTGTGATCTACCAGCAAGTCATGTGGTCCATCTTTCCAGGGATAGTGTGTCAGCTCACGTGGCAGAGACTGCTAGCTACCTATCCTGAGGCCATCCTCCTCTTCCCTCTTGCTAACAGAACTCTGATTTTCACCAGGGTGGCAATGTACCCAGCTCCAAGACATTTCTCAGCCTCCCTTGCAGCTAGGTAAAGTGTGGCCACATGACTAAGCAACGATCTTCAGGTGAAGTTCATGAGGAATGATGGATAGATGGTAGGTATCCTTTTTGCCTCTCCCCCATCCCTTCCTCCTGCTTCCTGCCTGGGATGTGGCTGGGAAGGCTGGTGCTCCTGCAGCTATACTGGACCATGAGGCAACTACAAAGATGAAAGTCATATGCCTGGGATGACTGGGCAAAGATACTGAGAACTTATTCCCTTACGACTGTATAATCACCGCACCAGCCCTAGACTGCCGACCTGTGGAATTCTTGTATAAGAGAGAATAAAAACTATGATCACAGTTAAGTTACTGGTGTTTCCATTCTCTATTACCAGCACTAGAAAGCCACCCTTACTCTAAGCTTAGGGCTGGCATATGTGTGACTCAGTGAGTTTTTACCACAGTCTCAAGAGGCAGGGATTATTTTGTTGCATCTCAATGTGCAAATGATGCTGGGGCTGGGAGAAGCGGCCTCACTCTGTCATCCTGACCCATGCCCCGACCTTACCTCAGGAGGTCCTGGGGAACTGGGAGGTGGTCCAGGGGCCGCACTGTGCTGCTGCTTCAGCTCCTCAATCTGCTGCAGAGAGAAGAAGGGGCGACGGCGGGAGGGGGGCTCCTCAGGGTGGCGCCTCCCCCATTCCTCGAAGCTGCTTGCGTGTCGGCACCGTACGTGCAGGCGCAGGTTCTTCTTGTGCCGTGTGCTGAAGTGGCAGTACTCACAGGCGAAGGGCTTGGCCCCTGGAGGCACATGTTGGGGCATGCTTAAGTCTGCCCGTCCCTAGCCTACCCCCTCCAGGAATCCTTTCTTGACCCTAAGGATCTCTCCAACTGACTGACTTCCAGCGATTCATTCCCGTATGTAGGCAAACACATGCCACTGTCCATTCTGGTGGCCCAGGACAGAAATGAATCAGGGCCGCCCTCTGCACTCAAGAGCCTTCCTGTGCCTACCTATTTGCAAAGTCATGTGACTACAAGCTCCTGTGGGTCATCACAGGACTCTGGCTAAGGGAACCCCTGGCTCCTTTTCTGTAATCGCCCCTAGTGTGCTGACCAGGGAGCTAGGCACCAAAGAAACAATGTTTGCAGTGCAGCTTCTGTGGGCCAAGCCAATGGCGTTGCTTCTGCAGCTTCATCTGCCAAGGCAGGGTCTGGAAGAGCCTCCTCTCCAGCCCCAGTGCCAGCACACACAAGGCTCAAGGAACAAATGGAACTTACTTTCATCATAGCCATATGGCAGGCACTCTGATTCCCCCATTTCATAAATATGGAAGGCTCGGAGAGGGCAAGCGACCGGCCCAGAGCCATCCAGAGAACAACCAGCCAAGCAGGAACCCAGGCTCAGGTTAGGGTGAATACGCCTATGGGAAATTCTCTTTACACTTGAAGGACTTGGGCTGTTCTGTGGCTGGGGCTACCGAGGGGGAAGGAAGAGGATGGGAGCTAAGCCTCTGATCAGGGGTACAGGGCACTGAGGGCTGGTGAGTGGGGCTGGGGTGTGTCCAGCCTGACCTGTGTGCTTGACAGCCACATGGGACAGCAAGAAGTCCTCTCGGAAGGTGCGGTAGGGACAAAAGCTGCATTTGAAGGGCTTGTCACTGACGTGGGACAACTGGTGGTTCAGCAGTGCCTTCTTGTCTTCACAAACAAACTCACAGAACTCACACTTGAACCTGGAGGCGGTTAGAGGGAGGGAAGCTCAGTAATGAGCTGGGGACTGCTCCCGTCCCCAGGGGCCTCCAAGGGGATGTACCTGCGGTTGGCAACAGCCTGGATGTGCGTGAGCAGGTGCATTTTGAAGGTGTAGCGCTTCTTAAAGGACTTTCCACACTGTGAGGGGTGGAGAGCAGTGAGATGGCGATCACCCTCCATCACCCAGGGGAGGCCCTCCTCTCAGCCCCAGCCCTGGCTCCCACCCACCTTGTCACACATGTGGGGCTTCTCAGTGCTGTGCGTCTTCATGTGCTGCGTGAGTCTTTTCTGCATGGGGTACACACGGCCACACACAGGGCAGGGGAAAGAGCTCAGCTTTGGAGTCTAGGAAGGCATAAGAAGGGGCCAGATGGAGAAAGAAGTGGAGGAGGGAGGATAAAACCTCCCCTCTTGTCCTCACCCCCATAAACAACCCCCGGGCAGGTTCCCTTCCCAGGCCAGCACGCCAGACTCACCGGATCTGGCCTCTTCTTCCTGTGGGGAAAAGGCCGAGGAATTAGACCAGAGCTTCCCCAAGCCCACTCTAGACCCTCTCACACTGAACAGACCCAGCCTCAGCTATGAGCCTACTCCCTGCCAAGGCCCCTTTCTCTTAGAATAGTGCTTCCCCAGCTGGAGTTCACTGGGGAAAACGCTAAGGGGCACGCTGTAAATAACATATTCTGCACTCAAATATATTTGTGAAATGGTACATTCTTTCTGTCTGTCAATCACAAAATGTTACTTGCATATTAAAAGCTCTAAGGATCAGTTAAGGCCCGGAGTTTGAGACCAGCCTGGGCAACATAACAAGACATCGTCTCTACAAAAAAAAATTAGTAAATAATAAAAAGTTAGCCGGGTGTGCTGGTTAGCACCTGTAGTCCCAGCTACTCGGAAGGCTGAAGCAGAAAGATCGCTTAAGCCTGGGAGGTTGAGGCTGCAGTGAGCTGTAATTGTGCCACTCTATTCCAGACTGGGTGACAGAGTGAGACCCTGTCAATCAGTCAATAAAAGCTCTAAGAAATCCTGCAGGAAAGAGGTGTTGAACAGCTCTGCAAGCTGGTGAACCTACACTAATCTTACTTAGCCACAGAACCTTTTTTTTTTTTTTTTTTCATTTAAAAAAAAGAAACCTTAAAGTATCTTGGGCTGGCTTTTCCACACACACAGCTGGAGCTACTGTCCCAGGGGATCTGTCTCCAACCTCTGCTCACACACCACCTCTCATGAAGCGAACTCCTTCCTGAAGCTCGGGATCGAATTATAATCCTGTGAGCAATCATTAGGTGCATAAGAACTTGTGTTTCTCTGTCTCAGGTGCACTCTCAGCCCTGTGAGAGATGAGTAGGATCTGGAGTCCAGAAGATCTTGGATCATTTACTGAACTCCTTTAGGTACACAATTTCCTTCAATCCCTTCAACAACTGTCCCCGTTTGATGAGAAACTAAAGCTCACAAGAGGTAAGAGGCTGAGCTGGGGACCTCAAGGCCTGGTACTGTCCTGTTCTAAGCCAAATGAACTGGGGTGAACTGCCTTTCTGCTCATGCCTGTAGTGTGCAGCAAATGGGGCTGGCTCAGAGCAGGAGCACGGTAAGTGGGAACCATGGTTATCCCGGGCCTCCACTTCCCCACCCAACCTGGCCTCTCTTGCCCAGGTCCCTCCCACCCCCACACTGACCGGTCCCGGCTGTGCACAGCGGCGTGCCGAATGACGTCCTTCCGGTAGACACTGGTGTAGCTGCACTCGTCACACTTGTAGGGCTTGCTGCCCACGTGGTTGAACATGTGCTCCTGGGAGACAGACAAAAGGATGGTGGGCTGGGGCTTGGCCTCCTCTCCCATCCCCGTCCCCACCATGCCTGTGGCCACAGTCTTAGGGTTGCTGCGGGAGCAGCTCACAGAACACAGGCATGTGGACAACACACCCCGACGCAAGGGTCAAAACCTAGGAAGGCCCGGGGACTGTCCCCAGCGAGAGCACCCACTCTGTGCCAGGCTCTGTGCTGGCTCACAACTTGACAAAGAAGGAACCTGAGTCTCAGGGTGGAGGGACCTTGCGATGGCAGAGCTTGGAGCTGAAGCCAGGCAGCATGGCGCCGCAGCCTCCACCTCTCCCACTGCGTCACGAGACATCTTCTCTGCAGAACCCACATAACAGCCCACAGCACAGCGTGCACAGAGCACAGGGGCTCGCTCTGACCACCGTGCCCGGAAGTACCCTCTCCCACAGCTGCCAACTTGCACATTGGCCAGGCCGAGCCACAGTTTCCTGGGGGTCAGTAGAATGGGACTATGGACACCTACGACCTCATTGGGCTGCAATAAGGATTTAATTATCCAGTTACTGCATAAAAGGCTCAGGGCTGCTGCAGGCCACATGGTAGCTTGTGTTAAGGAGAAAAAGGAACCGTTTTTTTTTTTTTGTTTGTTTGTTTTTTTGAGACAGAGTTTCGCTCTTGTTGCCCAGGCTGGAGTGCAATGGTGTGATCTTGGCTCACTGCAACCTCTGCCTCCCGGGTTCAAGCGATTCTCCTGCCTCAGCATCCCAAGTAGTTGGGATTACAGGCATGCACCACCATGCCCAGCTAATTTTGTATTTTTAGTAGAGATGGGGTTTCTCCATGTTGGCCAAGCTGGTCTCAAACTCCTGACCTCAGGTGATCCACCTGCCTCAGCCTCGCAAAGTGCTGGGATTACAGGAGCAAGCCACTGCACCTGGCCTAAAAGGAACCCTTTTCTTGAGACACATGACTGCCATCTGCTGGAAATCTTTCTAACACATGGAATCAGATGAAAACAGTTTTATGGCGTCTGTGGTGGTGAAGATATGCTGCCACTGTGCACTGTGCCGCCTGCAAAACCGCCTGTGGCAGCCCTTCCCAGCCCCTCCCCACATTCCCGCAAGCTCTGAGGAGCTGAGCGTTCTTCGGTACGCCAGTGAGCCAGACACGCGTTCTGAAGAGCAGCAGGAGAGCGTGACCCAGAATGCTCTGTGACTCCATTCTCCCTCAGTGGCACCAGCTGGCCTCTGCTTGCCTTCTTCACCCTCCCATGAGCCCCAAGCCTCTTTGGCTCCCGCACCTTGAGCGAGGACCAGCGGCGGGAACGATAGCTGCACTGCAGGCACTTGAAGAGCTGGGGATCGCCAGCCTCATGGGAGTTGACGTGGAAGCGCAGGTCCTCGTGGGACAGAAAGCGAGAACCACAGATGCGGCACAGGAAGGGCCTCAAAAGTGGTTTGGGCGACTTGTAATAGTACCTGCAGGATGAGAGTGTGGCGGAAAGGTCTGGTGGGGTTGGTGGCTTAACCACATGCATGCCCCACCCTCACCTCTGCTCCACATACTTGCGGTATTTCTTGCCTAGGAAGCGCCTGGAAGGTCGACCTCGGCGCCGGGGCAGAGTGTCATGCTCATCCGGGCAGGAGGGGGCTGCGTTCTCTGCATCTGACTGGCTCACACCAGCTTCCACAGGGGTCCTGCTCACCTTGCCCATGGCCACCAGGTGTCCTGGGCCTGAGGAGCTGGGAGCCTCGGGATCCTGTGGCTCTGGAGGGCTCTGTCCACTCTGGGAACTCACTAGAGGCTCTCCTTCCACACCTGCCACGGACATGCCAGGTCACAAGCCAGCCACTGACACACCAGGACAGACGTGGACAAGTGGGCCAGAGGCCAGCCAAAATATCCTCCCACCCACTCATCACAGACCACTGATGGGTGCATTGAGTCACATGACACAGACAGCCTGTGGTTAGAGGGCAGCATGGATACTACCGCCCAACAGCCGACATTCTGTCAGCACAGTAGGACCTGGCCTGGATTAGAGCAACGGCGAGAGCTGGGACCTCCCAGTCAGGAGACCTGGGTTCCAGGCACGGCTCTGTCACTGACATGCTGTGCACCTACAGACAAAGCCATTCCTCTCCCGGAGTCTCATTTGCCCCATTTATCCAAGGGAGGCCAGAATGGCGGCTTTGGTGACTTCACAGAACAATCTAAGGCTCGGGAAGCAATAGGAGTGCTTTAACACTGGCATTCCCCAGGGAGGTCAGGCAGCTGGAGGGCTGATGGGAGGGAAGGAGGGAGATGTGACTTCCATGCTTGCAAACCATTTGGACAATCTAAATCTGTTACCTCTTCAAAAACATTGACAGTATT
This sequence comes from Homo sapiens, assembly GCF_000001405.40. NCBI lineage: Eukaryota > Metazoa > Chordata > Mammalia > Primates > Hominidae > Homo > Homo sapiens. Next base: position 45,964,549 of record NC_000020.11, read on the forward strand.
TAAATATTAAATATGTACTAGACAAATTAACAATACAGACAATGCAGGTAATGTTCTGCTTCTTGACTGGGTTATACAGGTGCTTGGTTACACAGGTGTGTGCACCTTGTGAAAACTCATTGACCTGGGCAGAATATGTGTAACTTTCCATACATATGTGCCTCGGTAAAAAGGCCTTTTTGAAATAGAGACTAAAGAATACAATAGGCCAAGTGCGGTGGCTCACGCCTGTAATCCCAGCACTTTGGGAGGCTGAGGTGGGCAGATCACCTGAGGTCAGGAGTTTGAGACCAGCCTGGCCAATATGGTGAAACCCTGTCTCTACTAAAAAAATTAAGTCGGTGTGGTGGTGGGCGCCTGTGATCCCAGTTACTCAGAAGGCTGAGGCACGAGAATTGCTCGAACCTGGGAGACAGGGGTTGCAGTGAGCCGAGATCATGACGCTGCACTCCAGCCCGGGCAAGAGTGAAACTCTGTCTCAAAATAATAATAATAATAATAATAATAATAATAATAATAATACAACAACTCTCCAACCATAAACAGCTGCCACTGTACTCTTTTGTGTGTATTTAACCCTTAAGCAATCCTAAAAGGCATGCTGCTATAACCTCCATGCATAAATAAAGGGACTGGAGATTTAAGCTCCAAGTCACACAGACTGCAGGCGGCAGAGCTGGTGCTCACACCACGGCTGGGTCCTTTCTGTCCCCAGCCAGTAATGCTCCGAACCAGGGCTCCTCTGATAGTCCCAGGCCTCAGACTTATTCCTCTCTTCTCATTTCAGTAATATTTAAAACTTATCTTACGCATTCAGTGATAAAGTCCCAAATTTCTCTTTTGCTATGACAAATTGTGGTGAAAGGCATTTCCATAAAGCTGAGAGAGTTTCCTGAGTCAGGGTTTCTTGAGCTTGAGTCTTTGAGGGCTTTCCCCTTTCCCTGGAGGCCTGCAGGTGACCCGGTTTGAGACAGCTGCCCTGCAGGGCACACTCAGTCCCCAGAACTCCACAGAGACAAGCAGGGAGAGAGGCCACTCCTGACCCACCCACACGAGCCCCTCCCAAGACCAAGCCTCACCATCTGGGAGGTCTGAGATCTCCAGGCGGGGCAGCTTCCGGGGCCGGCCAGGTCTCCTTCGGGGCCTTGGGGTACTGGGGGTGGGGCGCTGGAGCCGAAGCTGCCGGCCTCGGGGCTCATCCTCAGCTGGATTATAGTCGCTATCCTCTGTGGGGGACAGTAAAGTTGGTGAACAGTGAGTGGCGGGACCTGCCCTTTCAGCCCTGACCCCTTGCCCAGCTCACTTCCCTACCCCTGCATACTCCTCCTCCAAGCCCACAGCGATGCCTCCTCCAGAAAGCCCTCCTGATCTCCTCTGGCTGACTTGGCGTTCCTGCCCTGAGCCCCTGAAGTTCTTTCTCTACCCTTCCTGGCACCTACCACTAGCTCATAAAGCACCTTCATGTGAATAGGGAAAAGGCAACCCTTCCTCCAGACACTGTACAGCCAGTTAGAAAAAAGTTTAAATAAACATTGAAGTCCACAAACTCTACGGCTGCCCTATCCAAAACAGCTGCCACCAGCCATATGTAGCTATTGAGCCCTTGAAATATGCCTAGTCCAAACTGAGATATAATTAAGTGTAAAATAATGAATTTCAAAAAATTGGTATTAAAAAACTCACCAATAATTTTTTTTTTTTTTGGTATTTTAGTAGAGACAGGATTTCACCGTGTTAGCCAGGATGGTCTCGATCTCCTGACCTTGTGATCCATCTGCCTCAGCCTCCCAAAGTGCTGAGATTACAGGCGTGAGCCACTGTGCCCGGCCAAAACTCACCAGTAATTGTTATGATGACTGCATACTGAAATATTTTAGGGCCAGGCACAGCCGCTCACACCTGTAATCCCAGTGCTTTGGAAGGCTGAGGTGGGAGGATTGTTTGAGGACAGGAGTTTGAGACCAGCCTGGGCAACTCAGCAAGACTCTGTTTCTTTTTCTTTCTTTTTTTTTTTTTTTCTGAGACAGAGTCTTGCTCTGTCGCCCAGGCTGGAGTACAGTGGCATGATCTCAACTCACTGCAACCTCTACCTCCCGGGTTCAAGCGAATTCTCCTGCCTCGGCTTCCCAAGTAGCTGGGATTGCAGGTGCCCGCCACCACACCCAGCTAATTTTTTGTATTTTTAGTAGAGACGGGGTTTCACCATGTTGGCTAGGCTGGTCTCAACCTCCTGACCTCAAGTAATCTGCCCGCCTCAGCCTCCCAAAGTGCTGGGATTACAGGAGTGAGCCACCATGCCCGGCATTTCTCTTTTTTTTTTTTTTTCTTTTTTTTGAGACAGGGTCTCGCTCTGTTGCCCAGGCTGGAGTGCAGTGGCACAATTACAGTTCACTGCAGCCTTGACCTTCTGGGCTCAAGTGATCCTCCCAAGTAGTTGAGATTACAGACACATACCACAACAGGCTAATTTTTGTATTTTTCATAGAGATGGGGTTTTGCCATGTTGTCCAGGCTGGGAGAACCCGTTTCTACAAAAATTAAAAAATTAGCCAGGCATGCTGGCAGGCACCTGTAGCCCTAGCTACTCGGGAGGCTGAGATGGGAAGATGGCTTGAACTCAGGAATTCAAGGTAACAGTGAGCAACGATCATGATGCTACACTCCAGTCTGAGCAACAGGGCGAGGACCTCCTCTCGCACCTTTACTTGTATTCTATTTCTGTGGGGCAAATGTGAACAGGGCCCCCTGTGCTCTTTTCCAGTGTGCACCCTGCACAACTGCACACAGAAGTCCTGGTCCCAGAGCACAACCTCCTCTGTCTTATACTGGAGGGACCTGTGGATGTGTCTGTGCCAATTCCTCTTTACTGGCCCTCCAAGTGAAAGCTCAGTGAGTATGTCTAGATGGGCATAGGGATGGCAGGCCTAGAAACCATGGTGGCCTACCCTCCAGGTCATCAATGGCTCCAGCGTCTACAATGTCATCATCGTCCTCCTCCTCTGGTCCCTCTTCCTCTTGGCTCTTGGTGGAGGTGCTCCACTTCCGTAGACGTCCTTTTTTACCAGCTGCTGCTGCGGCTGCTGCTACTGGAAGTGGAGGGAGGGTAAGACAAGCTTGCCATGTCTGGCTCCCAGCACCCCACCCCTACCCATGCAGTCCAAGCAGGTAGGCTGCTACTGACGCACCTGGACGGAAGTGGCGTTCCCGCATGTGGCGCAGCAGTGTGGCCTTGGTGCTGCTCCGGTACTGGCACATCTTGCATTTGAACTGCTGCACCACCACCACCTCCATCATGGCCTCCAGGCTCTGCAGGTCCGGCTCTTCGGCACCGGAGGCTGGGGGCAGCTGCACCGGGGAGCTGGGCCCACCCTGTGCCTCCAGGCATGTGGATGTGGATGTGGGGCCATCTGCCAGGGCCTCAATGGCTGCTAGGCTGTGGGCCAAGGTGGAACTGGACATTGGTGATGTCATGGGGGCTCCTGGGGATGGGTGAGGCAATTGGAGGGTGGTTAAATGGAGGGCAGCACTGGCCATGAGCTATAGCTACCCCTCCCAGGCAGGCCCAGGGAGTGCAGAACCAAATTCCCCACCAGAGGCCAACCCGTCAGTAGGAAAACTGAGACCCAGAGCAGTGGATACCCAGCCAGGGCCACAGACGGAATCCGCGGCAGAACCTGTCCTCACCTATCCCCCTGCCCACTGCAGGCCTCCCCGATTCTGGCACCTGGGGTCTTACCATCATCTGGGCCCTGTAGGATCAGGTACCGTGTGGTCTCGGCCCCGCCATCCTCAGCACTGGTCACAGTGATGCAGTCTGGGCAGAGATGGGGAAGGGTCACACCTCCTGGGGAGGGGGTCCCAGCAACAGGCCCACCCCCATGGGCCCCACTTTGGCCTGTGAGCAGGGCTGGTCCACACTCATTCTGGCTCCCATGTGCGACTGCAAACCAGCTGTGTCACCCCTGAGCCTCAGTTGACTCCCCTGGCAGGGCTGTCTGGAGGTCTAGTGTGACATGCTGACTCAGCAGCCGGCCCACACTTACACAAGATGCCACAGCTACACCAGCTGCCCAGGCTTTGACCACCAAACCTGGGAAGTCCTCCTTCCTCTCCAAACTTCTCAAAGTAAAGGACCAGCTCCTGCACCACTTTCTTAGGGTTGGCTTCCCAGACTATCCCAGGGCTTTTTGAGGTGCTATAGCCTCTATAAATATCATTAACAAAAAGTGGGTACAGCACCATGTGTCACGGCTCATGCCTGTAATCCCAATACTTTGGGAGGATGAGGCAGGAGAACTGCTTGAACTCATGAGTTCAAGAATAGCCTGGTCAACCCAGCAAAAAGGTGGTGTGCACCTGTAATCCCAGCTACCCTGGAGGCTGAGGCAGAGAATCCCTTGAGCCCAAGAGTCTGAGGTTACAGTGCACTATGATTGCACCACTGCACTCCAGCCTGGGTGACACAGCTCTGGAGTCAGACTGTCTGAGCTCATGGCCCGACACCCCACACTGCTTGCTGGTGACAGTGGGTAAGTTATGTATGTCCTTGGTGCCTCATATTTTTCATCTGGACTGTGAACATTAACATCCTCTACCTTTTGGGGTTATTGGGAGGATTAAATGAGCTACTGTATGTAAAGTTTAGAACAGTCCTGGGCACAAGGTAAGCAATAACAGTTTATATTATTTATTGAGAGTCTGTCATGCCAGGCGCTAGGCTGAGAACTTTACAGTGTTGTCTCATTAAATCCTCATTTACCACCATGAGACAGGGGTGACTGTTCCCACTCTGCACATTCCACATGGGAAAGTAATCTGCCTGAGTTCACACAGCTAGGGTGGGCACAGCTGGCTGCCGGACACTGCAGGAAAACCCCTGTGGGGCTCCTCTGCCTGACTCACTCTGGATGAGGTCGGGCCCGATGGTGGACTCGATGATCTTGTCGATGGCCGAGCCCAGGTCCGAGGAGGAAGCTGTGCAGTCGGACACCAGCATGTTGGGGTCTGGGAGTGCACTAGAGTGCACAAGTGCTGGGGGACCGCCTGTCACCCCTGCCACTGGCCCATGAGACACAGACGATGAATCAGGGAGGTAGCTATTAGGCAGGGGGTCTGCGCTCGAGCTGCTCTCAGATACCTCCTCCTGAGGGGCATGAAACAGGGAGGGAAAAAGTTTAGCAGCTGGGTATGGGGCAGGGCAGCCTGCCAGCTCCCACTTGCTAGACAGAGCTCTCAGGCCCAAGGACATGGTCAGTGGAGCCACTCATGCCCTCAGCCCCACGGAGGACCAGTGAGAGAGGCCCTCCAGTCACAGAGTCCCCCAGGAAAAAGTCACAGGGTCCCTGGATCTCATCAGGGAATACACAAAAATAAGAGAAGGGACTCCTAAGCCACAGCCAGGGGGAGCTATTTTCTTTGGGCTTTTGCATAAATCGTTCCCTCTGCCTGAAACTCTTCCCAGCATCACCCTATGGCTAAATCTTACCCAGCCTTCTCACCACCATTTAGCTGGTACCTCTTCTAGGAAGTCAATGCTGGCTTTGAGGCCAAGTCAGGACTTCTTCATCCTCAGTGCTGCAGCTGCCTGTGTCCCCAGCACCACACCACTGTGGGGTTCATTGTGCCTTTTAACAGCCTCCATGCCAGACTGTGCCCTCCACAAGGGCCTGGACCAAACTTGTCTTTTCCTCTGCTGTATTTCCAGGGCCCAGCACACGCTGAGCACATGGTAGGCCCCCATCTCTGCTGAACTAATGAAACCCCAGGACCCCAAAGTGATGACCACTGCTGTGTACTTCTATCACGTGATATACTGAATATGACCATTATCTTGCATATAAGAATGGCTAATACTTACTGAGTGCTTACAATGTGCTGAGCACTGTTTTAATTATTAGCTTTGCATATGTTAATTCATTTCATCCTCACAAAAACTCTATGAGGCAGGTATATTTACCATTCCCACTTTACAGACGAGGAAACAGAGCTAGATGTTGGGTAGCTTGCTCAAGATCACACGGCTAGGAAGTGGCACAGCCAGGAGGAGATGGTTTACAAAATGTTTGCAAGAGGATGTCTGGTGGGAGCTCACAATCAAGCACCCTTGAAAGCAAGTATTTCTGCTTTACTTTAGCCGGGATACTGAGGCTCAAAGAGGTCTCCCAGTAAACTGGAGGCAGGACCCAGTCTTAACCCAGGGCACTTGCGTTTTTTTTTTTTTTTTTGTAGAGATGAGGTCTCGCTATTTGCCCAAGCTGGTCTCCAACTCCTGGGCTCAAGTGATCCTCCCACCTCAGCCTTCCAAAGTGCTGGGATTACAGGCGATGAGCTACCACTCCTGGCCTAGACATCTGCCTCTCAAAGTGTGAGGACTGTGGGTAGTATAGTAGCTAAGACCACAGCCTAGATTTGAATCCTGGCTCTGTCTGCACTCTGTACCTCGGCATCCTTTTCTATAAGATGTGGGAAAAAATGGTATGTGTCTTAGAAGGTATGAAGCTCAAATGAGAAAATCCATTTTAGGGGTTTGGCTTGGTGCCTGGCTCACAGTAAACCAGAAACACCAAGTATTAGCTACAAACAAGCCTTGTTTCCTCTTGGCTGTCAGGCACTGCTGCTCGCGGTCCTTGCCTCCACCCACGCCGTCCAGCCGGGTCCATACCTGAGAACGGCTGCCGCGGTCCGAGCTTTGCCCCACGCCAGAGTCATCGGCCTCTGCCTGCCCCGGGGCGGCCGCGGCGTCGCTGCTGTCGGCGGACACGGCTTCTGAGGTGCCCACACCCAGGCCGCTCTCAGAGGGCTCCTCGGGCCGGCCAGGCCCAGGGGCCGCGTCGCTGCTGCTCTCCACCTCGTTCTCCTCCATCTGATCGGCGGGCTGCCTGACAGCGGGGCGTAGGGTCTGGGAACTTCACTCTGAGAAGAGAGGTGACCGTGGCTGGAACAAGTGGGCCATCTCCCCAGCCCCGGCAACCACGGCCACCCATTTGCACCCCTGCGCCCATTTTGCAGATGCGAAGATTGAGTCTCCGACGGGGCGGAGCTTCCTGGTGTATTGCGAGGGGAGCTCGGGAAAAACTTGACGGAGAAGCTGTGCTTCCCAGGCTAAGGCCCTTCCCGGGAGGGTGGTCAATGGCTGGTAATCTTGACCCTTTCCCTCGCCCCCACGATTCTCGTGGAGCGTTCCGCTCTGTGAGCCCCATCCGGGCCCAGTGGTTCAGCCCTTCGGCCCCCGCGTCCCCCCGGGTTGCAGGGCCGGTGGTACAGCCCGCTGGCCCCCTGGGTCAGTGGTTCGCTCCCCCCCGGTTCCCCTGCGGAGGCGGCTGACAGCGACGGTCTCGGGGCCTGGCGATTTGGGGCTGTCCCCGGCGCTGCCTGTGCTCCAGGCCCGACGCCATCTTGTGGTGGCGCCGGGTTTCCGCTCAGGCAAGTGCGAGAGCGACTAAAGGGCCTGGGACCCCGGGGCCCTGTTCGGACAGCCCCGCCGGCCTGGGACCTCGCCTCCGGGTATCCCCGCAGTGTGACCTCACTCCACGGCAGGGTACGGTGGGGCCGCCTAACTCTACCCGAAGCTCACCCGAGGCTTTCGTAGCCACGTTCCTCTCTGACTCCGGCATCGACGAGGTCGCCATCCTCTTTCCTCCGCTGCGGAGGAACCCATCGGCCTATTGTAGGCCGGAACTACTTCCCCCGCTGGCCCCGGGAAAGACACATTTTCAGTGTTCCGGAAGGTCGCTCCGAGGCCTCAAAACCATAATCGGGTCTCAACAGACTCTGGGACTTTATACGTCGCCCGGTGTTTGGCACTGAGCCCACTATGGTTTGGGGACTACTTTATCTCGGCGGAGTGTTACGTAGGAAGTGGTTGTGACGTCATTCTGGTCCCTTCCCTAGGCCGCAGGGTTGGGCGCGGCGAATGCGCGCCCCGCTCTCTTGGGGCGTGGCTCCCAGTGGGGGGCGTGGCTCCCGGTGGCTTGGCCGCGCCCCTCCTACAACAGCCCGGAAGAGCGTGTGGCCGCGGGCGACTTTGGCTTGGCCAAAGAGGAATTCATGTTGTCAGTCATTTTACCTGACTCATTACTTATTACTTAGCGCGCTGCTGCAACCCAATCGAGCTCTGCCCGTTAGGTTTGATGTGTTTTGTTGGGAAGGGAATGTATAATTATTGTACAGATAGGGAAACTGAGGTCTGGGTATGGGAAGGGCTGGTCCAAAATCACATCCAATAAAGGGACTCAGGAGCTAAGTACGGATGGCAGGAGTCGGGGAAATGGAAAGAAGTTAATGCTTGTCCCTTAGGTTTGTATACATATTTGTTAACATTAATAGAGCTGAGGCCGGGCGCTGTGAGTCACGCCTGTAATTCCAACACTTTGGGACGCCAAGGCAGGAGAATCGCTTGATCCCAGGAGTTCCAAACCAGCCTGGGCAAAAGAGCGAGACCCCATCTCTACAAAAAAAAGAAAAAAAAGAAAAATTAGCCAGGCATGGTGGCGCGTGCCTATAATCCCAGTTGCTCGGGAGGCTGAGGTGGGAGGATCGCTTGAGTCTGGGAGGTTGAGGCTGCAGCGAACCGTGATCACACCACTGCACTTCAGCCTGGGCGACAGAGCGAGACCCTCTTTCAAAAAATAAATAAATACAAGTCAACTACCTATCCTTTAAAAGTGGAGAAAGAAAAAAAATTTTAATTAAAAGTCAGCTGCCCTTAAGGTATGTCCTTCCTCCGGAAATGTCACCTTCTGTTTTAAGACTTTTAGCAGTTTGCAGTGGAAGAGCACAAGAGGGAGTAAGGCGCTCTGGTTTTTGTCCCTAAGTCTCTGTAGTTCCATAGGCTATTTTCCTTAATTGAAAGATACAAATTTTGGGGGAAAAAAATCTCAAAAAAACTCCTAAGCAGGCTGGGCGCGGTGGCTCACGCCTGTAATCTCAGCACTTTGGGAAGCTGAGTCGGGCGGATCACCTGAGGTTGGGAGTTTGAGACCAGCCTGATCAACATGGAGAAACCCCATCTGTACGAAAAATACAAAAGCAGCTGGGCGTGGTGGCGCATGCCGTAATCCCAGCTATTCAGGAGGCTGAGCCAGGACAATAGCTTGAACCCGGGAGGCAGAGGTTGCGGTGAGCCGAGATCACGCCATTGCCTTCCAGCCTGGGGAACAACAGCGGAAACTCTTGTCTCAAACAAACAAACAAAAAGTCCTAAGGAGAAGACCTATTAATAAGGAGAAAAGGTCCGGGCTCGGTGGGTCACACCTGTAATAACCAGCACTTTGGGAGGCTGAGGCCGGTGGATCACTTGAGGTCAGGAGTTCGAGACCAGCCTGGCCAACATGGTGAAACTGTCTCTACTAAAAATACAAAATTTCACTGGGTGTGGTGGCGCGCGCCTGTAGTCCCAGCTACTCGAGAGGCTGAGGCAGGAGAATCGCTTGAAGCCCAGAGGCGGAGGTTGCCGAGATTGTGCCATTGCGACAAGAGAGAAACTCCGCTTCAAAAAATAAATAAATAAATAAAAATAAAAAGGACAAAGGGTGCTTTGAGCTGTTATTTGTGTGCACTTGTGTATGAGGGGATTCATCTGGTCCTTTTCTTAGGTAAAGTTTTCTTTCCTAGGTTTCCCTTTTGGGTTGAGGGAATGGAACAGGAGGCCTCTGGATAGGTTAGGACCCTCATCCCCTATCCCTTGCAACCAGCAGGACCAGGCCCCAGAGCAGCTCTGAAGAGCTAGGTCAGCACTGGCATGATGACATGTTGGTTTTACTATCTCCAGGCAGTTTTCCCGTGTGGACCCCATTCCTCAGCCCTACAGAAGCATCTGCCCCCTCATGCCAGTAGGGTAGTAGGGTGCATCCTACATCTGACCAAGTCACCTCTCCCAAGTTTGGGGTACTCCGAAGTAGCCCCACAGTACCCTCATTCCCTTCCCCACTAAGACTGAAGCCTCCTAGGAGGTAGAGTCTGCAGTGAACTATGAGTGCGCCACTGCACTCTGGCTTTGGTGAGAGAGTGAGACCCTGTCTATTAAAAAGAAAAAAAAAAGACTCAACCTTAATCCTGGCCTTTGCCACAGCATCACAAGATTGCAGAATGTCATGGTACAGATGAAACAGACTCATCATGAAACCGAAGAGGAGCCCAAGGCCCAGAGGGGGAAAGCTAACAGCCCAAGGTCTCGGCTCCTTGGAAACAACATACCAGAACCCTTCCATCACAAAGACAAGCAGGCAAATCCTTGTATTCTGCCTGTGAATCCAGGGTTTGTTCCTCCAGAGAGTGCAGTCTAGTTCTGGTCTCAGCTTTATTTTTTTGTTTTCTCTTTAAAATTTGTTTTATCTTTTAAAAAATTGTTTATAAAGATGGGGACTAGCTATTTTGCCCAGGCTGGTCTCGAACTCCATGGCCCCAGCTTAGAGAGACTTATGGAAGCAGTGAAGGGGCTCTGGGTCAGAGGACATTAAAGTGGACCATTGAGAAAAATGTAGAAGAGCCAAGAGGGAAAGAGGAGGGAAGATGCCAGGCAGTGTGTGTGCTTTCTGAGTCATGTTTTGTTTTTTTTTTTAATTTGCTTCCACAGAGCTTTATTTCCATTTGGATCAAGGCTTGGAAGAAGGCTCCAGGGTAATTAAAAAGCTGCCTAGTGGCTGGAGGGAGAGGCTTAGGCAGAAGCCCTGATACTTTGGGAGGGGCCCTTAAGGCTCCCAGTCGTGCTTGAGGGTGGGTGAGCCTTTCCAAGAGAACCCCACCCAGGCCAGCCTGGGGGCCAGCCACCCTGGGAAGGTTGGTCAAGTGGTCGCCCATCTTGATGAGTTTCACTTCCTCATCTAAGAAGTGACTCTCTAGGAAGTCACAGAGATGGAGGTCTGTGCGGGCAGGACTCAGGGCTTGAAGATCCAAAAGCGGCCTGGTTCAGATTTTTCTCCAGGGCCATGGCGGCTTCCGTGGCATTCAGGGTTTTTAAAATTTATTTATTTATTATTATTTTTTTTTTGTCACCCAGGCTGGAGTGCAGTGGTGTGATCTCAGCTCACTGCAACATCTGCCTCCCAGGTTCAAGCGATCCACCTCAGCCTCCTTAGTAGCTGGGACTACAGGCGTGTGCCACCACACCTGGCTAATTTTTTTTGTATTTTTAGTAGAGATACAATTTCACCACGTTGGCCAGACTGGTCTTGAACTCCTGACCTCAACTGACCCACCTGCCTTGGCTTCCCAAAGTGCTGGGATTACAAGCATGAGCCACCACGTCCAGCCGTGTCCAGGGTCTTATCTAACTCAATTTGGGCCAGTTTCTGGATGTCCTGGAAGAGAATGCAGCCGCCATACTGGTTTTGCATCTTTAAGGCACCCTTGCGCTTCTCCTCGGCCAATTCGTGGAAGAAGTGACCCACGCCCTCCCAAGCCACATCGTCACAGTGTAAGTAGAAGCCCAGAGAGAGGCAGATGAGGAGGCCTGCAGGTGCAAATTGAGCAGGTGGTTCACGGCTGCCTCCACCTCAGTGGAATAATTCTGACGAATCTGGGAGCTCATGGGCTGGTAAGAAGGAGCTAACCACAAACAATGGTGTTGGCTGGACCCAGAAGCAGAAGGTGGCTAAAAAGATGGTCCCTGAGGTTGCAAGTGGAGAGGAGATTGATGGTGAGAGGCTGGAAGAGAGGAAGTCCCAGGATCTCTTCCGTCCAAACACTGTTGAAGCAAGACACAGATCCGTGGGACTGCCCAATGTGACTCTGCTGAGGAGTCATGGTATCTTAAGGAAACAGGAGTTGTTAAATCATCTTCCACTGTAGAGAGGAGGCGGCTGAGGCTCAGAGAGGGGAAGAGACTTTTCCAAGGTCATGCAGCCAGGAGGATGGAGCTGGTATATGGAACCAGGTCTGCCTCATTCCATAGTAATCATACACTTAGGCCGGGTGCGGTAGCTCACGTCTGTAATCCCAACACTTTGGGAGGCCAAGGCGGGAGGATCACTTGAGGTCAGGAGTTCAAGACCAGTCTGACCAACCTGGTGTCTACCACAAAATACAAAAATTAGCCAGGCATGGTGGCACATTGCCTGTAATCCCAACTACTTGGGAGGCTGAGGCAGGAGAATCGCTTTAACCTGGGAGGTGGAGGTTGCAGGGAGTTGAGATAGTGCCACTGCACTCTCGCCTGGGCGATAGAGACTCCATCTCAAAAATACAAAAACAAAAACAAAAGCAAAAAAAGAAATACCTTAAATTACTCTGTGCCGGTCACCATTCTAAGTGGTTTATTTACATTCATTTATTTATCCTCACAACCACCCTATGAACCTACGAAGTGGTTGTCATTATTATCTCCATTTTACATATGAGGAAACTGAGGCACAGAACAATAAAAGAATCTACCTAAGTAAAGGATGGAGCTAGGATTGAAAACTAAGCAATCTGTTAGGCTGGGTGCTGTGGCTCATGCCTGTAATCCCAGCACTTTGCGAGACCGAGGCAGGTGGATCACCAGAGGTCGGGAGTTGGAGACCAGCTTGACCAACATGGAGAAACCCCGTCTCTGCTAAAAATACAAAATTAGCCAGGCGTGGTGGCGCATGCCTATAGTCCTGGCTACTCGGGAGGCTGAGGCAGGAGAATTGCTTGAAAACCCAGGAGGCGGAGGTTGCGGTAAGCTGAGATCGCACCATTGCACCCCAGCCTGGGCAACAAGAATGAAACTCTGTCTCAAAAAAAAAATTATTAATACTTTTAAAGACTGAGCTGTTTAAGAATTTTTGGGGGAATGTTTCTAGCAGTGACTTTTTTTGGCCTTTTTAACATAATGATAGTGTAAAGACAGGAGCCTTACAACTTAGTCAAAGCATTTCATGTGCAGTCCTTCTTCTATCTCCTTAAAATATGTATTTATTTTACATACAGACTTTTACACTAACTATTGAAAAATAAAGTAGGATCTGCTACAGTTTCCCCTGAAAATTTATAAAAAGTGTTGAGATTGTTAGAAGGCAGTTTTTAATACAGGTGCACTACCCTAAAAGACTTGTCTATTGTCAATAAAGTATTTGTGAAATTATTATTTCTGTTCAGAAATACTATTTCTTAAATCTCCTGGGAATTTGTGGCATACTAAAGCACATTCAAAGTTCTAATGTGTTTATGAGCTCATTTTCAAAATAGTAAGTTTGTCATCTTTAAAATGAACGTAACTTGCTTCCTTGATTTCTGAAATGAATTAACTGAAGATTGCTATAGTAATCTTTATTTCATCTTTCTAGAGTTGTTGGCAATTTTTTTATACAACAGTGACCATTAGAGAAGGGGGGAAGGGATTTTGGGTGTGTATTTGTAGGTACTAAGGGATTTACTAAATATAGTAGAGCACTGTCACACTTGTTCAAGTAGTTTCAAACGTAGAAAATTAAGTATCAGAGGCAGGTATAGGGAGCAATGTAGTCTTTTTTTTTTCTTCAATTTTAAAAATTTTAAATTGTGGTAGAAGCAATGTATCCTTAAGGTGAAAAACCTACCTCAGTTACATGTGGTTTGTGTTTTCTGGATTAATCTGGATTTTATAATTAGAAATAAAAATGTAAGATTTTGAATCCACTTAATAATTTCTTGAAAATAATACAAGTCAGTGTAATAGAGAAGCATTCATATATTCAACACTGTAAGACAAAACAGCAGAGACCTTGGATTTGATAATTGATCTGATATCCTGGACAGTATTCATATGTACAGTGATAGGTATGTTTCTTTGGGGTTTTTTTGTGTGCATATGTGTGTAGTTTTATCGTTCTGAGTTGGTGACCAGTAAGTTCCATGTAGTGCTGGCACTTATTTAATAACTATTCATGATTTTGTTAATAACTTGTTACAGGATTCAGGCATATATTTTCAGCATAAGAAGCCAGACACACCAGCTTGTCATTGGAGATAATATATTAAGTGAGAAAAACATTCAGGAATCAGAACTTTAACATGTTAAAGTTAGTGCTAAACATGGTCATATTGGGTCTGAACCTATCCTAATATGTAACCATAAAGCTTGACTTTTGCATTGGAACTATGCTTTCATAAATAAAGGATATCCCATGGGATTGTAATTGTAATCCCATATTATCTGTAATTGTAATTCCCATATTATCTGAGAAGTAGTGTGACACCTTTCTTTTGTTGTTACATTAAGCTGAAAACATAATACTAATAGACGACTAACAGTTTGCTTATCAGGCACATCAACTAAGGCACCTCCCCCCATGCTAAGTTTCTCCTGGATATATGGAAGTTGGTTGTTTCCCAGTTTAAAAACTTGAACTAATATTACCTAAGAAAACCTGAGCCCATATTGTTTTTATTTTACTTAGCTAGAATCTCATAGCATGTTAAAGTCATACCTTATCCCCACTAAAAATAACTATGTCTATGTGAGAGGAATATTATGTGTGGGAGCTGTATTAAATACTATTATAGGTGTTACAGAATCTTTAAATAAATGGACGTGGACCAACCTTCCATCTAGTAGTGTACGATCTATATAGTGCATGTCAGTAGCACAAAATGCAGTCTTAGTTAGCATTAGCCTGTCTAATCTGAATAGTTTACTCAAAAGTACTTCTTTGTGTTAATTATTCAGCCATTGTTTTTAGATCTAGTTAATAGGTTCTATTTAATTTGCTGCAACATTTATTGAATGGGTGAGTGAAAGAACTGATGCATATTGGGAAATATCTTACCATTTTTTAAAGATAATGTTACATTAGGAAAAGAACACTTTTAAGGAATTTATAGCAGTGATGAAATGAATTCAGTCTATATCAGATACACCAAACTGTTGATGGTATTTAAATGTGACTGCAAGTTAGTATTTCTGTATATATTATTGATTACTGGTTTGTTTTTAGATATGTAAGTCTGTCCTAATCTACGGTTCACGTATTGACAGTTGCTCTGGTAATAATAGAATGTTAGTGATGATCACTTGGTGGATGTTGATTAAGTGCCTGTGTTTTGTTTTGTTTCCTCCTCTGGATACCAAATAGGTGTATGCTACTTTTTTGGTGAACTTATTTCTTGGAAGATTTGGTTATGCTATTCAGGGTTTTTATTCTTATGTTTTTCTTCTAAACTTAAGCAGCATCCTGCTGCTACCATATTAAAGCTCAAATTTAACTTTTGTGGAAAAATCAGCTAATTCAGGTAATCCAAATATTTGTGGAAAAACATCTGGGTAATTTATTGACCACATTAGTATTGTGTAGACAGCTTTGATTATTCCCATTGCATAGGTTTTTATTGTAGAATAGTCAACTTAATATAGATTCACTTTTAATTTACATGTATAAAGTAATACTCAATAAAAATTTTTTCATTTATTTAAAAAAAAGAAAACTAAGCAATCTGGCTCTAGACTCCATACTTTTAGATTGCTGTACCATTTCTCATCATAATGCTTGACTCTTAGGTGATATTTTGTCTTCTCCTGAGTCAGGCCTGGTGGTTACTATTTTCCCATTTTACAGATGAGGAAATTGAAGCCCAGAGAGGGGATTTGACTTGCTCAAGATCACAGAAATTTTCTGGTGTAATGGAAGGGGCTGTGAGCCCAGGCCAGATCTCCTGCAGTAGATAATAATCACACTAGCAGTTTTTAATTAATTTATTTATTTTTTTGAGACAGAGCATCGCTCTGTCGCCCAGGTTGGAGTGCAGTGGCGTAAACTCGGCTCACTGCAACCTCCGCCTCCCGGGTTTAAGTGATTCTCCTGCCTCAGCCTCCCAAGTAGCTGGGATTACAGGCACGCGCCACCACGCCCAGCTAATTTTTTTGAATTTTTAGTAGAGACGGGGTTTCACCATGTTGGTCAGGCTGGTCTCGAACTCCTGACCTCGTGATCCGCCCACCTCGGCCTCCCAAAGTGCTAGGATTACAGGAGCGAGCCACTGCGCCCGGCCACTAGCAGATTGTTTGTTTGTTTGTTTGTTTGTTTTTGGCTTTTTTGTTTTTTCTTTGAGACAGGGTCTCACTCTGTTACCCAGGCTGGAATGCAGTGGTGCAAACATGGGTCGCTGCAACCACTGCCTACCAGGCTTAAACAGTCCTCCCACCACAGCCTCCCAGGCAGCTGGGACTACAGGTACGCGCCATTACACCCAGCTAAATTGTTTTGTATTTTTTGTAGAGATGGGTTTTCCCCATATTACCCCGGCTGGGTGAATGTTTACTGGGTACTTACCAAGTATCAGGGGATGCATTCAGTGTTTTGTATGCATTTTTATTTTTATTTTGAGACAGGATCTGGCTCTGTTGCCCAGGCTGGGGTGCAGTGGCAGACCCTGGCTCACTGCAACCAGTCCTCCCAAGCTCAAGTGATCCTCCTACTTCAGCCTCCTGAGCAGCTGGGACTACAGGTGCACACCACCACACCTGGCAAAGTTTTGTATATTTTTTTGGTAGAGGTGGGGTTTCACCATGTTGCCCAGGCTGGTCTTTTTCTTTTTTAAGATGGAGTCTCGTTCTGTCGCCCAGGCTGGAGTGCAGTGGTGCAGTCTCGGCTCACTGCAGCCTCCGCCTCTCAGGCTCAGGCGATTCTCCTGCCTCAGCCTTCGAGTAGCTGGGATTACAGGCACGCACCACCATGCCCGGCTAATT
The DNA here is from genome assembly GCF_000001405.40 of Homo sapiens. Lineage (NCBI taxonomy): Eukaryota > Metazoa > Chordata > Mammalia > Primates > Hominidae > Homo > Homo sapiens. The sequence continues at coordinate 45,981,173 of NC_000020.11, forward strand.
TGTATTTTTAGTAGAGACGGGATTTTGCGGTGTTGGCCATGCTAGTCTCCTGACCTCAGGTGATCCACCCACCTCAGCCTCCCAAAGTGCTGGGATTACAGATGTGAGCTACCTTGCCCGGCCCTATGTGCATTTTTAAACTACAGTCACAACAGCCAGAGATATTAGATGCTCTCTGCATTCCCATGTTACGGATGAGGAACCTGAGGCCCCAGAGCAGTGACTGTCTGAGGTCATGTGCTTGATCGTCAGCAGAGGTAGGATTCAAACCCTGGCTTACTGACTCCCAGTCCAGTGCTCCTCATGTTGCACCAGATGCCCCGGAAGGGCAGCGGGGTTGAGAGTAGGCAGCCAGCAGGTGGGTCCGAGGGTTCATCTCTACCTGCTTTCTTCATGTCACTGCTGTCTATGGGTTTAGCTAACCCTGTTTTTAAAAACCTATTTATAGCTTAAGACTGTACCACCACTTGGGATAATGAGTCCCTTAAGTTGACTTCCCACGGTGTAAATTAAGATTTCCTTCTATTTGTCCTAAATCTTTCTCTTTCAGTATTGGAGGGGGATGGGGTAGTGGGGAAATGCCCTAGGGCCACAACACTTGGATTTAGAAAATAGGCTGAATGGGCTGGGTGCGGTGGCTCATGCCTGTAACCCCAGCACTTTGGGAGGCCAAGGTGGGTGGATCACCTGAGGTCAGAGTTTAAGACCAGCCTGGCCAACCTGGCGAAACCTCGTCTCTACTAAAAATACAAAAATTAGCTGGGCATAATGGCGGACGCCTGTAATCCCAGCTACTCGGGAGGCTGAGGCAGGAGAATTGCTTGAACTGGGGAGACAGAGGTTGCAGTGAGCCAAGATTGTGCCACTGCACTCCAGCCTGGGCCACAGAGCAAGACTCTGTCTCAAAATAAATAAATAAATAAAATAAAAGAAAAAGAAAATAGGCTGAAGTCCAAATAGTATTTGACTGTTTGTATGTGATGGTAATTCCTGACACCAGGCAGCAGGCGACATGTATGGAAACATCTCATCTGATCATTACAAAGACATAAAGGGTAGGCAGGGCCTGGATTTTTGTCTCCTTTAATCTGTCTTGTTTCCTGTGGTATCCTCACCATTGAGCACATTTTGGAGATACAGGTAGATACTAGATAGCTATTTGTTCTATGAATGAACCAATGAACCCTCATTTTATAGACAAGGAAACAAAGACCCAGAATATCAGGGGTCTAGCCAGGAAAACAAGACTTCTACCACTACTAGATGATTCCAAAGAGGGAATTTAGGCCAGATGAAGTGGTTCACGCCTGTAATCTCAGCGCTTTGGGAGACCAGGGTGAGAGGATCACTTGAGGTCAGGGGTTTGAGACCAGCCTAGGCAACATAGTGAGACCCTTGTCTGTACAAAAACATTGTTTTTTTTTTAATTAGCTGGGCATGGTGGCATGTGCCTGTAGTCCTAGCTATTGGGGAGGTTGTGGTGGGAGGATAGCTTGAGCCCAGGAGTTTGAGTCTGCAGTGAGCTATGACTGCGCCATTGCACTCCAGCCTGAGCAACAGAGCAAGACCCTGTCTCTGCCTCTAAACACATACACACAAGACACAACACAACACACAGAGGGAACTTAATGTGGAGAATTAGCTACAAAGTTGTTTTATGGGTAGAAATAGCAACCAGGGGAAGTTGAGGCAAACCTGAGATTAGCAACTTCATGAAGCTGCTACCTCACCCAGGGCTGGAAGTATTCATATCAAGGGAGGAGGTAGCATTACTGGAGACCAGCAACTGGGGCCACCCTGAGAGAAGCTGGAATCACAGCAGGTCTGTCTAGCAGGAGCTGAACCATGAAGGAGTCATTGCAACTGCTAAAGATCCCCCCACCCCATCCTTCCCGAAGACGAGAGAAATGGAGGAGAAAGACCCTGGCTTCTCCCTTCTTTCTCTCCAGTCTCTCACCAGGACTTCCCATTGGCCAATCCTAGCCAAAAGCCAGTTGGCAAGGGAGTCCAGGAAACATGGTTTGCAGGGATTAGCCTCTGCTGCACGGAGCAGAGCAGAAGGGCAGAGAATGGATTTGAGACAAACAGAAAAATTACCTGGCCCAAATTATCCCATACCTAGGAAGGATTGCATTGTGTATGCATTGTCAGGCAGTGCCCCTCCCCCAAGTCCATGTGACCTTTTTAGTCTCTTTATCTTTCTATGTCTGCCTTAAGTATCACCTCTTCCAGGAAGCCTTCTTCCCAGCAGAGCTGGTATTTCCCTTCAGCGCGTTCCCCTAGCATGCTCTGCCTACCTCTGTCACAGAACACACACCACCGTGAGATGCTGCCAGTTACCTGCCAGGCTCCTCGATGGACGGAGCCTCCCAAAGCCAGTCCTGAGTCTGGTTTGTTTCTCTGCTGAGCAGAAAATGATTGTTGAATGAGTCAGCTGTTGGAAGGATAACATGGGGCAAGGAACTCTAGAGTCAGACCAAACTGAGGGTCCACAAGTCTCAGTCTCCTCATCTGTAAAACGGGAACTTTGAGGAGTAAAAGAGAGAATGCGTGGCAGTGCAGTTAAGCTCATAGGCTCTGGAATCAGAACATCTGCAGTCAACCCCCAGCTCCGCTTGGAGTTACTTAACTTTCTACTCCTCTGTTTCTCTCTTATAAACTAGGGATGATATTAATATTTCATATGGTATCTGTGAGGATTAAATTAAACTGTGTGGAAAACAGTGCAAGTGCTTAATAAATGTACCTAGTATTATTATGTGTGGTGCCTAGTCACATGCCTGAACGTTGCATAGGTAAGAGGATATATATCAAACAGGGAACTTTCTTTCTTTCTTTCTTTTTTTGAGATGGAGTCTTGCTCTTGTCACCCAGGTTGGAGTGCAATGGTGCGAATACAGGCGTGAGCCACCGTGCCCGGCCTTTAATTTTTAATTAAAAAAAAATAGAGATGGGGGTTTCACTATGTTACCCAAGCTGGTCTTGAACTCCTGGCCTCAAGCAGTCCTCCAGCCTTGGCCTCTCAATGTGTTGGGATTACAGGTGTGAGCCACCGCACCTGGCCAGGATCTTGTCTTTCTTGTTGACCACTGTAGCCCCATTACCAAGCATAGTCACTGAAACGTAGTAGGTGCTTAGTCAATCTTTGGGGTTGTTTTTTAGGACAGGGTCTTGGTCTGTCACCCTGGCTAGGGTACAGTGGTACAAACATGGCTCAGTGTAGCCTTGACGTCCTGAGCTCAAGCGATCCTCCCACCTCAGCCTCCCCTGCTCCCAAGTAGCTGAGACCACAGGCCTGCACCACACGAATTTTTTTTTTTAATTTTTTTTTTTTTTTGAGACGGAGTCTCGCTCTGTCGCCCAGGCTGGAGTGCAGTGGCGCGATCTCGGCTCACTGCAAGCTCTGCCTCCCGGGTTCACGCCATTCACCTGCCTCAGCCTCCCGAGTAGCTGGGACTACAGGCGCCCGCCACCACGCCCGGCTAATTTTTTGTATTTTTAGTAGAGACGGGGTTTCACCGTGTTAGCCAGGATGGTCTCGATCTCCTGACCTCGTGATCCGCCCGCCTCGGCCTCCCAAAGTGCTGGGATTACAGGCGTGAGCCACCGCGCCTGGCCTTTTTTTAATTTTTATTTTGTAGTGACGAGGTCTCACCATGTTGCCTAGGCTGGTCCCTAACTTATGGACTCAAGCGATCTGCCTGCCTCAATCCCCCCAAGTGCTGGGATTACATATGTGTGCCACCACCCCTGGCTTCAATCAATCTTTTCTGGGCCATAGAACAATGGCTGAGTTTCATTTGATAACATCAGTCTGCCTGTGAGTCCAGTGTCTAGTTCTGTGACCTTCCCCTCTGTCCCAGGCACCACAGAGGATATTCGGCCTACACCACCAGCCCAACCCTGGCACTGAGGCCTCTCCAACAGGTCAAGGGACCACCCTGGGATTAAAGGTGGGGACTTTGGAGCCTGGGAGGAGGGGGCATGCATGGAAGCAGACAAGGGTCTAGAGCAAAGGACTAGCAAAGGAATCTAACACTTATTGAGCATCTACTGTGTGCCAAGTGCTGTACACACTTTATTGCATTTCATCCTTACAGCAGCCTGCAAAGCACAGATTGTTATGCCCACTTCAGAGGTGATGAAATGTGAGTTCCAGGGGTGAAGACACTCACCGAAGGTCATACAGAAATGAAGGAGCACAGTTGGATTTGAACTCCAGACTGTCTGACTCAACCCCCTGTTCTTTTTTCTTTCTTTTTTTTTTCTTTTGAGACAGAGTCTCGCTCTGTCTCCCAGGCAAGATCTTGGCTGTACAGTGGCAAGATCTTGGCTCACTGTAACCTCCACCTCCTGGGTTCAAGCAAGCACATCCAGCTTATTTTTGTATTTTTAGTAGAGACACCGCTTTAGCCAGGCTGGTCTCGAACTCCTGACCTCAAGTGGTCCACCTGCCTAGGCCTCCCAAAGTGCTAGGATTGCAGATATGAACCACTATGCCTGGTCCTCCCTGTTCTTTTCACTGTACCCAAGCTGCCTCCCAGAGGAAGGAGGAGGTAGGGGAATGGAAGGCAGGAGGAGGCAGGGGAATGGAAGCTGAGCCTCAAGCCATACGGGAAGCCATGAGAGCCAATGCTGAGGCCAGGCTCAGGCAGAATGACAGCTTGAGACCATGACTTTGACAGCTGTGCCGAGGTTGGCCTGAAAGCAAGTGGCTGGGGAAGACGAGCTGTGATTGTCAAGACAAGAGATAGCCAGGGGCTTCAGCAGGGCGCTGAGGAGGTGCTGGGCCCCGAACAGAATGTCCTTGAGCCCCGAACCCAACAGAACAAGCTCCCTACTTACTTGCTCTGTGACCTTAGCAAGTCACTCAATCATCTCAGTTGGGCGTCCTCACTTGTCACACAGAGTCACCACACATGCTGAGTTGCCAAGGGATGACATGAGACAATGCAAGGAGACAGAACTGGGTCAAGTCCAGGTGAGGACTCAATTACCAATTAATCTATGATCTGAGGCAAGTCACTTCACCTCTCTAAGCCTCAGTCTCCCTACCTAGCAAATGGGCACAGCTCCTGTCACACCAGTTTGCTGTGAAGATGTAGTGATTAAAGTATGGGCTCTGGAGTAGGTTTCCCTGGGTTCAAATCATGTTCCACCACCTTAAGTTGCTTGGTTCTTTTCTTTCTTTCTCTTTCTTTCTTTCTTTCTTTCTTTCTTTCTTTCTTTCTTTCTTTCTTTCTTTCTTTCTTCTTTTCTTTTTCTTTCTTTTCTTTCTTTCTTTCTTTCTTTCTTTCCTTCCTTCCTTCCTTCTTCCTTCCTTCCTTCCTCCCTCCCTCCTTCTCTCTTTCTTTCTTTCCCCTCTCTCTCTTTCTTTCTTTTTTTCAGACAGAGTCTCCCTCTGTCTCCCAGGCAGGAGTGCAGTGGCGCAATTTCAGCTCATTGCAACCTCCACCTCCTGGGTTCAAAGGTGATTCTCCTGCCTCAGCCTCCCATGTAGCTGGGATTACAGGCTCTCGCCACTGCGCTCAGCTGATTTTTTGTATTTTTTTTTTTTTTGTAGAGATGGGTTTTCGCCATGTTGGCCGGGCTGGTCTCGAACTCCTGACCTCAATTGATCCTCCCACCTCGGCCTCTCAAAGTGCTGGGATTATAGGTGTGAGCCATCAATCCCGGCAGTTCTTTTTTTTTAAGCCCCTTCCTGTCTAGGAATTGCTAGGTTTTTCTGTACCTTGGTTTCCTCCCCTGGAAAGTGGAGGGTGAAGATAAGCACACTTACTTCATGGAGATGTGATATTAAATGATCTCCTCACCAGGAAGAACGCAGAATGGCGTCTGGCACAGGTGAGCTCTCTGTCACTGAAATCATGAGCCCTGGGTCTAGCACCTAATAGTAACTAATGCTTGCTGCTTGATGGGCACCACTTTGGACACTTTACGCTTTGACTGTAATCCTCAAAGCAGTCCTATGAGCTAGGTAATATGACTGTCCCCATTTTATCCATGAGGAGCTGAGTTATTCTGATGTCCAATGACTTGCCAGAGGTCACACAGCAGTCAGGTCCCAGACCAGGATTTGAGCTCTGGCAGACTCTGTTATTTATTCATCCCTAATGAAGTCTTCACAAATGGTGCAATTAGGACGTCTACGTTATGTATGAACGTGTTTTGGAACCAGAAGAGATGTAAGTGGAGAATGCCTTCAAGGAGCCCTAAAGGCTGGGCGAGGAGGGTGGGGTGAAAGGATGGAGGGACCACTCTGTTCAGCTCCCGTTTGCTGCCAGCAGGGGGCACCCGCTGCCTCCACCAGGTCTCCCAGACCTGAACCAGGAGGCCGGGCTGGAGACCTGTCCAGTGGCCCATCCAGGCGGACCTTGGGGACCACGCGCAGGGGCTGCAGAGAGTGGCGGTGTTAGCCCGTGCAAAGCCAGGGGCATGCCAAGAGAGGTTTATCTCCCCAAGCGGGCTGCGGAGCTGCCTCAAACAGACCTTCCAAAAGATGCAGATGCTTCAGCCTCATCTGGCCCCTCCTCCCAGCAGAACCTTCTGGGTGGCCAGGCGCCATGGCTCAGGCCTCTAATCCCAACACTTTGGGAGGCCAGGAGTTCGAGACCAGCCTGGGCAACACAGGGAGACCCCCCCCCCCCCGTCTCTAAAAAAAAGTTAAAAAAAATTGCCGAGTATGGTGACGCGTGCCTGTAGTCCCAACTACTCCGGAGGCTGAGGTGGGAGGATTGCTTGAGCCTAGGAGGTCGAGGCTGCAGTGAGCTGTGATCGTGCCATTGCACGATCCAGCCAGGTGACAAAATGAGACAATGCCTCAAAAACAAAAAAATACATATATATATATGTATATGGGCTGGGCACACGTGGCTCACGACTGTAATCCCAGCACTTTGGGAGGCCGAGGAGGGCAGATCACTTGAGGTCAGGAGTTCGAGACCAGCCTGGCTAACATGATTATCTGTTCCTTGTGTACCCTCCAGAAATGTTTTTTGTTTGTTTTTTGAGACAGAGTCTTATTCTGTCACCCAGGCTGGAGTGCAGTGGTGCAGTCTCGGCTCACTGCAGCCTCTGCCTCCTGGGTTCGAGGGATTCTCGTGCCTCAGCCTCCCTAGTAGCTGGGATTACAGGCATGTGCCACCACGCCCGGTTAATTTTTGTATTTTTTAGAAGTGATGGGGTTTCACTGTGTTGCCCAAGCTGGTCTCAAAATCCTAGCCTCAAATGAACCACCCTTCTCAGCCTCCCAAAGTGCTGGGATTACAGGGGTGAGCCACCACACCTGGCCTAGAAATGTTTTAGGAATACACACAACTAATTTTGATTACCACTACTTTGAAAACATTTTGATCACCACAAAAGAAAACCTTGTATCAATTAAGCAATCTATCTTTATTTCCCCTCACACCAGGGTCATTTATTTTGTTTTGTTGGCCTTTTTTTTTTTTTTTGAGATGGTGTCTCACTCTGTCACCTAGGCTGGAATGCCATGATGCCATCTCAGCTCACTGCAACCTACACCTCCCAGATTTAAGCGCTTCTCTCACCTCAGCCTCCCGAGTAGCTGGGATTATAGGCACCCACCATCAAACCTGGCAAATTTTTGTATTTTGAGTACAGACAGGGTTTCATGATGTTTGCCAGGCTGATCTTGATCTCCTGACCTCAGGTGATCTGCCTGCCTCAGCCTCCCAAAGTTCTGGGATTACAGACGTGAGCCACCGTGCCCGGCCAACCATTTGTTTTTATGGAGCTAAATTTATTGATTTTTTTTTTTTTTTTGAGACAGAGATCTTGCTCTGTCACTCAGGCTGGAGTGCAGTGTTGTGATCATAGCTCACTGCAGCCTCGAACTCCTGGGCTCATGCTATCCTCCTGCCTCAGCCTCCTGAGTAGCTAGGACTACAGGTGCACACCACCACAACCAGTTTATTGATCTTTTTCATAATGGCCCGAAGATTTTGTGCCGTGCATGGGAATGCTTTTCTCACTTGATTATTAAAAGGCAAAGGAGGCCAGGCATGGTGGCTCATGCCTGTAATCTCAGCACTTTGGGAGGCTGAAGTGGGTGGATCACTTGAGGTCAGGAGTTCGAGACCAGCCTGACCACATGGTGAAATCTCATCTCTACTAAAAATACAAAATAGCCAGGCATGGTGGCACACGCCTGTTATCCCAGTTACTCGAGAGGCTGAAGCAGGAGAATCATTTGATCCCAGGAGACGGAGTTTGCAGTGAGCTGAGATCATGCCACTGCACTCCAGCCTGGGCAACAGAGTGAGACTCTGTCTCAAAAAAAAGCAATGGATTTGCAAATTATTATTAATGGTCAGTGAAATTTTAAAACCTGGGAACCACTGTTGTAGATCACCCTCCCTAGAATAGGAGTTCCTGGAAGTGTAGGGACCTCCCATTTGTCCCCATCTATAGCCCCCAGAACAAAGTTGGATAGTGAGTAAGTATGCAGTAAATGGTGGTTAAAGGCAGTTTCTACCTCCAGATTATAAAAGGAAAACATCTCATATTCTCTTCTAGTCCTTTTAGGGTGTGTTTTTTTAAATTATGTTTTTTATCCATCTGGGGTTTATTTTAGTGATGAGAATGAGGTAGAGATACAGCTTTTTTTCCAAGTGGCTAGCCAGTTGAACCAACACCATATTGAATAATCTATCTTCCCCCTACTGATTTGAAATGCCACCTTTAGCATATACTCAATTCCCACATGTATTTGGGTCTATTTCTGGACTCCCTATCCTGTCCTGGTGATGGCTCTGTCTGGGATTCTATATTTTTTTGAAGCTCCCCAGGTGATTCTGATGCAGCCAGTCTGCAGATGGTGCTTATCTATGATGAGATATTTTTGTGGATTCTTAGCAATGAAGGAAAAAAGAGTATCACAAACTTAAATTTCTTTCTGAGGGTCCTTCTTTTATTTTGTGATTATGTACTTACTATACTTTTGATTTTAAGATTTTTAAATAAATTAACATTGATAGTAGATTAGTAGATGGTCATTCTGGCTTATTTATTTCCAAGTACTTTTTTTTTTTTTTTTTTTGAGACAGAGTTTTGCTCTTGTTGCCCAGTCTGGAGTGCAATGGCATGATCTCAGCTCACCGCAACCTCCGCCTCCCGGATTCAAGTGATTCTCCTGCCTCAGCCTCCCGAATAGCTGGGATTACATGCACATGCCACCACACACAGCTCATTTTGTATTTTTAGTAGAGACAGGGTTTCTCCATGTTGGTCAGGCTGGTCTCGAACTCCTGACCTCAGGTGATCTGCCTGCCTCTGTCTCCTAAAATGCTGGGATTACAGTCGTGATAGAATTGTATACTTAAAATAGGTGAGTCTTGTAGGCGTGAGCCACTGCACCCGGCCTTCTAAGTACATTTTTAAAGGAGTATAACATAGAGAACATAGAGAAATGTGCACAAACTGTAAGTGTACAGCTTGATGAATTCTCACTAATTGTACACACCTGTATTAGTATCATACGGCTGCTATCATAGATTAACACAAACCTCGTGGCTTAAAAGAGCAGAAATGTATTATCCTACAGTTTGGAGGCCAAAAGTCCAAAATCAAGGTGTTGGCAGCTCTAGAGGAGAATCCTTCCTTGACTCTTCCAGCTTCTAGTAGCTCCAGGAGTTCCTTGGCTTGTGGCAGCATCACACCAGCCTCTCTGCCTCCATGGCCTTCTTCTCTTCATCTCTGTTTCAAATCTCCTTCAGCCTTTCTCTCTCTCTCTCTCTTTTTTTTTTTTTTTTTTTTTTGTTGTTGAGACTGAGTCTTGCTCTGTTGCCAAGGCTGGAGTGCAGTGGCACGATCTCCACTCACTGCAACCTCTGCCTCCTGGGTTTAAGCGATTCTCTTGCCTCAGCTTCCCGAGTAGCTGCGATTACAGGCCTGCACCACCACACCCGGCTAATTTTTGTATTTTTGGTAGAAACGGGGTTTCACCATGCTGGCCAGGCTGGTCTCGAACTCCTGACCTCAGGTGGTCCACCTGCCTTGGCCTTCCAAAGTGCTGGGATTACAGGCACGAGCCATCTTGCCTGGCCAGCTTTTATCTTATAAGGACAGCCAGTCATTGGATTTATGGCCCACACTAATCCAGAATGATCTCATCTCAAGATCTTTAATTCCATCTGCAAAGACCCTTTTTTCCAAATAAGGTCACATTCAGGGGTTCTAGGCTAATATATCTTATTACTGATGGGGAGCACAATTCAACCCATGACATCACCCATGCCACCAACAATCCCATATCAAGAAGTAGGATGGGCCAGGCGCGGTGGCTCATGTCTGTAATCCCAGCACTTTGGGAGGCTGAGGCAGGAGGATCGCTTGAACCCAGGAGTATGAGGTTGCAGGGAGCTCTGATCAAGCCATTACACTCCAACCTGGGAGACAGTGAGACCCTGTCTCAAAAAAAAAAAAAAAAAAGAAAAGAAAGGAAAATAAATAGGATATCATACAATGCCAGAAGACTCCTCCATACTTTGCCTGGCAGTGGAGTGACCACTATCTTATCTTAATTTTCTTCTTCTTCTGTTTTTTTTTTTTTTTTTTTTTTTTTTTGAGGCAGGGACTCAGCCTAGCCCAGTCTGGAGTGCAGTGGTGCAATCACAGTTCACTGTAACCTCAAGCTGGGCTCAAGTGATCCTCCCATCTCAGTCTCCTGAGTAGCTGAGACTACACAGACACACACGACCAAGCCCAGTGAATTTTTTGACTGTGGAGACGAGGTCTCATTATGTCACCCAGGCTGGTCTTGAACCCCTGGACTCAAACAATCTTCCCGCTGTGGCTTCCCAAAGTGCTGGGATTACAGGTATGGGCCACTGCACCTGGCCCAACTTTTTATTTTGAAAAATTCTCAAACCTTCACAGAAGTTGCAGGAGTAGTACAATGACCTTCACTCATAACCTTCATCTAGACTCACCAGTTGTTAATATATTTCTATATTTATAATACTTCCTCTTCTCTCTCTCTATTTATTTATATTTATACATGTAATACTTTTTTTTTCTGAACCACAAGGGAGTTAGTTGCACACATCTTCACATTTCACCCTTAAACCTCCAAAGAATAAGGGCAGTTTCTTACATAACCACAGTACAATTATCCAACATATAATCTACATTCAAATTTCTCAGCCGGGCATGGTGGCTGACGCCTGTGACCCCAGCACTTTGGGAGGCGGAGGTAGGCGGATCACCTGAGGTCAGGAGGTTGAGATCAGCCTGGTCAACGTGGTGAAACCCCATCTCTACTAAAAATACAAAAATTAGCGGAGCGTGGTGGTGCATGCTTGTAGTCCCAGCTACTTAGGATGCTGAGGCAGGAGACTGCTTGAATCTGGGAGGTGGAGGTTGCCAAGATCGCGCCACTGCATTCCAGCCTGGGCAACAGAGTGAGACTCTGTCTCAAAAAACAAACGAACAAACCAAAAAATAAAAAAACCCCACAAATGTCTCCAGTTGTCCCACAGACATCCCTTAATGTGGGCAATTTAAAACATTAAAAACCCAGGGTCCAATCAAGAAATTCACATTACTTTTAGTGTTCATGTTCTCTTTCTTGTGGTCATTATTTGACTGATTTATTTATTTATTTATTTGACAGTCTCACCCTGTTGCCCAGGCTGGAGTGCAGTGGTGTCATCTTGGCTCACTGCAACCTCCACCTCCCAGGTTCAAATGATTCTCCTCCTTCAACCTCTCGAGTAGCTGAGACTACAGGCACACGCCACCATGCCCGGCTCATTTTTGTATTTCTAGTAGAGACAGAGTTTCGCTGTGTTGGTCAGCTGGTCTTGAACTCCTGACCTCAGGTGATCTGCCTGCCTCGGCCTCCCAAAGTGTTGGGATTACAGGTGTGAGCCACCGCTCCTGGCTGAGATCCAGTTTCTTAAATAGGTTCTGGGGCTTTAGAAGTTGGAGGACTAGCTGGGCACGGTGGCTCGTGCCTATAATCCCAGATAATTGGGAGGCTGAGGTGGGAGGATCACTTGAACGGAGACGTTCGAGTACAGCCTGGGCAACAAAGTGAGACCTCCTGTCTTTCTATTTAAAAAAAAAAGGAAGAAGGAAGGAAGGAAGGAAAAAGAAAGGAGAGGAGAGGAGAGGAGAGGGGAGGAGAGGAGAGGCGAGGGGAGGGGAGGGGAGGGGAGAGGAGAGGAGGAAATTAGAGGACCCCTGAGTCAGGGGAAGCTACTCTAGTCTCTAAGGTCAGCCTGAGTGGGGTTTTGGGGTGCTTTGCAGGGAAGAGAGGAACCTCGCCTGCTCTCTTCGCAGGCTCCAGGTCTGCTCTGAGCCCACATCTGCCCGAAGGCATGCCCGCTGGGGTGTTCCTTGCTGAGCGAGTGAGGCAATCCCTGCAAGGGAGGTGTGGTGGTTCTGGCGTGAGCCTGAACCTTGGGGCAAGAGGGAAGGACAATGTACTTCTCAGCCATTGCAGGGTGTGTGTAACCTGCCCTGCCAGTGGGTGACTCAGGCTGAAACCAGACCCAGCATTCACCCTGTCTAAGCCTAGTTGGTTAGTGTCTGGAGTGCTGTCAATTGCTTTACATTTGCCCTTCAGGGAAATGCTTTTGCACTGACAGGCGGGGCCCAGATTGGAGGTTGTCAAATCTGCAAAGCCCTACTCCTCCATTTCCACATGGCAGACTCCTATTCACACTCCAAAACCCGGCCCAGGTAGTGCTCCTGCTGAACCCTTTCCTGACCTCTGACCCCTCCCCCATGGAGTGAATAATGTTGTCTTCCAATATGCACTCTGGAGCCAGACTGCCTGGGTGTGAATCCCTTCTCTGCCACTTACTAGCTGTGTAATCTTGGTCAAGTTACTTAACTTCTCTGTACTTCTACATCTGCGGAATGGGAAAAATTATAGCACCCATTTCACTGGGTAGTTGTGGGGGTTAAATGAGTTATTATACATAAATACTTAGGACAGTGCTTGGCACACAATATGAGCTCAAAAAGAGCTGACTAGTATTACTCTTATTATTATTATTATTTAGACAGAGTCTTGCTCTGTTGCCCAGGCTGGAGTACAGTGGCTTGATCTTGGCTCACTGTAACCTCTGCGTCCCAGGTTCAAGCAGTTCTCGTGCCTCAGCCTCCTGGGTAACTAGGATTACAGGCGAGTGCCACCACACCCCACTAATTTTTTTTTTTTTTAGGTTTTTTTTTTTTGTATTTTTAGTAGAGACGGGGTATTTTTTTTTTTTTTTTTAGATGGAGTTTTCGCTCTTTTCACCCAGGCTGGAGTGCAATGGCGCAATCTTGGCTCACCGCAACCTCCGCCTCCTGAGTTCAAGCGATTCTCCTGCCTCAGCCTCCCGAGTAACTGGGATTACAGGCATGTGCCTCCACGCCCGGCTAATTTTGTATTTTTAGTAGAGATGGGGTTTCTCCATGTTGGTCAGGCTGGTCTCGGACTCCTGACCTCAGGTGATCCGCCCGCCTCGGCCTCCCAAAGTGCTAGGATTACAGGCGTGAGCCACCGCGCCCAGCTGAGATGGGGTATTTTGTATTTTTAGTAGAGATGGGGGTTTCACCATGTTGGCCAGGCTGGTCTTGAATTCCTGGCCTCAAGTGATCCTCTCACCTTGGCCTCCCAAAATATTGGGATTACAGGTGTAAGCCACTGCGTCCGGCCACTCTTATGTTTGTATTTAAGAAATACCTAAGGCTGAGCGTGGTGGCTCATGCCTGAAGTCTCAGCTACTCCAGAGGCTGAGGCAGGAGGATTGCTTCAGCCTAGGAGTTTAAGGTTACAATGAGACATGATCGTGCCACTGCACTCCAGCCTGGGCAATAGAGCAGGATCCTGTCTGTCAAAGAAAGAGAAGAAATACCTGAGAATATAGTGAACACAGCACATAAGTTTCCTGCACCCATGATATGTTCTCAGCCTGTGTGGACAGATAGACAAATAAACAGGAAATTCACTCTGAATGATGAAAAATGTCTCAGTAAGGGAAGTGGTGGGCTGAGGGGAGTCATGGGAGCACAGAAAAAGCCCCCTTCCCAGGTTGGGGTGGTCAGCAGCATTTTCCTGGAATAAATGACAACTCAGCTGAAATATAAAAGATGAATAAGATTTAGCCAGGCAAAGAGGGAGGGCAGAGAGGGGAAGCGTGGGAAGGGTTTGAGGCAGGAGGGATGGATAGTGCAAAGGCTCAGAAGCCAGAGTTCTTGATGTATTTCAAGAACCGAAGCTCAGGATGGAGCGTGGATCCCGGAGCGTGGGTGGGTGGGTGCCCTTGGCATATACACCAGTTATTCACTGTGTCTCTTTGTGATCTGTCTTCCTTCCTAGTGTGTGAGCTCCTGCAGGACAAAGCTCACATCTCCTTGAATTCCCTGCGCCCAGCACCCAGCTCAGCACTCAGCAGGGATTCAATAAATGTTTGCTGAATGGAAATGAGAAATTTGAGAACCCATCAGGGAGCCATCTTGGGCAACCTTTTCATTTGCTTAACCTGTGAATTTGGAATTCTTGTTAGCCTTGGGCTATTCTTAATAGCCAAGTTTATTTGTTTGTTCAGAATTGTCATCTGCTGTGCGTCTCAGACTCCTCTGAATGAGGTGGTTCTGTCCGGGCAAAGTCAAGTTTCTGGCCCAACAAGGTGAAACCTGATCCTTTGAGTCCCTCTCTGGATGCCATTCTGTAAACTTTCTTTCTTACCATCTGTAAACTTTCTTTCTTTCTTTCTTTCCTTCCTTCCTTCCTTCCTTCCTTCCTTCCTTCCTTCCTTCCTTCCCTCCTTCCTTCCTTCCTTTCTTTCTTTCTTTCTTTTTGAGACAGTCTCACTCTGTCACCCAGACTGGAGTGCAATGGCGCGATCTTGGCTCACTGCAACCTCCACCTCCTGGGTTCAAGCGATTCTCCTGTCTCAGCCTCCCGAGTAGTTGGGATTACAGGTGCACACTACCATGCCTGCCTAATTTTTGTGTTTTTATTAGAGACGGGGTTTCACCATGTTGGCCAGGCTGGTTTTGAACTCTTGACCTCAGGTGATCCACCCACCTCGGCCTCCCAAAGTGCTGGGATTACAGGTGTGAGCCACCGCGCCCAGCAATTTTTTTTTTTTTTTTTTTTTTTTTTGAGATGAAGTCTTGCTCTGTCGCCCAGGCTGGAGAGCAGTGGCGCCATCTAGGCTCACTGCAACCTCTGCCTCCCAGGTTCAAGTGATTCTCCTGCCTCAGCCTCCCCAGTAGCTGGTATTACAAGCGCCCGCCACCACGCCCAGCTAATTTGTGTGTGTGTGTGTATTTTTAGTAGAGATGGGGTTTCACCATGTTGGCCAGGCTGGTCTCGACCTCAGATGGTCAGCCTGCCTCGGCCTCCCAAAGTGCTAGGATTACAGGCATGAGCCACCGCACCTGGCCAAACTTTCTTTTTTTTTTGAGACAAGGGCTCGCTCTGTCGCCCAGGCTGGAGTGCAGTCGTGTGATCACGGTTCGCTGCAGCCTCGACCTCCTAGGCTCAAGTTATCCTCCCACCTCAGCCTCCTGAGTAGCTAGGACCACAGGTGCATGCCACCACATGTGGCTAATTTTTTTTACTGTTGTGGAGAAAGGAGGAGGGAGAGGGGAGTCTCATTATCTTGCCCAGGCTAGTCTTAAACTCCTGGACTCAAGCAGGCCTCTCACCTTGGCCTCCCAAAGTGCTGGGATTACAGGCATGAGCCATCATGCCTGGTCATCTGTAAACTTTCAAACTTTGCCTTGTATCAGGTCACCTGGGGATCTTATGCAGGTGAGGCAGATTCTGATTCAGTATGTCTGTGGTCTGGCCCGAGATTCTGCATTTCTGACTGGCTCCCAGGTGATGCCAATGCTGCCGGTCCGTGGATTACACTTTGAGTAGCAAGCCGTTAGACAACATTCACATCTTTCCTGGCCCTCACTGCAATGACGACTTTAAAAGCAGGTTGGAGTCAGGCTCAGCAGGGCCTTGGATGCCAGGCTAAGGAGTTCAGCATTTATTCTGGAGGCAATAAGGAGCTGGATGCTGGGTGCTAGAGGGGCTGAGCTATTGCAAAAACAGGAGAGAGAGGTGGCAAGGCTGAAGCTCAGGCAGAGGCAGTGGGAATGCAGAGGATGGTGGTGTCCTGGGCTGAACTGTGTTCCCCTCAAAAAATTCAGTGTTGAAACCTTAACCCCTAGCACTTCAGAAGGTGACTGTATTTGGAGATAGGGTATTTAAAGAGGTAATTAAGTTAAAATGAGGTCATGGGAATGGGCCTTAATCCAATATGACTGGCGTCCTTAAGAAGAGGAAATTAGGACACAGACATGCACAGAGGGGAGACCATGCGAAGACAAGGAAAGTAGACGGCCATCTACAGACCCAGGAAGGGGGGCTCAGAAGAAACCAGCCCTGCCAGCACCTTGATCTAGGACTTCTGCCTCCAGAACTATGAGAAAATACATTTCTGTTGTTTAAGCCACCCATCTATGGGACTTTGTTATGGCAGCCCATGCAAGCAAATAAATACAGAGGGGCTGGATTAAAGAGGACTGTCCAGGTTGTCAGTTACTTGAATGTCATTGTGGGGGGCTATCGGATGCCATACAGGTGATTTGGAAATTGGGAAGGCCTGGGAATGAATAGGAAGCTGGAGGAGGGGCCCAGAGGGAGGAGCAGGGCTGGGGAGGACTGGATTTGGACCAGGTTACATTGGAGGTGCCACTGGGACCTCGGCAGGTGCTACCCAGGGGGCTTTAGGAAATGAGGCCAGTGGTGCTTTCCGTTAAAGCCAGGCACTCAGGGAGTGAGGAGAAGGAAGAGAATGGTCCTGTATTAGTGGGGGCCCTGGGTTTTAAATAAGCAAAACTGGCTCAGGCTAACTTAAGCAAAAAGGAATGTACTAAACAGATTTCTGGAGGCTCACAGCAGCGATGTGAAGGCTCAAGGCCAAGCTTGGAAGGTGAGCTGGTGTCGAGGGAGACTGGCCCACAGTGGGCACGATCAGGAACGCGTAGCAGGGTCAGCCTGGACTGACCCTGGAGGACCCTCAGGACTGCTGGGCTCTGCTCATACATCAATCCAGCAGTCTCCTAAGATTCAGAGATCTGGGGGGAGCATCCTATGGCCCAAACCCAGTCACATGTCTGCATCCCTGATGCCCGGGGGAGGTTTCCAGTGGGAGGATACCTCTCCATCCCTGGAAGATTAAAGATGGCTGCATGCTCTGTGATACTCCTTTCATATCACAGGAGATAGAGAATTGGGCTCTATCTTCCTCTCCTGGCCTGTGACTGCTTTGGCCAATAGAATACAGTGGATGTGACACTATGCCAGCTTCAGGCCCAGACTTTAAGGGAAGTGGCAGCTTCTGCCTTGGTCTCTGGGAGCCCTGAGTCACTCACTCCGTAAGAAGACTGACTGGAGAGACCACATGGAGATTACGTGGGGAAGGGAGAAGGGCACACTACAGCCCAGCCTTCCAGCTAGCTCTGCCAAGACCCCAGTGTTTTATATACATATTTTTCTTTTTTATTTTAGAGATGGTGGTCTTGCTATGTTGCCCAGGCTGGTCTCAAACTCCTGGGCTCAAACAATCCTCCCACCTCGCCCTCCCAAAGTGCTGGGATCACAGGCATGAGTCACCGCACCGGCTGACCCCCATGTTTTAAATTGTACCTGGGATTTTGTTTTTATTCAGGTATGGCGAGGCCAACAGATCAGGAGATGATTGTCATTGAAAGACAGTTGGTTAACCACAGTTCTCAAGAGGAGGGGGCATGCCATGTCACACAGGGCCACATGGGGAAGTACCAGCATCAGTCAGGAGGCAGAAGGAGGAAGGGGGAAGTGTGGGCCAGAGTCTTCATTGTGATTTTGGTGGGAAGGAATAGGCAAGGCAGGGTAGACAAGCTGGATGGGTTTAGGACTGGCTAGCTTGAACAATTCCCTTGGGTTCTGGGCTATAGGGGTGGTCCCTAGTTGTCTAGTACCTAAGCAGGATGATCTAGAATGGGGGATAGCATCCTGAACTGCAGGAGCTGATAAAAGGAGGTAGGAGGTGGATGGGGGTTATGGAATCAAGATTGGTTGGTTTGCACATTAAGAGGTGCTCCCAGGCAAGATTGCCATCTCTAGGAATTAGCTATCCCTAGGAGGGGCAGTCCCTTTTCGGGTCCATAAGGCCCCTGGATGTCAAAGCATCATAAAATACAGAAAAGAAAAAACACGATTAATAGGCCAGGCGTGGTGGCTCACACCTGCAATCCCAGCACTTTTGGAGGCTGAGGCAGGAGTATCACTTGAGCCCAGGAGTTTGACACAAACCTGAGCAACACAGTGAGACTCCATCTCTGCCAAAAACAAACAAAAAATTTGCTGGGTGTGGTGGCGCATGCCTGTAGTAGCAGCTACTCAGGAGGCTGGGGCGGGAGGATCACTTAAGCCCAGGAGTTAGGGGCTGCCATGAGCTATGTTCGTGCCACTGCACTCCAGCCTGGGAGAAAAAGTGAGACTCTGACTCAAAAAATAAAAAATAAAAACATGATGAATCCATCCAGGAATGGGAGTAAAACACCTTGGACTTTCCAGTCCACACTGAGCCACCAGCTGACTCCCTCAGCTGAGGCCTCAGGCATCATAGAGCAGAAGGAGCAGCCCTGCTGTGTTCTGTCCAAATTTCTGACCCACAGAATAGTGAGATACAGTCACAATAAATTGTTTCAGAGCCTTTAAATTTCGAGGCCGTTTGTCATGCAGGTGTAGATTTCTGGAGCCCCTCCACCCTCCAAGACTCACTCATTAGCAGATTCCTTCCCAATCTCAGAAGGGACTTGGGAAAGATAATTCCATGATTGGTTAAAGACATGACTCCCATGACCATATAATCAGCTTAATTTTAACTCCCATTACAAAGATGAAGAAACTGAGGTTCAGGGAGGGAAAGTCATTTACCCAAGGTCACACAGTGCAAATTCAAATCCAGGTATGCCAGATTCCAGCATCCAGCCCCTTCCACTGTACCAGCTGTCACCTAGTTGGCCTCTTTATGGAGCCCATGGTTGGAGCTGAGAGAGCCTTATGGATGGTCTCCAAACCAGGCCCCCCATGAATCTCACCCGCCCCCTCTCCATGTGCTCCCCGTGTTTTCCCATTGGAGAAATCCCGCATCGCCTCTCATCAGGAGCTGGGCTGGAACTGCTACTTCCAGACCCTGGGAAGCTTCGAGTGCTTCCCTTCCGCTGGCCTTCCTTGCATCCATGCAGAGACTGTGCCATCTTCCCTGCATCCCAGCACCCCCGGCTTCAGGTGTATCAAAGTCCCAGCGCTGCGTGAAGTTCAGGTTTGAACACATCTCAGCAGGCTTTGTGAATACATTAGTTTTTGTTTTCCCCTAACATGCCACAGGGGTGGGAGGAATGGGAGGGGGCACTGGAATTTAATATGCAAATGTATGCAGATCGCATCTAAATGAGGGTGTCCCAGGTTTAATGGGAAGAACAGGCAATCAGAGCAGGCCCAGCCCAGCCTGCAGCCCTGGGGCTCTGCAGCAGCACAGTCAGAAATGACTCTCCGGGGAGGGTGTCTTGGGCTCTTTTACAGAGCGTGTTCTTTGAAGCAATGTCTCCGCAGCACAGGGGAAGGAAGAGCTGCGGAAATTGGTTCTGGATACTTCCTGGCAAAGTGTTCTCAATTGCTTCAACTATGTTGGGGGTGGGTGGGAGAGAGGGGGTAGAATCTCTGAACCTCTCAGTGAACACAGCCAGCAGCGGCTGTCCCTATCAGTGATTTCTAAACCGAAGGAGCTTGCTAACATCTACTTCCAGATCACACTGATTACTAAACCAGAATCTCTTGAGAACCTTTGTTTTTTAAAAGTCCCTGGCTTTAGGAAATACTGACACTAACCAGGCGTTCTTAATCTGGAGACTCTTACAGGTTCCGGGGCCCGGTATAGCAATGTTATTAACCCTTCCTGCATATTAGAATCACCGAGGCTTAAAAAATTTCCCAACGCTCAGGCTGTACCCTAGACCAATTAAGTCAGAATCTACAGGAGGGGAGGTGAAAGTCAGGCATCAGTATTCAAGAGAAAATCCTGAGTGATTCCAATGTGCAATCAAATTTGAGAAGCATTGCTGAACAGGATTCCCACGAGACACTTGTTATACCTGTGCTTGCTTTGGGGCTATTGTTAGCTGCAGGCCCACCACCCGGTGCCAGCTTCAGGAGACCCTCCTTCTAGGAAGGGGACTGGAGGATTGGTGTGCAGCCAGTATGCACTGGTATAGCAGCATTGGTTGTAAAAATACTGAAATATGGCTGGGTGCGGTGGCTCATGCCTGTAATCCCAGTACTTTGGGAAGCCGAGGCAGATGGATCCCTTGAGCTCAAGATTTTGAGACCAGCCTGGGCAACATGGTAAACCCATCTCTATAAAAATTGCAAAAACTAGCCAGGCGTGGTGGAGCGTGCCTGTGGTCCCAACTACTTGGGAGGATCGCCTGAGCCTGGGAGGCACAGGTTGCAGTGAGCCGTGATTGTGCCACTGCACTCCAGCTTGGGCAACAGAGCAAGACCCTGTCTCAAAAATAAAATACTGACATATTTCCCCATCCACTTGTAACTGGGGCTGCTTTGAACTTTCTAAGTTCAAAGCATCACCCTCCCCATCTCCCCAGACCCTGGACATAATCAGTTCTGATTAGTTAGGGCTCCTGAGGACCTGGTTGTTAAATACTTGAACATCACCCCCCGCTATAATGTTGTAGTGAGAAGCACCCACTTTATATAGTCAGAAAGGCCTAGATTCCCACTTGATTTTGGTATGAGTTGTGTGGCTTTTGGACAAGTGGCTTCATCTCTCTGAAGGTCAGTTTCCTCATCTGGAAATGGGGTCAAATGCCCTCCCTATCAGCGTAGGGATGAAGCTGCACTACAGCAGAGGTGGCAAACTGAGCATGCATCAGAATCACTTGGCTGGGCTGGGCACAGTAGCTCATGCTTGTAATTCCAGCACTTTGGGAGGCCAAGGCCAGTGTATCACCTGAGGTCAGGAGTTCGAGACCAGACTGGCCAACATAGTGAGACCCTGTCTCTACTGAAAATACAAAAATTAGCCAGACATGGCCACAAGCACCTGTAGTCCCAGTTGCTCAAAAGGCTGAAGCAGGAGAATTGCTTGAACCTGGGAGGTGGAGGTTGCAGTGAGCTGAGATCATGCCACTGCCCTCCAGCCCGGGTGACAGAACAAGACTCTGTCTCAAAAAAAAAAAAAAAAAAAAAAGGGCCAGGTGTGGTGGCTCACGCCTGTAATCCCAACACTTTGGGAGGCTGAGGCGGGCAGATCACGAGGTCAGGAGTTCAAGACCAGCCTGGCCAATATGGTGAAACCCCGTCTCTACTAAAAAATACAAAAATTAGCCGGGCATGGTGGCGGGCCCCTGTAGTCCCAGCTACTCAAGAGGCTGAGGCAGAAGAATCGCTTGAACCCGGGAGGTGGAGGTTGCAGTGAGTCGAGATCGTGCCACTGCACTCCAGCCTGGGAGACAGAGTGAGACTCTGTGTCAAAAACAAACAAACAAACAAACAAAAACTTTGGCTTGTTAGGTCAAAGATTTCTGGGCCCCACCCCGGAGTTGCTGATTCAATCATTCTGGGGCGGGGAGGATTTGTGTTTCTAAGTTCTCAGGTGCTGCAGGGGCTTCTGGTCCTGGGACTACAGTTTGAGAACCATTGAACTGGAAGATGTATGAGAAAGTGGGCTGGGCCGAGAGTAGAGGCTCAACCCAGGCTTGGAAAAGGGTCAAAATATGTGCCGGTTTCCCTGTGCGCCACATGGACTTCTCCCTCCTGAGCCATTCCCCAGGGCTCTCTCCATCCATTTGTCCAGCAGGGACTGAGCCCCCGCTGAATGCTTAACCTTGGATTTCTCAAAGATTAAGTCCTCTTCCCACCTCTTCCCCATTGTGAGCAGGACCAGATTTACACCTTTAGTGGCTGTGATTACTGAAAATACGGTGCCCCTCCCATCTGTTGTCCAAAGTAAAACAACACTAAACCCTGAAATGACTTCATAAAAAGAACAATAGAGAACTGATTTTTTTTTCCCAAGCTGGCTACTTTGAGGATTTTTTCCAAATATCAAAAACAATATTTTATTTTATTTATTTATTTTGAGACACAGTCTCCGGAGTCTCGCTCTGTCGCCCAGGTTGGAGTGCAGTAGCGCGATCTCAGCTCACCGCAACCTCTGCCTCCTGGGTTCAAGTGATTCTCCTGCCTCAGTCTCCTGAGTAGCTGGGATTACAGGCATGCACCACCATGCCCAGCTTATTTTTGTGTTTTTAGTAGAGACGGGGTTTCACCATGTTGGCCAGGCTGGTCTTCAACTCCCGATCATAGGTGATCCAACTGCCTCTGCCTCCTAAAGTGCTGGGATTACAGGTGTGAGCCACCGCACCCGGTCAAAATCAATATTTTAAATGTGTATTTTGGGACTGCGCCTGCTTTGCTGGGACCCCAAGCATATTCTTACCTGCCAGTGGGCAACCCAGTGTCAAAGGAACCGGTCCCAGGCCCATTCTCTTTCACCTCCATTTTCACATCTCTCCCTGCACAGCACCATCCCTTCTTGTAGACAAGAACTTCTCACCTTAAATAAAACTCCACTTGAGGCTGGGCACGGTGGCTTACGCATGTAATCTCAGCACTTCGGGAGGCCGAGGCGGGTGGACTGCTTGAGGCCAGGAGTTTAAGACTAGCCTGGGCAACGTGGCGAAACCCTGTCTCTACAAAAAAACAAAAATTAGCTGAGCTTGATGGAGCACACCTGTAGTCCCAGATACTCAGAAGGCTGAGGTCGAAGGATGGCTTGAACCCAGAGGCGGAGGCTGCAGTGAGCCTAGATCACATCATTGCACTCCAGCCTGGGTGACAGAGTGAGACCCTGACTCAAAAAAAAAACCCCAAAAAACAAAAAAACCTCCACTTGACTGTTCTCTGCCCTACCAGCTACCTCACTCTTATTTTCCTTTTTTATCTCCAACTTTTCTTTCCTACAGATTTCAGCCAAATAACTCACATCTGTTCCCTCTGTTGGTTCCTAAACATAACTCCTCCAGCCTGGCTTCTGGGCAATCACCCCTCCCTGCCCCTAGACTGCTGCCCCCATGGACTTCCTTTTTGCGAGAGCCAGTGACCTGATCTTAGCACGGGATTGGGAGTCAGAAGGCCTAGGCAGCTGGTCACTCACCAGCTGTGTGACCGTGAGCAACTTAAAGCACTTCTCTGAGCCATGGGTATGAACGTTAATTTGCAAAGTTGAGATGAGAGCATTAGAGTAATAGAATCATAATAGCTAAACTGTGTGTGTGTGTGTGTGTGTACCTGCTAAGAGCCAGGCACTGTGCTGAGAATTTGCCATGTATAATCACATTTAATCCCCACTACAACACCTCCAAATGAGGTCTGCTTCTTTCCCCACTTTACAAATGAGAAAAGGGAGGCACAGAGAGGTAAAGTGATTTGCCTAAAGTCCCACAGCCCATAAATGATAGGTAGTAGAATATGAACCCAGGAGGTCTGATTCCAAAATTTATGCCCTATGGCTTCCTTACTGACGGTGCTCAGTACAGATAAGTGGGAGGTGTGACTTGGTGTTAATAGGGACTCTAAGAGTCAGTGTGGGAATTGCCATTCCCCTGAAGCTAGGGATGGCAGGTGTGTTTGTGGGTTGGGGGTGGGGTACTTGAGTGATGCTCTCCCCTGAGGCAATGTCTTGCAGGATACACACCTTTCTACTTCATCTCAGATTTCAGTGTCTCCTCCACATCCTGCCAGAGCCTCTCTGGCCTGGCTGCCCCTCCCCTCTCTGGCAGGTTTGGGAGAAAGAGGCTTGGAGTTCCCCCATCCTAGATAGCGGGACAGATTCCTCATCTCGTGAGGCTGACCCTGATCTGGGGGCCTGTTATTAATAATGGCCTGCAGGGCTGTGTCATCCAGCTAGTGATTCAGGACTCCAGGGTCAGCACCCTCCCCATCCTGATGGAGCTACCTCAGTGAGGGGCTTAGAGTCTAAGCTATGACTCTACGTGAGGGTATATGCTGTTCTCTGCCTGCACTCCCAGGGTCTTGGCTAAACTCTATTGTGGTATTAAAAAGAGAGGCTGGGGGAAGTGGGGAAGGGGATGTGGTAACCAGAACCACTTCCTGCCACTGCAGTGTTGAAAGCCAAGCTCTGTCCAAGTTCCCCTTGATGGGGGTTGGGGAGCCAGGAGGTAAAGGAGGAAGTTGATGGGAGTTGGGGGGGATGTTAAAAAAAGGAGGATTCTTATTTGGATTGACTCCAGGAATCAAGATCTGGGTTTCCTGGCTGCTCTCTCCCTGCTCCCATTTGGTAAAAAACAGCGGCTGTCCTGAAGGTGGTCCTAATTAGCATAGCAGTGAACACTTATTATCATGTGCCAGGCACTTTATATTTGCTAACACTTTGAGCCTTACAACCACCCCATGAAGGAAGCACTATTATTACTCCAATTTTACAGATGGGGAAACTGAGGCACTGAAATGTTGTGTCAGTTGCCCTTGTCACACAGCAAGTCAGTGGCAGAGCTGAGATTTGAACTTAGGCAGCCTGGCTCCAGAGTGCAGGCTCTTGCTCTGTGACCACTCTGAGCCTCAGTTTCCTCATTGCATGATGAGGGTAATTGGAATACATAAATCCACTTTCCTTTCTTGATGCCTGATTCTCTGGTAATTAATTATTCATTCAATTTCTCCCCATGCTGAACTCTCAGATCCATGAACAATGAGACAAAGGCTATCTTGGTCACTACTTGTATTCCCAATTCTTAGCATAATGATTGGCCTAGAAAAACTCAACTAGAATGTGTTGAGTAAATGGTCTTTAAAAGGTCTGAAGATCATCAACAATGGTTTGAGTATCTGATAAAAGTTTTAGACCCTTTACATAGAAAAATCAACATATACCAGTAGCTGGGGGTGAGTCTGCCCCTCCCACTCACCCAGGGTACATTTGGCAATGTTTGGTAACATTTCTGGTTGTCACAACTGGCAGGGGGAGGTGCTACTGGCATCCAGTGGGTAGGGGTCAGGGACGCTGCTAAACATCCTACAATGCACACGACAGCCCCAAGTGCCAATAGTGCTAAGTTTGAGCTATGTGACATACATACATAGATATGTATTGTATGTCATGTTTGGTACCATTGATGGCAAGTGGGGGGTAGTTAACGGATTTTCCTAAAAGCCCGTGTCTGCCACCCAGATGAAGATCCTCCAGATTGGAAGATCTGTTCCTCTAAACTCATATTACTCTATGACCTCACATTCCCGAGTCTAGAATCTAGTTCCTCCTGGGTCCCCTGTCCTAGCCTCTGATTCCCTAAATGCCTGGGCCTCCTCTCTTACCTTCAGTGGGTAGCAGGGGACCAGAGGAGAAGCATCCAGGTTTTATGTGCTGCCCCTGTCACCGCATCCACCTACCCACTTCTATACCTGGGTCATCACAGTTCCCTGTAAATGGTAATAAAGATGAAAAGCTTCAGAGCCAGGCAGTTCTGGGCTTGAACACTAGTTCTGTGGATTAACTCGCTCTGTGATCACAGGCAAATTCCTTAACTCTCTGAGCCTTAGTTTCCCCCTCTGAAAACAGGAGGGATACTCATTAAACTTACCTTACAGGTGGTGAGGATGAAACGAGAGGCTTATAGAGAACTTATTACGGTGCTTGACACAGTAAATCTCAAAAAATGCATTATTATTATTATGGTTCAGAGGTAAAGTGACTTGCCCAAGGTCACATAGCTGGAAAATGGCAGAGCCGGGATGGAAATCCAGGACTTCGTGACTGCAAAGCAGATGTTCATTGGTTAGTGAACTTTAGAACTTCAACTTTTCTGTAAAGGAAGTTAATTATCTCCATCTCACAGTCTCATTTATTAGATAAGCATATAAAATGCCTGGCACATAGTAGGCCCTTTAAATACAGCTTATTGGGCCGGGCGCCATGGCTCATGCCCGTAATCCTAGCACTTTGGGAGGCCAGGTGGGCAGATCACTTGAGTCAGAAGTTCGAAACCAGCCTGGTCAACGTAGTGAAACCCCATCTCTACTAAAAATACAAAAAATTTAGCCAGGCGTGGTGGCGCACGCCTATAATACCAGCTACTCGGGAGGCTGAGGCAGGAGAATTGCTTGAACCCGGGAGGCAGATGTTGCAGTGAGCCGAGATCACGCCACTGCACTCCAGCCTGGGTGACAGAGTGATACTACACCCCCCAAAAATAAAATAAAATAAATAAATACAACTTTTTGAGTTGTTAGCAGGTTTTTCCCAAATAGGGCTTTGAAGAAGGTGAATATAGACCCTGCCCGATGCCGGCTGGCTAGGAAGAAAGGAGTGAGGGAGGCTGCTGGTGTGGGAGGCTTGGGAGGGAGGCTTGGCATAAGTGTGATAATTGGGGCTGGAGATTTGGCTGCATGGAGCAGGGCTGGAGAACTGAAAGGGCTCCTATAGATTATTTTCCCCCATATCCTGCCCCAATTTGCAGTTGAAGAATCCTAAGCTGACAAAGGGGAAGGCATTTACTCCAGGTTACACTGCAGCTTAGAGCCCAATAACCTGGTTTGGTGATTCCAAGTTAGAATCATGGTCTTTTGGCAGGGTCTCGCTCTGTTGCCCAGGCTGGAGTGCAGTGACATAATCATGGCTCACTGTATCCTTGACCTTCTTTCTGGGCTCAAGCAATCCTCCCACCTCGGCCTCCCAAAGTGCTAAGATTACAGGAATGAGCCACCATACCTGGCCCTGAATCTTGGGTCTTGGCCTTAGTAATTAAAACCAATCACCACCATCCGTTGCGGACTTACAACCTACAGTGTTCTAAACATTTTATATGTTTGATCTCATTTAATCCTCACATCAATTTAGGGACAAAGAGCCCCCCACCCCCCGTTTTTTTTTTTACAGCTGAGGAAACACTTCAAAGTGGTAAGACATTTGCCCGAGGTCCTGAAGGAAGAGAGTAAAGCCATGTCTGCTGTTTTCTAGAGGCTGCTACTGTCCCCTTTACTGCCCTGAAGATTCAGCCTGCGGAAGACAGGGGGTTGCCCCAGTGGAATTCCCCAGCCTTGCCTAGCAGAGCCCATTCCTTCCGCCCCCAGATGAAGCAGGGAGAGGAAGCTGAGTCAAAGAAGGCTGTCAGGGAGGGAAAAAGAGGACAGAGCCTGGAGTGTGGGGAGGGGTTTGGGGAGGATATCTGACCTGGGAGGGGGTGTTGCAAAAGGCCAAGGATGGGCCAGGGGGATCATTAGTTTCAGAAAGAAGTCTCAGGGAGTCTTCCATCACTTTCCCTTGGCTGACCACTGGAGGCTTTCAGACCAAGGGATGGGGGATCCCTCCAGCTTCATCCCCCTCCCTCCCTTTCATACAGTTCCCACAAGCTCTGCAGTTTGCAAAACCCTACCCCTCCCCTGAGGGCCTGCGGTTTCCTGCGGGTCTGGGGTCTTGCCTGACTTGGCAGTGGAGACTGCGGGCAGTGGAGAGAGGAGGAGGTGGTGTAAGCCCTTTCTCATGCTGGTGCTGCCACACACACACACACACACACACACACACACACACACACACACACACCCTGACCCCTGAGTCAGCACTTGCCTGTCAAGGAGGGGTGGGGTCACAGGAGCGCCTCCTTAAAGCCCCCACAACAGCAGCTGCAGTCAGACACCTCTGCCCTCACCATGAGCCTCTGGCAGCCCCTGGTCCTGGTGCTCCTGGTGCTGGGCTGCTGCTTTGCTGCCCCCAGACAGCGCCAGTCCACCCTTGTGCTCTTCCCTGGAGACCTGAGAACCAATCTCACCGACAGGCAGCTGGCAGAGGTGGGCAAACACCTAGTCTAGAGTTGGGGAGGGCTGTCCGTGAGGGTGTTGAGTGTCCCAGAGAGGATGCAGGGCCTCAGAGGAGATGCTTTAGGGGTGTGTTGGTGGTGATGGGCGTATCTGAAGAACAGAGGTGTCCAGGGTTAGGCAGTGGGGGGTCTTGTGGAGGCTTTGAGCAGTGATGGCCAGAAATGGGCAATGGGGCTTTCCTAGGTGGGAAATGGGAAATGGTTTGGGGTGGGGGAGGCATTGGAGGGTTCTGGGGTAAGCATAGGCTGGGAGTGAACAGGGGCAAACCTTATGCAGCTGTGGGGTAGAAATGGGCTAGAGGCATCCAGGGGTGAGAAGGAGCTGAGGATGTCTAAGGAGGGGAGATCCCTGGGTGGTCAGAAAGCACTGGTGTCTGGAAAGCATTTAATGCTTTATTAAATGTTAGTCCCTGCTGGGCATGACGGCTCACACTTGTAATCCCAGCACTTTGGGAGGCTGAGGTGGTAGGATCGCTGAAGCTCAGGAGTTTGAGCCCAGCCTAGGCAACATAGTAAGATCCTGTCTCTACAAAAAAATTAAAGAAATAGCCAGGCACAGTGATGTGCACCTGTAGTTCCAGCTATGCAGAAGGCTGAGATGGGAGGATCGCTTGAGTCCAGGAGGTCCAGGCTGCAGTGGGCTGATACCGTCTCTCCGAAAAA
The DNA here is from genome assembly GCF_000001405.40 of Homo sapiens. Classification (NCBI taxonomy): domain Eukaryota; kingdom Metazoa; phylum Chordata; class Mammalia; order Primates; family Hominidae; genus Homo; species Homo sapiens. Next base: position 46,009,757 of record NC_000020.11, read on the forward strand.
GAAAAAGAAAAAAGACTCCCTCCATGAGTGTCTGGAGGGAGTCCTTTGGCCCCAGCTGGGCAGAGAAAGGGGTCAGAGATCTGGCATGTGTGTGTCCCTTCATCCACAGGAATACCTGTACCGCTATGGTTACACTCGGGTGGCAGAGATGCGTGGAGAGTCGAAATCTCTGGGGCCTGCGCTGCTGCTTCTCCAGAAGCAACTGTCCCTGCCCGAGACCGGTGAGCTGGATAGCGCCACGCTGAAGGCCATGCGAACCCCACGGTGCGGGGTCCCAGACCTGGGCAGATTCCAAACCTTTGAGGGCGACCTCAAGTGGCACCACCACAACATCACCTATTGGTGAGCCGGGGCCGTGGGGGCAGCGGGGTGGGGCGGGGAGGCCAGGTCTGGCTCTTGGGCCAGCGGTGAACATGTCCTGTCTTGGACGCGTCCCTGGGTTTCACTATTTAATGTGTGGCCCCTGGGGAGTGTCCCCACCTCTGAGCCTCTGTTTCTCCTTCAGGGAAATGGCTCTTGCAATCCAAGTCCTCCTGCCAGGGCCATTGTGAGGGTCTAAGTAGACAAAAAAAAAAAAAAAAAAAACAGTCTGGAAGCAATTTATAGATGAGAGCGTGGACGGCAGAGAGCATTGTGTATGTTGAAGTCTCTGCGATATGGGGTGTCCCTGCTGCCCCGCTCCAGCCTTTCACTTCTGACCTCCTTCCTCTGGCTCTTACGCTACAGGATCCAAAACTACTCGGAAGACTTGCCGCGGGCGGTGATTGACGACGCCTTTGCCCGCGCCTTCGCACTGTGGAGCGCGGTGACGCCGCTCACCTTCACTCGCGTGTACAGCCGGGACGCAGACATCGTCATCCAGTTTGGTGTCGCGGGTGAGAACGTGAGGAGGGAAAATCCAAGAGACCTGGGCGGGGTCAGGGAAGGGAGGACCACGGAGAGCGTGGAGGCAGCAGTGGCCCCGGCTTCCTCTTGCCTGCCCGCGCTGCCCTGGCTTATACGGCCCCTCCTGCCAGACAGTGCACAGGGCCAGGGCGCCAGGCTGGGAGAGCTTCGCGCAGGCGGGATTTCAGCCCGCACTTATTTCGGAGCCCTTGCCTTGGGCAGCGCACAATCTGCGCAGCAGTACTCGGCTAACCCTCTTCCTCTCGACCTGTTTCTTCAGAGCACGGAGACGGGTATCCCTTCGACGGGAAGGACGGGCTCCTGGCACACGCCTTTCCTCCTGGCCCCGGCATTCAGGGAGACGCCCATTTCGACGATGACGAGTTGTGGTCCCTGGGCAAGGGCGTCGGTGAGATTCTGAGTCCTCCTGGCCCCTGATTCCCTTCATTCTCTCCCACTCATCACCCGCCGCCCTAACTCCGGTCCCCCCTCCTCCTGCAGTGGTTCCAACTCGGTTTGGAAACGCAGATGGCGCGGCCTGCCACTTCCCCTTCATCTTCGAGGGCCGCTCCTACTCTGCCTGCACCACCGACGGTCGCTCCGACGGCTTGCCCTGGTGCAGTACCACGGCCAACTACGACACCGACGACCGGTTTGGCTTCTGCCCCAGCGAGAGTGAGTGAGGGGGCTCGCCGAGGGCTGGGGGCGCCCACCACCCTTGATGGTCCTGGGTTCTAATTCCAGCTCTGCCACTAGTGCTGTGTGGCCTGCAATTCACCCTCCCGCACTCTGGGCCCAATTTTCTCATCTGAGAAATGATGAGAGATGGGATGAACTGCAGACCATCCATGGGTCAAAGAACAGGACACACTTGGGGGTTATAATGTGCTGTCTCCGCCTTCTCCCCCTTTCCCACATCCTCCTCGCCCCAGGACTCTACACCCAGGACGGCAATGCTGATGGGAAACCCTGCCAGTTTCCATTCATCTTCCAAGGCCAATCCTACTCCGCCTGCACCACGGACGGTCGCTCCGACGGCTACCGCTG